>NC_000002.12:190216890-190519921 GCF_000001405.40 Homo sapiens | reverse complement strand
AGTGAGCACATGCTGTTGAAAAAATGGTGCCAGTAGATTTGCCTGACACAGAGTTGCACAAACCTTCCGTTTGTAAGAAATGCACTATCTGCAAAGCACAGTGATGTAAAACAATAAAATGGGTATGCCTGTACATTCTTCTTATCCTTTTTAATGTCTCTTGGCCACAATAACTTGCTAGAAGAGGGACTTAAATCAGCCACAGCTTGGAGGGAGAAGCATTCACTTTCAATAATGTCTGTGGTTCAGCGTGTGTTTGGACTAAATACAGATCTCTTGAGTCCACCTCTGGGATCAGAACATAGAACTCTACCCTGCGCATTTGAGTATTCTTTTTTCAGCTGACTTTGAGTTATCTTTACTCCTCTGCTCATGTTTTTAAGAAGCTTTTAAGAAGTTTTGGCTGGATGCAGTGGCTCATGCCGGTAATCCCAGCACTTTGGGAGGCTGAAGCAGGCAAACAGCTTGAGCCCAGGAGTTCGAGACCAGCCTGGGAAACATGGCGAAACCTCATCTCTACAAAAAATACAAAAATTAGCTGGGCAGGTGGCATGTGCCTGTGGTCCCAGCTACTTGGGAGGCTGAAGTGGGAGGGTCACCTGAGCCCTGGAGGCACAGGTTGCAGTGAGCAGAGATCCTGCCACTGCACTCCATTCTGGGCAACAGAGGGAGACCCTGTCTCCAAAACAAAAAAGAGAAGTTATTCTGTTTATGGATTTGCTTGTTCTTGTTTTACAGGTGAAAATTACCAGTCCAGGCCTGTTCAGAATTGTATATATCGCAGAAAGACATAATTGCCAATATCCAGAAAACATTCTATCTTTTATCAAATGTGTGATTCATAACTTTTGGATACCAAAGGAATCTAACGAAATAACCATAATCATCAATCCATACAGGGAGACTGTGTGCTTCTCTGTGGAGCCTGTCAAGAAGATATTTAACTATATGATACATGTGAATCGAAACAGTAAGTCCGATTTTATTATACTTGACTTTCTGGATTCAGTTTTTCTGGAGTAACTTTTCAATAAATTGACTTTTTTCTTCTTTTACCAACATTACATTGATAAAAAATCTTTGTTATGTGTTTGTGTGTCTTTTTTACTCCAGTCATGGATTTCAAACTCTTCCTTGTGTTTGTGGCAGGAGTTTTTCTTTTCTTTTATGCAAGGACCCTGAGTCAGTAAGTATTCCTTTTTATATTTTTAACTTTGTGAATGAAAAGGGATTTAGATCATTTTTGACCACATGCTAAGTATTTTCACACTATTGTGCATTTGTAGTTCTTACTTTAGGTTTTGCAAACAATAGGTCTGAAGATGGTATTGGAAAGGCCTTTGAAAACAGTAACATTTATTTTTATCGTGTGATATGTATATGTTACAAAGTGCTTTCACATATTTTATGTATTAACATTTTATTAGATCTTGATAACTATGCAAGCTCTGTATTATTGTTCTCATTTTATAGATGAGAAAAGCAACATCCTTCATCACACTACTAGTTCTTATCAGGGCTGGAGATTTGTTCCCTGGTTTTCTGGTCCACACACCTTGCTCTATTACATTAGAGCCACCTACTAGATTTATGACCGTGATACAGAAGGCTGAATATAGCAAATTTCTGACTCTTAGAGAAACATTATCATTTTCTTTTTTATTACTGACAAGTTCTCATCTGAGAAACATATTATTCTGATGTTTTGCTTCTTGGAATTCTCTCATGAGAAAGAAATCTTTTTTTCAATATTTTACTTCTTAGCTTGTAGATTCTAGGTTAGTACCCAACACTCGTCAGCTATTCTTAACATTGTTCATTTTGAAGCTTTTCCTTATAGTATTACCAAGTGTGTTTAATGTCATCCATGAACTTTAGAAACCAGATGATGCATACATAGCATGAAGAATAAAGCCTGGACTCTGACGAGCTGGGCTGTAATCCCAAATCCTCCACTGAGCAGATACTGACTTAGGGAAGATTTTTTAACTTTTTGGTGCCTTAATTTTCTCCTTTCTAAAACCTAGAAAAGTGCCTGCTACATGATAGGTGTTCAGTAATTATTGTCTGATCAGATCCTGAATATGAAAAATACTTCAGACATTCTGTTTTGAGTTAGTGGCAAGCAACTTACCATAAATTTCAAGTACCCATTTTGTTTTTTAAGAGTATAGGATGTAATGAGAGCTGCCATCTGAGTTTTCTGTTCTTAGTGTTATTTATGACTGATGTTGCCAGGTTAAACATGTTTTTCATACTCAAAGTGCTTTTTGGCATTTAAATAGCTTTTATCTGCTTATCTTGACAGAAGCCCTACTTTCTATTACTCCTCGGGAACTGTGCTAGGTGTTCTAATGACATTAGTCTTTGTCTTGCTGTTGGTGAAAAGATTCATTCCGAAGGTAGGCATACTATGTGAAAATGAGTAAAAAATGGAAATCATGATCTTACAGACATGAAAAATTAATCAAAATTAATTCACATTATGATAGGTTCTAATTTAAATTATGTTTCTTCATTATGTAAACTGGCTCTAAAATGTATCTTTTTCTGGAGTTCCTGATTTTATTTATTACTATATGTAGGCTTAGCTGAGTATTAAGTTTTCATGATACTTTTTTTGAGACCCCTTTGCTTTCTCGGTAATGTGTTTTTCTTGAGTGATAGGAAGCTATTTCTATATTGAGTGAAAATTTCTATTATCTTTATAGAGCTGGGAATCTCATGATGCTGAACCATTGGGGCCTTGAATAACAGCACTGCTACATCTGGGAATTTCTTTATTATTATTAGTTCCCCAACCCACCTTCTTTTTTTTTTTTTTTTTTTTTGAGACACAGTCTTGCTCTGTTGCCCAGGCTGGAATTTAGTGACATGATCTTGGCTCACTGCAACCTCTGCCTCCTGGGTTCAAGTGATCCTCCCGCCTCAGCCTGCCCAGTAGCTGGGACTACAGGCACACACCACCATGCCCAGCTAATTTTTGTATTTTTTGTAGAGACAGGATTTCACCATGTTGCCCAGGCTGGTCTTGAACTCCTGAGCTCCAGCGATCTGCCTGCCTTGGCCTCCCAAAGAGCTGCAAATACAGGCGTGAGCCACCGTGCCCGGCTACACCTTCAATAAAATAACACACTGAACTTAGTTGAGGATAAATAATTCATGTTGGTAGTGTTGCAGTTACACTGATTAAAGTTTGCAACAGCAGCATTATTTTAAGATAAATTTACTCTTTATAACAGTGCTTATAACTCCAACTTCAGTGTACATGCAAGCTAGATGGGAATCTTGTTGAAATGCAGGTTCTGATTTAGCAGTCTGCAGTGGGGCCTAGGACTCTGCCATCCCAGCAAGCTCCATGTGATGTCGGTGTTGCTGATTTGTGGACCACACCTTAAGACCCTAGGGAGTTTCTTAAATTGACTTCAAATCAGTTTGATGTAGGAGTTTCTAATACAAAAGGTTTATTTGTTTGCTTTTATTTTTATGAGAGTGAATGAACCAAAAAATGTGTCATTTATTTTCTTCCACACACAGTATAGCACCTTTTGGGCTCTAATGGTTGGTTGTTGGTTTGCCTCAGTTTATATTGTATGCCAGTTGATGGAAGATCTGAAGTGGCTGTGGTATGAAAACAGGATATATGTATTAGGTAGGTAAATAGAAAAACAATATGCTCTGTGATTGGTAAAACTGAGATGTACAACTAGAGGCCTTCTTTTGATAGATGTTTCTCTCCAACATCTAAATTTTCATTTTGAACTAACGAAAGGTGCTACTAAAAATAATATTTTGTTTATCTTATTCCCATTGTTGTTGATTTCAGTTCATTTAGATCTCATTTTAGATGATTTCCCTATGACATGTTTCTTAGTTTTCTGTAGTAATGATCAAAAGAGGAAAAAAAAGTGTTTGTCCCTTTTGAATGCACATGCTTCTGAATTGTGGTTAAGCTCTAACCACATCTAACTGGTAATGTAAAAGCTTCTCTGAAAAGTGGCTGTTTCTTTCTTTCCCGTAAGTATTCATTAGGAAAGGTGAGAAATCCTAACTATAAATTACTAATGAAAACTTGCCTTTTCAGAAACACAGAGGCTAAGAAACCATTTATTTTCCTTGTTTTACATTACAAAATAAATGTTTTTATTGTTTATTTTAACTAGAAAATAATGGACAATGAGAGAATCAATTTTCTCCTAACCTTTAGCACCAAATTTCTCACATAAGTTCACTTCCCTCAAAACAAAAGCAATTAAGTTGTTTTACTTGAAAATTGTATATTTTTAGCTCGTTCTTCTTTTTGTGCTACTTTTAAATTACAGATACCATGGTATGCTCCCCTGAATACTGCACTATTCCTCTCTGAAAAACAAGAGGCTTTTCCTATATAATCAGTTAATTATTATCTGAAAAATAATTACATAAAATCATCTATTACCCAGGCCATGAAAAAATTTCCCATTCTTGATGGCTTATATAAACTAGGATATGGTCCAGAACCACATTTAGTATCTGTTTTGTCCTGTAAATTGCTTTTAATCCGTAGCAGTTCTTTTTTCATCATAGTGATATGCTAAAGAAACCAAGCTTGTCCTGTAGAATCTCCACCTTCTAGATTTATCTGATGACCCCTTTATGATAGAATTTAACATATTCTTCTCTTCTGCGTATTTTCTGTAAACTGGAAATTAGACTTCAAGGCTTGGTTAGATATAAATTAAACACTTAAGATAGAATACCTAAGAGGTGATGGGCACTTCACCTTGGATCATACCCAGAGACACAGAATAGCTTATAGTCTCACCATCGTAATGATGAGACTGAACATTGGATTCAGAGGGTGACTCCCTCCACTGTAAAATTACCTTTTCCTTTCATGACAAGAAGGTAAAAATAAAAAATAGGGTTTGTAGCCAATGGTGACATACAACTGTGACTTCTTCCTGACCAAAGTAACCATGATAACATTTTAGTCCAGCCAGGGTGCTGGACTAAAACACAGACATACTTATGTATCATCATAATAATGAGTGTACATCCCAAATTATTGCGAAAGTCAGCCTAGTATCTCATATGGAAGGAATAACACCCTATGTGCATTTTTCAACCTTACTTTATGGGGTAAAAAACACAAAAATTAAGGTTCTCTAATAGTTTTTACCTTTAAGTCAAGGCTCTGCCAGGTTTTTCACATAATGTCTCAAATTCAAATTTATATTATTTTACCTCTTCCACTTTTCCAGGCTATGTCTTGATAGTTGGATTTTTCAGCTTTGTTGTTTGTTACAAGCATGGGCCCCTTGCAGACGACAGGAGCAGAAGTCTTCTGATGTGGATGCTGCGACTCCTCTCCCTGGTTCTGGTCTATGCTGGTGTGGCCGTGCCTCAGTTTGCCTATGCAGCCATAATCCTCCTCATGTCCTCCTGGAGTCTGCACTACCCACTGAGAGCATGCAGTTATATGAGGTGGTATGTATCATTTTTTTCCCCCAGCAAATTTGACATTTTGAGCTCTAGTTTTATTATTTGGGAGAGTGTTTGCACACATCATGTTAATCTCATAATTACATTTGATCTGGAGATTTCATTCTGAGCAAGATTGGGGGTGTAGGGGTAGAGAGCTCCAAGCATCTGATCCCATCTTCATGGCTAGTCTTCATTAATCGTTGAGAGCTGTACCACCAATTACCAGGTAATTAGAGCTCACTCAGAATTCACTAGAGTCAATGGCAGAAGTACTTGGACTCTGGGTTACCTAAAATATCTTCTTTTATTCAACATTTTCTTTAATTAGAGTCAAAGACTGCTTTAGTGGTATCAGCTGTGCTTATGAGATACGAATTAGGAAACAGAAATGAATCATAAATGACTGAAAGGTATTATTTGTATTTAGGACTTTCTTTTCTCTTAGGTTTTTAGTTAAGGCTTATGGCCTTTGGAGTATAAAAAGAAAAATGAAGTAACCTCTATTGTGACAGCTTTGTTATGTTTCTCCTCAGTCATTGAGTCTGAGCAGCTGTTTTCATGTCAGGTGCACAGATGGAGATGGTTCTTGCCCTTGAGGTATACTTGCTAGACATAGGCATACATTTCTATCTCTTTTAAGTATTAAAATGGAGACTTGCCCAGGAACTAAGGGTATATAGAGAAAGCCAGGAGAGCTTTCCTGGAGAGATATTACTACGCTGAATCTTAAAGAATGAATAAAAATAACCAGACGAATAAATGCGGAGGGCTTTCCTGATGGAGAGAAAGCCCAGTTTGGTACCATCAGGAGATAGGCAGTGCTGTCAGTGCAGCAAGCAAGGTGGGCATGGGCCAGATGCATGGCAGCCATGCTAAGCAATCTAGTCCAGTCCTGTACACAGTGGGGTTTAACCATGAGACATTTTAGTTGGTCCACTCTGACTGCTGCCTCTACAGCAGTTATCAAACCAGTTGCTTAGGACCCAGGCAGATACTATGGTGAGTGATGCTGAGCAGGGGTAAGGCAGCAGTAACCAGGAGGACTGTGGGAAACTCTACAAAGCAACCTCATTGAAAACGGGGCTGTTACCACTCAGCTTGAGCTGATTGCTCATGTGTGGGAATATGAGTCCTGTATTGCCAGATCTGCTGGTTTTCTAGAAAAATTGGAAATGGGAATTACGATTAGAATGTGAAATCTCAGGATTTTTAAATGTTGGCATTTAAAAGTAAAAATAATTAAAAATAAAAATACATTGAACAAACAAAAATCACACCAGAGACCATAAATACTCATTGGCTGGTGGGATGTGGCCCATCTGTCTTCTGGCACAGCAGGTGGATATAAAGGGGAGGCCCCTGTGGCAGGAGAACAGTTATCAGACATCACAGTGGTCCAGGCGAGAGCTGATGAGGGCCTAGGGTAGGACCATGAGACCAAGGCTAGAAGAGGGAGTGAATAAATGTTCAAGAGGTAAAATTGGCTGTGAGGAAGGACACTATGGTGACTGGTAGTTTATGGAACTGGTGACTGTGTGTGTGTGTGGCAATATCACAGGGTTAAAATTGCACCATTGACAGGACAGGGAGCCCGCACAGAAGATGCTGGCGGGGCTGAAAGGCAGCAGGGCAGGGTTGGAGGGTTGATGCTGACTGGGTCTCTCTTTGCCCCATCTGCCCGAGGCAAACAGTGACTCGGAACACCAGAGGTCTTTTGTCAGTGAGGCTGGTCCCCCAACATCTTCCAGGTCCCTGGCCCTTTGCCAGGCTTGTGGCCTGAGGAACTCAGGATAGAGTTCCTTCTTCCTTCCCTTTAACCATCCAGCTCCCTGCCAAGAGCAGAGTGTGTTCTGCACAATGGTTCTTTTGTGCACTAGCTGTGTTCTATAATAATCAAAATGTACTATAACTTCCTCAACTTAAAATTTTGCTAGTGAATAATTATATAAAGAATTAGGGGATGAAACAGGAACTTATAGGTTAAATAACACACCAGAGAAATAATACCTTTATTTTGTATAGTACTTTCTAGTTGCAAAGAGCTGTTTACTTATATTTTAATAGTATATGGTAACTACTCTTTTGATTATCCTTATTGAACACCTACTATAGGCCACTTACAGTGCTAAGAACCCTACACAAAATATCTCATTTAACCTGTACAGTGACCTATGAAGTAGATGAGGGAGATATTATTGCTTTCATTTTAATTTTTTTCATATGAGCAAAGTGAGGCTCTGAACTGTTAAGGAATTCCCCAAGTTCATATAGTGAATAAATCTCAAAGCCAGGACTATGTCCAGGTCTTCTGGCTTAGCATCCAGGGTTTTTCCTTCAGGGAAACCATGCACAGGTATTCAGAAAAGCAGAAGGAGATTATATCACTGTTTCCTTGATCTAGCTCATCAACTATAAGATCTTTAAAAGATAATAGATTTATCAATCCTAACCCTCAAGAAAAAATATATATATACTTAAATATATATTATATAAATATATCCTAATAATTCTGATGCTCATTTATATTTCAAAATCTCTGGTTAAATTTAAAACCACCTCAAAATATTTTTAAAAACTCATTATAAATAAAACAAATGTTTTAGGCCGGGCGCAGTGGCTCATGCCTGTAATCCCAGCAGTTTGGGAGGCTGAGGTGGATGGATCATGAGGTCAAGAGTTTGAGACCAGCCTGACCAACATGGTGAAACCCCATCTCTACTAAAAAATACACAAATTAGCCGGGCGTGGTGGCGTGCGTCTGTAATCCCAGCTACTCAGGAGGGTGAGGCAGGAGAATTGCTTGAATCCCAGAGGTGGACATTGCAGTGAGCTGAGATTGTGCCACGGCACTCCAGCCTGGGCAACAGAGCGAGACTCTGGCTCAAAAAAAAAAAAAAAAAAATTAAATTTAATTTAAAAAATAAATAAAACAAATGTTTTAAAAACCTTATTATTGTTACTATTTTTATGAGAGTCTTAGATTCCTAAATTTTTAGATTCCTACATTTTATGAGATTTAGGATTTTCTTGGTTGGAAAAAGAAAGTTCTAATCATGATCCACTCGTCATGTAATACAGGAAAAATTACTATAAATTTTGTACAATATTTGCTCTTTCTCTCTAGGATTAGAATCACCACCACTAGGTGGAAGTGATATCCCACAAATCCTCCCAGGTTCTTGGTGTGGAGAGTAAATGGTCAGTGTTCTAGAGGGTCTGCATAAAAGGACATCTCAAAAGCTTGCTTCTATTAGTGCCCAAGAAAATCAACAGGCCAAGCATAAAAAAACAAAACAAAACAAGCTTTTAATTGCCTCTGTGATTAGAAATCACCGAGGAAGAAAAATACAATTAACATCTGTATCAGAAATTGATTCTCAAATACCTTAGGACATTATTTATGATAGTCCAGGAAATGGGGAAATACACTATTAGGCCCAAACTACATGTTCTCTATACCTCAGTCATGATAACAGCAATAAAAAAGTATAGATATGATATAGAGGAAGTTAAGAAGTATTATTACTGTTACCATCTAAGAAATGTATTTTTGTAAATCTTTTTTTTTTTTTTTTGAGACGGAGTCTCCCTCTGTCGCCCAGGCTGGAGTGCAGTGGCGCGATCTCGGCTTACTGCAACCTCTGCCTCCCAGGTTCACGCCATTCTCCTGCCTCAGCCTCCCAAGTAGCTGGGACTACAGGCGACCACCACCATGCTCAGCTAATTTTTTATATTTTTAGTAGAGACAGTGTTTCACCTTGTTAGCCAGGACCGTCTCAATCTCCTGACCTCGTGATCCGCCTCCCCAGGCCTCCCAAAATGCTGGATTACAGGCGTGAGCCACCGAGCCTGGCCTATTTTTGTAAATCTTAAGGATTGAATTAGGAAGTAATCCTGCAACCACATGCCATGTTTTAGGAAAATGGAGCAGTGGTTTACATCAAAAGAGCTGGTGGTGAAATATCTTACGGAAGACGAGTACAGGGAGCAAGCTGATGCTGAAACGAACAGTGCTCTGGAGGAGCTACGCCGGGCCTGCCGAAAACCCGACTTTCCCTCATGGCTGGTCGTCTCCAGACTCCACACTCCTAGCAAGTAAGTCCCGCTCTGCTGCTCGGACCATAGTTTAGTTCAGAATGATTTAAAAAATAATATGATGGTTTGGTACAGGCACTTCAGGGTAGAAATAGACTGTTTCCCTGGATAACAGATGATGTGGAAGTTGTCAGAGGTCCCTTTTCTCAGTACTGTGACTTTGCACAGTAGAACTGCTGATGTCAGAATAAATATTTATCTGATGTTTTATAGGGAAGGCTATAAAGATAACTTCCCTATGCGAAGGGAAGGTGGAATAGGATGTGTGACCTGCTTCTCACCCTATTGGTGGGGAAAATCTTTTTTGTTTTGTTTTGTTTTAGATGGAGTCTTGCTCTGTCACCCAGGCTGGAGTGCAATGGTGCAATCTCAGCTCATTGCAACCTCCGCCTGCCAGGTTCAAGCAATTCTCCTGCCTCAGCCACTTGAGTAGCTGGGATTACAAGGCGCGGGCGCCACCATGCCCGGCTAATTTTTGTATTTTCAGTAGAGATGGGGTTTCACCATGTTGGTCAGGCTGGTCTCTAACTCCTGACCTCGTGATCTGCCTGCCTTGGCCTCCCAAAGTGCTGGGATTACAGGCATGAGCCACCGCACCCAGCTGGAAAATCATTTTTAAAGTTCACTAAGAAAGACGTCTGTCCCAAAATTTTTCCTTATTGCTTTCTCTTCCTCATAACTTTATCCAAATAACAGTGCCCTCAAATTAAAGATGGAAGGGGGAAGTATTTGAAACAAAATAATGAATAATAATAAATTCAAACTAATAAAAAATAGAGACAAGAAGGAATTAGAAAACAGGAGTGAGTACATTTGGCTTACTTAGTGCTTATATATCTGCCCTAATTCTCTGCCCTTTCCATGAATAGCTGTTTTTAGAGGGATCACATAAGCCATTCCCATTTTTACACCCACTGTGTAAATGCCACCCTGTATTGATGCAAAGTCAAATTTAATTAAAGGGGATAAATAGCAAGGGAACATGTTATCTTTCAAATAAACCTTCCTGAGATAACATTAACTTTATTTAAAACAAAAAACTTGTTAGATTTGCAGACTTTGTTCTTGGAGGAAGCCACTTGTCACCTGAAGAAATCAGTCTGCATGAAGAGCAGTATGGCCTTGGGGGTGCCTTCTTGGAAGAGCAGCTCTTTAACCCGAGTACTGCCTGACATGCGACCTTCAAGTTGACTTCATTCTGGACAAGGAAGTGGGCAAAGGGCAGGGATTCTATTAAAGTTAGGCAGAACTGTTCTAGTGAACGGTGGCAAAAACATTTGCTGTGGAGAAAAACAAGTCAGTCTGGAAAGGGAAACCAACCCATTTTGAAGATAACTTAGCATTCTTGGTGACTTCTGCTACTTATTGTACTGTAGGTGGATACCAAAATTCTGTGACAGCCACTACCACTTACCTTGAATGAAGGCTTTCATTAGGAACAGGGGAATGGCGTTGTTCTTAAGGGGCTAGTAAGCATGAACAGGTGCTTTGTCGACACCAGGGCACTAAATCTGGTCTTAATCCCCTGAACCTGTGTCAGAAGACTCTGCAATACTCTTCCTATAGTTCGTCAGTATAAGTCCTTAAAGAGACCTGAGACATGCTGGACCAGTGTTTTCCAAAGTACAGCTCACAGGCTACTACCAAGTGTTGGTCAATAAAGGTATTCTGAGGTCAACTAAGATTGATATAAAGTTAAACTAATGTATTTCAGTATCTCTCAGAGGCATTCATAATGCTCGTGTGCACTGTGAATCTCCCAAAGGGGAGAAATTGTGTGCTGCAGTTTCTTGCTTAATTTGACCACAGAACTCTTTTTCATGAGATTAATATTCCTTGGAACACGTTTGGAAAATGCTAATGGTGGTGGAACTGAGCTCATGAGAGGTTAAATAACTTGTGCAAGACCACACTGAGATGCAGCACTGGTAGAAATCCAGCCCTGATGTATCCTTTGACTCAGGTAGACAAGATCTTCAGGTGCAAGCTTAGGAGCCATCTCCCTACAGCCATGGGCCTCACAATGTTGGTGGCTTTACTTTTTATTTTTCAATAATGGCCAACTTGCTATTTAACTGTGATAAAGGGAAATGTTTCTGAAGACATTTTAAAGTTTTTTATACATACGTAAGATTTTTATATACATACGTAAGGATTAGATACTATGATTACTTTTTTTGTATTTTGAAATTGAAGGCACTTAAGCTCTTGTGATATTTTGAATTGACTGATCCATTTAAAAAATTGTTTAGCTATAGGTGTTTGTAACAATTTCTTATAAAATGATTTTTTTTCTTGATTCATGATATTAAACTCCAGATTGAAATGAGGGGCTATGAGCTTTGACCCTGAGGAAAGAAGGCCAAAACATAGATCTGAGGAAAGATTTGAACATGGCAAGACAATCTCAGGGTTAAGATGTTGCTAAGTTGATTCTGAGAATCAAAATCAGGCTTTTTTTCCTGTGATGGGATCATAAAAATAATCTTTTTATCAGGACAAAGGTTATGGGCGAAGGATAGACAGAATTTTGGCACTGCTGCTTTCCTGAGCCAAATTAAGTAGTTTTTCTAAATCATGAAAAAAGAGCATGACTATCCATCTGGAACTTCCTAGATTGATTTTCAAATGATAGTTCCTCTTTGAAGTATTTACAGGTCTGTTTTTGCCAGACATCTTTTCATACTGGGAACTTTTTTTTTTGTAATATCCACTAAAGTTAATCTGCCTTTATATAGACTTGGATTTTTAAAAAACCAAAGGATATATTTTCCATTCAGATTTATGGTAACTATTTTATGAGTAAATAGAAGTTTGAATATTTTTCTTATGGTTTAATCTGTTTTTTTAAATTATATTTATTGGTGATATAAATGTATCAGATGTATCAGTGCCTGTGCTCACCAAGTTCGTCTCCTAAGAAGCAGTTTGTGTGCTACAACGTATGCGTATGAGTAAATAACACATGAACAATCTGCTGGGGCTGCCAGGTACATCCCAGCCAGGACAGCCGCTGGGCCAGGGGGAAGAGGTACTGCTGAGGGAAGGAAGCAGCTCTTCATGGGCAGCTAGCCAGGTGTAACCATCACAGTAAAAACAGCCAAAGAGAGAAGAACAACAGCAGTCCTTGAGGATATTGTTTTCCATGTTTATTTTTAGAGGAAATCATAGGTTTGTCAGTTTCTGCTTTGTGACTACTGTGAGAAGCTAAACAATTAGAAGCATTACTTGTGATATTTTTAGTGTATTTATGTTGTTTTCATTTGATTTGGGGGTGTATTATAGTACTGATCACAATTCTAATCCCCATCAAGCAATGTACAGATAACTCTTCCAAGAAATGTTTCCCTCCTTTCTTTCCTCCCTTCCCTTCTCTTTCTCCCTCACCTCCTGTCTCCTCTCCTCCTCCCTTTTTAAAGGCCTTTGAACAGTTTAAACGACCACTCAATAAAATGGCTCTGCCCTTCACAGGTGGTTGGAAGTTGGCTTTGTGCCTCACACACCATAGGTGTATAATTATGGAGCCTAACAGATCCCTTTGTTATTTTACTGCTTATGCTTGGTGCCTACAAAAGCTTACTGTTGTTAGCAAGTTGAACTCTTTGACACCAGATGTGTGGGTGAGATATAGTGTAGGTGGCTATGCTTAAACAATCGTATCATTCAAGTGTTATTTTTAAAAGGTTTTAAAACACATTTTACATATCACAAAAAATGCTTTGTGAATTAGTTGTATGGTTTGCCAGTAATACCTAGGGCTGAATTACAGGGGAATGTCCATCTGACATGAAGGACAATATTTCAATTTATGACTTTTTAAAAAAATCTGGAAATTTCATATATTTAGATTTTAAGAGGGTTTGGAATAGATGATGGATTACATAAAAATATCTAAATATGTGGAGGAATTAAGATCCTGAAATGATGTCAACTAAAGAAATGCTCTCTTACATTATGCTATGTGTGATTGTTTCCCAGAGTGAGAGATGTACAATTTTATAAATTAGCTTTTCTTGTCCAACTGAAAGCAAGATAGACAACATAATGGATGTGGAAGTTTGAAGACACCTGCAGGAAGACAGAGAGGTACTTTTAGGTGACAACAGGAGCAAGCTGCCTTCTGAGAGAGCCTGCTGGGTGGCATGACATTGAAGAGTGAACTATTTGGGTGTGACTGTTAGCCTTATTGACTTAGAACCCTGCTTTTTGTTATTGCACCATAAGACCTGTCTCTTGTTAGTCAATTCATATAGTTGGTACAGGTAGTGATTCACAACCAAAAATATAACTAGCATAAGGATAAAAACACTTGACTTGATATGACCAGCAGATTCTCTCTCAGAAGACAGATTTACAAGGGGTCAAATTATAATAAGGTGGCTACTTGGTGAACTGAAACAAAACAAAGGGAGCTTGTTATATAATTCACATGGTTAATGTCATGAGGCCAAAGAGTTTGATGCAGATGCCACCCCCCACCCCAGTGGGGCTAGCCTTGTTAATGGGATGAGATACCAGGTCTGTTGACAAAGACCACGCCTTCCTTTATGCAGGTCCTGCCAACTTTTTCCTCTCTGTGACTGCTGTTTTTCTAATCTTCATTATTGACAAACATCCCACCCCCTCTGATGGGCATATTTTTACTCAGATGTGTTAAAATCTTTAGTCTTTCTCTGGCCTAGGAGTTGGATTATCTTTTAAAGGTAACTGTATTTTTTTTGTTATGATCCCTGAATGTGAAACCTTAATAGGTCACCAGAGATTTGAAATGAATACTATACTTATCTAATATAAATCTTGGAAGATACAGTTAGTGGGTAGCTTCTCTATTATTTAAATAATTTGAGGCATCTGTTTTTTTAGATTTGGTCGTTTTTCCAAAAAAGAAAGACTGATTGAAAAGAGAAAGGGAAAGAATACCAACATTGACTAGAGATCCATCAGGCACTATATGAGGCACCTTCGATACCTCTTAATTTGCACCTCATGACCACTCTGTGATATGTTTTGGTATTTTCATTTTACAGATGAGGAAAGACCCAGAGAAGGTAGGAGAAAGTTGCTGAAGGACACATATAGCTAAAGTGGTAGAATCAGAATTCAAGCCCCCATATGTCTGCTTCCAGGGCTCATATTCTACTTCCTTTATTTATTACCATCTTTTTAAGAAAGTGAAGGAAATGACCCCATGGATAAGGCATTCAAGAGGTGACTACATCTGCTGATGTTATACACATACCAGTCATTTGTGCCCCGCAGCAATGGACACTGTAGTCTGCGGCTCTTGTCAGTGCTTCTCAGACTGTCTGGGGTGATGGACCAGTTTCCCTCTAGTTCATCACTAGTAATACTTTTGTAAGATACACTAAATTATTAGAAAAATGAAATAATCTTTGAAAGAAAAGACATACAGAATATAAGCACGATGATCATGTCATGACAATGTCAACTTGCCATACATATTTTGAAATGTCTAATTTCTATGTTGTCACATACCAGCAGTAGTTTGACAGCACCAGTCATTGAGCACACTTTGAGTAGCACTGGTCTACATGTTATTTTTCTAAGATGCCAGTGATCTTTTCAGGAAACAAAAAAAATCCGACCTTTTTTCAAATGTAAGTTTACAATTTAAAAGAATAGCATCCTACACTGACTATTGGAGAGAGTATGGTATATAATTTGTTAAATGATTATAAAATTGTTTACTTTTGTTGACACCTTTAAGAAGAAAAAGAAAAATGAAAATTATGAAACTTATAACCTCTCTCAGCAGACTTTTGCACTTTATGGAATTGTCACCATCATCACTTTTTTCCATCCTCTTCAACTTAAGTTTTGCTTAATTTTGTCTCTTAACTAACTCATATCCCCAACCACTTAATGTTTACAATGCATGTTGGAATTGAATGCCTTACTGTACAGCTTACTAGATATAGGTAAATATGTATAGTATGGCACTGTAGATTGGGAGAATGGAATATGATTATAGATTTAAATGGCAATAAAATAATAGAACTAGACCCTGGTTGGGGAAATGAGACAGCGCTCCTCCTGCCCCGGGCTCTTTGCTGCACAACAATGGCAGTATTTATGGAGCACACACTGTATGTCAGATAACTCATTTTAAACATCAACCTGTTACATACCTACTGTAATCACTTCCGTTTTACAGAGGTGGGTCCTGAGGCCCAGAGATGTTCTATGTGTGTGTAAGTTCTCACTGGCAGAGCTGGGACTCAAATGCAAACAGTGTGACTCCAGGGCGCACACTCCTAACCCCAACATTGTAAGGTCCTTGGGTTGCCATCTAAAAACTGGGACTTTCCTGGAGCCACAGTGGGGGACAAGTGGTCCTATATTAGCTGCTTGAAGCAGATGGCAGCTGGTTGAGAGTTAGGTACACAGCTGGACTGGCACTTAGCCGGACTGGCTCACTTTCCCCCCATGTTAGACATCAGCAAGTTTCCAGTTACTCCCTTATAAGAAGCCACAGTTTGTCCTGGCATAGTGTAAATTACTTTCTGAGATCTGACAAACCACTCCCCCTTTCACCCCTTTTCTGTCCCCACCTAGGCACCAGCCTCTCTCCCAACTGCCCCATGGTTTGGAATTCTTAAGCCAGATATTCTCAAGGCTTTGCTAAACAAGCCCAGGAGTGGTTTGGGGCTTCAGAAGTAGCCTTTGTCTTGTCTCCATGCTCCAAAGGGCTGAAGAACTTCCAAATGGAAAATCACCTCTTTCTTCCCTACAGTCACTGTCAAAGCATACCTTCATTTTCATAGAATCAACATAACCTTAAGCTCTAACCTCTCACACTGAAGCTGAGGAAACAGGCCCAGAGATCTCCCGAAAGGATCTCTTCCTGTATACCCGTGCTGTCCAGTATGGTAGCCTTGAGCCACGTGTGGCTATTTAAAATTAATTAGAAACCTAATTCCCCAGAAAATTAGCCACATGTCAGTTGTTTAATAGCCACATATGGCTTATGGTTACCATCCTGGACAGTGTAAATAGAGAACTTCCCATCTTCCCAGTAAGTCCTACCGGACAGTACAGAGCTGTGGGTGTGTCTGCTTTCCCTTCCTGATTTCCATGGCCCTGGCCAGAGTCCCTACCAACCTCTGGGTTTCCTGTGCAGTTATCAGTCCAGCCAACTCACCTGCAGAGTGTAAAGGGTCTGGTGTACCTACATTTCACAAAGCATCAGGAATTTGAAGCATTTCTAGGAATCTAGGAATATCTAGAAATCCTAAATGGAAATACAACCACACACATACACATATCAGGCATGTATGGTAATGGTTCAGGCTGGGCTGCTTTATGGCTTCCTCTGCCATAACAGATGCAGGGAATGGCCTCCCTGCCTCCTGGGGTGGGGTAAGGTGCTAAGCGGACCAGGGCTTTGACATTAGGAAGATTTGAGTTTGAATCCTGGCTTTGTGACCTTGATCTCATAACTTAAACTGTTAGCTTCAGAATTCTCTTGTTTAAAATGGGGATAGTGATAGGAACACCTCCAGTTTTTGTTAAGGGCAAAATGATAATCTCATCAGCACACTACAAGCACCCAATATCCACGGATGTGGTTCCCTTTTCCTAGATTCCCTGCTGAACTCCAAATTGGCAGAGAGGAATATTGCCTAAGTAATGGTCTCAGTACCTCAGCAGTACTGGAAGGAATTGCCAATTAGAGGGAAGCTATTAGCCAGCTATCCACTTCATGTGACCCATGGCAGGATTAATAAGCCAGTAAAGCAGGGTTGCTCTTCCTGTGAATTCCTTAACACTTTTCATGAGGTTTACTGCCTGCTGGACAATGTATGTATTATAATCTATTCCTAAAACTTGAGGAATAGTTCAATAATTAGCAGTTAACCACTTTGGATCCACACAAGCTCAGCACTCGGTAATTTACTGTTTCTACAACCATAGGAGAAAGAGTAGGAAGTAAGTCATTAAGGCAGTGATTACCAGCCTGGGCTCTGTGACACCCCTGTGTGTGTTGAGGGATCTCAAGAGGGGTTACAAAATCTCAAATCAAAATGTAATTTGAATTCACTTTAATATTTTTTAAGGTAGCATATGGCACTTTGGGGACAGGAAGAAAAAGTCACAAAGTCCACAAACCCATGAAGGTGTCAGCTCACAAGGCTGGAAATGACTGCATTATCGATTCTGCTGTCACAGTAAATGTTCCATAACAAAGGCATGTTGAATTTGGTCTCATTCATTAGAGTATAGGACTTTTGTTTGGTCACATCTTTATCATTTAAGAAACATTTAAAAATGGTATTCATTTTTATTTCAACATGTCAACTGTGCATTTCCAAAACAGCAGGCTTTTCAAAGGAATAAATCAGAACTGTAAACACAAGATACAGTACAAGTTTTTGACTTCCTACAGTCAGTTTCACAAATCCACATACTGTACATTCATAGGTGAGGTTAAGCCTGTCACCCATTTCTTTATTTCTATAATTACACAAGCATAATAAATACATCTGATTTTAAAGGTCACTTAAAATGAGTCATAATTTACAGTACAGTACGTTTCAGTTCAAGTGCAAAAAATAACTATTTGCTGAATTCTATTTCTTTCAGTTATTTTATTTTTAAGCTGTGTTTTATTGTGAAGCGAGACATCCAAGTGTAGAATTTCTTATCCCAAATGCAGTATTGGGCAGAACTATGGTGTCATGGAGAAGCCCTCACTTTACAATTGATCCTGTCTAATCAGGGTCAGAGGGTAAGGTGAGTTGCTCATTTCGACTGTTCTTTTCTTTCCTCTCTCTCCTGTGCTCATCCACAGCTATTATAAATTATATAATTCACCTTTATTCAGCTAAAACAGTTTTCCCTTTTCCACACTCCCCCCAGGTTTCCTGTTAACCTCTGCTTTGATTTTTAGTGGCAAGCTTTACGTGCGATCCACCCAGCCATTGTTCTGGCTGCAGTTGTAACGTTTGCAGTTGCATACATTACATTGTCCAGTGTCTGACTGTGTCTTCATGAGAACGAATATACTGAGATTTTCTTTCTTTAGTCATTGGAAAGTATAGTTGCTACTTATTGCCATCCTTCCCATTCATGGTTTCCTATTTACCACCTTTTCCTCACCAAAAACAAAACAAAACTGACCCAATATGTAATTTCTAAAAATTGTATCCTTCCCCCAGGCACTTAAATCTTATACTGTGATTTGTAACTAGTACTGCTTATTTAAGGAACTCTTAGGAATTCAGTGATTTTTGTGTGTTTCATTCCCTCAGCTAATTAGAGCCTGAATTACTATAAGATAGTAAATAGCGAGAGAGGCTATTTACAGTATCAATATATTTAGTAAACTCTTGTCTATCAAAACACAGGATACTGAGTTGGTTGGTTGATTTGAAATAATCGCTTGTTTCTGTTTTTTTTCTCAAAGCCCATTTAAAACAAAAGGCATTTTTAAGCTCGGCTTAGCTTGCAGTAGTTAATAATAGCTTCTGTTGCTCAAAGAATTATTTCCATTATATGCCATACACATATAAAAATATATTTGCTAAAGATATGTAAAGTTTCTGATGAAACTTTTAACTTCATTTTTTAACTTTAACTTTTAACTTTATTTTTAACAAAAGCACATGTGCTACTTTTATCTGGTTACTTTTTAAATATATCTTGTAATTTTTTAAACGGTTCTCTCCAAGAAAAAAGAAAGTATAGATGAATTCTATCTCTTCCCAGTTTGTGTTAGGAACCAAATAAGAATAAATAATCAGAAGAGGGAAATTATATCCACATTCACCTCGAAACACTTTCATTCCCTCCACTTACTTAGTGTAACTGCCGGTTTCAACTCTTACTGCACTGGCAGAGAAATTCTATCATCCTTAACCTAACCAAGCAAAGAACTGAAAGTCCTCATTGAACTCCATTTCCCTGTTGTAATTCCAATGAGATTACGAAAGTTTACCTTTTCCTGCCAATATGTACTGTAGCTCCTGTGTGTGTGTTTCCATGTTAATGAGTTTAGATATTTAGAAGCATATGCAGTGCTGTGCTCCTCCAGGGGAGGCATATCCTGGCTGGGGGGCCTCACCCTGTGTCCTGGCTGAGGAGCCTGATTCCATGCAGGGTGTGAGATGAGCAGGATGCCCTCAGTGTCCTCCCGCGGCCAGCTGAGCCTGCTGCTCTTCACTCTCCTCTGTGCACGGGTCCACACTGGGGTGAGCGGGGCTGGTCTGCGTCTGAGATGCTGCTGCGTCAGGGGATGGCTGGTTTCTAGATGGGTCAGAGTGAGTCTCACATGGGACAGGCTGGGCTCTACCAGCAGGAGAATTTTCCCTATTCTCATTGGTCCCCTGGAGGTAAAAAACAGGAGATGCCCCATGATCAGTGATAGCAAATAAATCCAACTTTTTATATATGCTTTCAAGTAAGACAGGAAACATGGGGAGATCATCCGGAAGTGCCCATTTCAGGGACCAAGTAATAGAGGAATAAGGATAGAATGTCTTACCTTTCATCTCCTTTCCTATGTGCAACTGCCAGAGCCGCATGAAAAACACAAACACTATAAGCAGACGTGTCTTGTGGAAAAAGGAACATTACTACCAAAATGTCTGTTAGTACTTGGTAAACAGTTTACATCAGCAAATATTTACTGAGCCCCCCAAGCCATGTGGCAAGTCGCTGGGCAAGCACTATGGAATAACTGAAACTCAGGCCGCTTGCTAAGACCACAGAATCCAAGAGCCAGAAGACACTTTGTCTAACAGGAGGTAAATAAGGGGTTCTTATCCTTGGAGGCAGAGCTGGGAAAGAATGTCCTGTAATTAAGAGTCCTGATATATATTTGGTATTTCAAAATGTGCACCAAAAGTTAGATAAGACAGAACATCCACATAAAGAAGTGAATGTAAACAAGCACTTGTGTAACCAACTGTAAATAACCATGAGTAGAACATCACCAGCAGCAATTTCCATAAATGCCATATTGGTTGTACAAATAAAAAAAAATTTAAATGGATTCTCCCCCAAATTAGTACCCATCACTTTTTGGCTGAACACCCAAATAAAAATGTTCATTTCTGTGATTCTACAATGAAAGAAAAAGAAACTTAGTATAATGACTTCTAAGAATAACTACAGCATACCTGCCAGTTTTTATTAATCCTAACATACCAGAAACATTTTATTTATTTATTTATTATTGTTATTATAATTTTGAGACGGAGTCTCACTCTGTCGCCTAGGCCGGAGTGCAGTGGCGTGACCTTGGCTCACTGCAACCTCCTCCTGCTGGGTTCAAGCAATTCTCTGCCTCAGCCTTCCATAGTAGCTGGGATTACAGGCACCCGCCACCATGCCCAGCTAATTTTTATATTTTTAGTAGAGACGGGGTTTCACCATCTTGGCCAGGCTGGTCTTGAACTCCTGACCTCGTGATCCACCCACCTCGGCCTCCCAAAGTGCTTGGATTACAGGCATAAGCCACCATGCCCAGCCCAGAAAAAAATTTATTAATCCTAACATACCAGAAAAAAAGCGCCACATCAAAAATTTTATGTGGCTTCTGTGAAAATGAGGATGAGTACACAAAGTAATGAAAATATTGCTACTCAAGCAGCAGATATTAAAATCATCCTTTCTCCTGTTTAGTCTTCTTGCTTTAAGGTATTAAAATCCTCCATATGCATCTCCCACCACAATATCTGGTTCTTGACTGAGCAGAGTAATGATGTGAGTTTATTATCTTGATAAATTAATAAATAGGATCATGCATGGACTAGCATGCATATGGTTATCAGTAAAGAACCAGATTTGGTTAAAATTTCACAAAGATTTTATGTTAGCTTACAAAGTGAGATTAATTAACAGTTCAACAAATTTTCTGAAAGGGGAATTACTCAAATGACCCTTATTTTTAAATCTTTCCCCTTTATTTTTATGTGTCCTCTGAAGCTACTCCAGACAAAGCTGACGTGACTTATCAAATAAAAGGGAGTGATTATCATGAGATGGGGGAACTGAGCCTATTTCTTTGGCTAAATTGTTTATAGAAGTTACACTCATTTTCCAAAGTCGGGATACACCTGTACAATTATCCACACTTTTATCAACATGCTTTAACTTTACTCAGGAAAGATCACTCCTCTGGGGACAAGAAAAATCACACTTTTAGACTTATTTTTCAGGTGAGGCCACCTGCATAACCATAATTCCACTGAGTTAGGTGTCCTATCAGACCCATACAGTGGCTCAGATTAATTAATTCAACAAATATTTATTGTGGTCCTATAATATAATGCCCCCACTAGAATTTTGGAATTACAGAGACAACCATCAATACTGAAATTTAAAACAAATATACAATGAAAGAATGGATTAATTTATTTTATTTCTTTCAAGAAGTGAAAGAATCATAACCTCTGAAGTTTTCCTGAACTCCATAAGGCAGAATATTCTCTCTATGGGACCTTGTATACACCCTCTTTAACTCAGTGCTCACAGAGTACTGAAATTGTTTGCATGTCTATTTCCCCCACCAGACTTTCAATAAATCTTGTTGAATGAAAAGTGAGTAATTAAAACTGAGCCCAGTTAAGGTATCTTGAGTGACAGGTAATATTGCTAGCCCAGCAAAGGAACTGTACCTGTAAAGGCTGTATCTCAGAAGCACGGTTGTCTCTTGTGAGTTGCATCATCTCTTTAATTTGGTAGAGTGCATAGACAAAGGTCACCCAGGGAGAAGAGCTGACTCCCCAGGCTGGTTTGTTCACATCTTCCTGTTCTTCCTGGTGCTTAGTTTTCTTGGGTGGAAGTCTGGGCTCAATGCGTGGCATGACATCTTCTGTCTGTTGCTGTACCAAGTCGATGGTTGCTATAGGAACGGGACTGGAGGGAACAGGAATTCTTTCTGCCAACATTGTCTTGTCTGGAGAGAAAAGAATGTTTAAACTATTTTTTCAGCATTTTCTACATATTTGAACAAAGGTAAAAATAAATAAATAAACCAAGAATCCCATATACCCATTCCAGAGTGCTTGATAATATTAATAAATTGCTGGTTACCAATGACTTCATTACTTGGTGTAAGTACTGAATCAATGAACATGATGTTTATCTTTGGGTCTCTTTATAGGCCTTAATAGACATTAGCATATATATTTAAGAAATATATTTTTCATTTAACTTAGAACATCAGTGGGGCATAGGTTATAATGAGTGTTGCCTTAGGCCCATTTACAGGATTATGATTAAAAAGACGTCAAAACAGGAAAAGCCACGTGATAGTTATTTTTTAAAAAATGTTTTATTCCCACAGGTTTTTGGGGAACAGGTGGTATTTGGTTACGTAAGTTCTCTAATGGTGATTTGTGAGATTTTGGTGCAACCATCACCCAAGCAGTATACAATGAACCCAATTTGTAGTCTTGTATCCCTCACCCCTTTCCCACCCTTTCCCCTGAGTCCCCAAAGTCCATCATATCATTCTTATGCCTTTGCATCCTCATAGCCTAGCTCCCACTTATGAGTGAGAATATACGATGTTTGGTTTTCCATTCTTGAGTTGCTTCACTTAGAATATGGTCTCCAGTTCCATCCAGGTTGCTGTGAATGCCATTAATTCATTCCTTTTTATGGCTGAGTAGTATTCCATTGTGTATGTATGTATATGTGTGTGTGTGTATATACACACACACATACACACACATATACACATATACATATATATACACACATATACATACATACACACACTACAGTTTCTTTATCCACTCATTGATTGATGGGCATTTGGGCTGGTTCCACATTTTTGCAATTGTGATGCTATAAACATGCATGTACAAGTATCTTTTTCATATAATGACTTCTTTTCCTCTGGGTAGATACCCAGTAGTGGGATTGCTGGATCAAATGGTAGTTCTACTTTTAGTTCTTAAGAAATCTCCACACTGTTTTCCATAGTGTTTGTACAGCTTACATTCCTACCAGCAGTGTAGAAGTGTTTCCTTTTCACTACATCCACACCAACATCAATTATTTTTTGATTATTTGATAATGGCCATTCTTGTGGGAGTAAGGTGGTATCACATTGTGGTTTTGATTTGCATTTCCCTGATCACTAGTGATGTTGACCATTGTTTCATGTTTGTTGGCCATTTGTGTATCTTTGCTTGAGAATTGTTTATGCATGTCCTTAGTCCACTCTTTGGTGTTTTTTTTTTTCTTGCTAATTTGTTTGAGTTCGTCATAGATTCTGGATATTAGTCCTTTGTCGGATATATAGACTGAAGATTTTCTCCCACTCTGTGGGTTGTCTGTTTACTCTGCTGACTGTTCCTTTTGCTGTGCAAAAGCTCTTTAGTTTAATTAAGTCCCATCTATTTATCTTTGTTTTTGTTGCATTTGCTTTTGGGTTCTTGGTCACGAAATCTCTGCCTAAGCCAATGTCTAGAAGGGTTTTTCTGATGTTATCTTCTAGAATTTTAAGTTTCAGGTCTTAGATTTAAGTCCTTGATCCATCTTGAGTTGATTTTTTTATACGGTGAGAAATGAGGATCCAGTTTCATTCTCCTACATGTGGCTTGCCAATTATCCCAGCACCATTTGTTGAATAGAGTATCCTTTCCCCCTTTATGTTTCTGTTTGCTTTGTCAAATATCAGTTGGCTGTATTTGGCTTTATTTATGGGTTTTCTATTCTGTTTCATTGGTCCATGGGCCAGTTTTTATACCAGTACCATGCTGTTTTGGTGACTATGGCCTTATAGTATAGTTTGAAATCAGGTAGTGTGATGCCTCCAGATTTGTTCTTTTTGCTTAGTCTCACTTTGGCTATGCAGGCTCTTTTTTGGCTCCATATGAAATTTAGGATTGTTTTTTCTAGTTCTGTGAAGAATGATGGTGGTATTTGATGGGAATTGCATTGAATTTGTAGATTGCTTTTAGCAGTATGGTCATTTTCACAATATTGATTCTACCCATCCATGAGCATGGGATATGTTTCCATTTGTGTATGTCATGTATGATTTCTTTCAGCAGTGTTTTGTAGTTTTCCTTGTAGAGGTCTTTCAGCTCCTTGGTTAGGTGTATTCCTAAATACTTTATTTTTTGCAGCTATTATAAAAGGTGTTGGGTTCTTGATTTGATTCTCATCTTGGTCACTGTTGGTGTACAGCAGAGCTACTGATTTGTGTACATTAATTTTGTATCCTGAAACTTTGCTGAATTCATTTATCAGTTCTAAGAGCTTTTAGGAGGAGTCTTTAGGGTTTTCTAGGTATACAATCTTATCATCAGCAAACAGCGACAGTTTGACTTCCTCTTTACCTATTTGGATGCCCTTTATTTCCTTCTCTTGTCTGACTGCTCTGGCTAGGACTTCCAGTACTATGTTGAATAGAAGTGGTGAGAGTGGGCATCCTTGTCTTGTTCCAATTTTCAGAGGGAATGCTTCCAACTTCTCCCTGTTCAGTATTATGTTGGCTGTGGGTTTATCACAAATGGCTTTTATTTCACTGTGTTATGTCTCTTGTATGCTGATTTTGCTAAGGGTTTTAATCATAAAGGGATGCTGGATTTCATCAAATGCTTTTTCTGCGTCTACTGAGATGATCATGTGATTTTTGTTTTTAATTCTGTTTATGTGGTGAAAGACATTTATTGGCTTGCATATGTTAAACCATTCCTGCATCCCTGGTATGAAACCCAGTTGATCATGGTGGATTATCTTTTTGACATGCTGTTGGATTCGATTAGCTAGTATTTTGTTAAGGATTTTTGCATTGATGTTCATCAGGGATATTGGTCTGTAGTTTTCTTTTTTTGTTATGTCCTTTCCTGGTTTTGTTATTAGGGTGATACTGGCTTCATAGAATGTTTTAGGGAGGATTCCCTCTTTCTCTATCTTGTGGAATAGTGTCAATAGGATTGGTACCAATTCTTCTTTGAATGCCTGATAGAATTCAGCTGTGACTCCATCTGGTCCTGGACTTTTTTTTGTTGGCAATTTTTTTATTACTGATTCAGTCTCACTACTTAGTTGTCTGTTCAGGGTTTCTAATTCTTCCTGATTTAAGCTAGGAGGGTTGTGTCTTTCAAGGAATTTATCTCCTCTGCGTTTTCCAGTTTATGCATGTAAAGGTGTTAATAGTAGCCTTGAATGATCTTTTGTATTTCTGTGGTGTCAGTTGTAATATTTCCTGTTTTGTTTCTAATTAAGCTTATTTGGATTTTCTCTTTTCTTTTCTTGGTTAATCTTGTTAATGATATATCAATTTTATTTATCTTTTCAAACAACCAGCTTTTTGTTTCATTTATTTTTTGTATTTTTTTTCCTTCAATTTCATTTAGTTATTCTCTCATCTTGGTTATTTCCTTTCTTCTGCTGGGTTTGGTTTGTTCTTGTTTCTCTAGTTCCTTGAGGTGTGACCTTAGATTGTCTATTTGTGTTCTTTCATACTTTTTGATGTAGGCATTTAGGCTATGACCTTTCCCCTTAGCATTGCCTTTGCTGTATCCCAGAGGTTTTGATAGGTTGTGTCACTATTATTGTTCAGTTCAATTTTAAATTTCCATCTTGATTTTGCTGTTGACCCAATGATAATTCAGGAGGTTATTTAATTTCCATTTATTTGCATGGTTTTGAAGGTTCCTTTTGGAGTTGATTTCCAGTTTTATTCCACTGTGGTCTGAGAGAGTACTTGATATAATTTCAATTTTCTTAAATTTATTGAGACTTGTTTTATGGCCTATCATATAGTCTATCTTGGAGAAAGTTCCATGCACTGATGAATATTCTGCAGTTGTTGGGTAGAATGTTCTGTAAATATCTGTTAAGTTCATTTGTTCCAGGGTATAGTTTAAATCCATTGTTTCTTTGTTGACTTTGTCTTGATGTCCTGTCTAGTGCTGTCAGTGGAGTACTGACGTCTCCCACTATTATTGTGTTGCTGTATATCTCATTACTTAGGTCTGGTAGTGATTGTTTTATAAATTTGGGAGCTCCAGTGTTAGGTGTATGTATATTGAAGATTGTGAAATTTTCCTGTTGGGCAAGGCCTTTTATCATTATATAATGTCACCCTTTGTCTTTTTTAACTGCTGTTGCTTTTATGTTTGCTTTGTCTGATGTAAGAATAGCTACTTCTGCTTGCTTTTGGTGTCCATTTGCATGGAATGTCTTTTTCCACCCCTTTACCTTAAATTTATGTGAGTTCCTATGTGTTAGGCGAGTCTCTTGAAGGCAGCAGATACTTGGTTGGTGAATTCTTATCCATTCTGCAATTCTGTATCTTTTAAGTGGAGCATTTAGGCCATTTACATTCAATGTTAGTATTGAAATGTGAGGTACTATTCCAATCATTGTGTTATTTGTTGCCTATATACCTTGCTTTTTTTTTTAATTGTATTTTGTTTTATAGGTCCTGTGAGATTTATGCTTTAAAGAGGTTCTGTTTGGATGTGTTTCCAGGATTTGTTTCAAGATTTAGAGCTCCTTTCAGCTCTTGTAGTGCTGGCTTGGTGGTGAGTGGCAAATTCTTGTAGTTCTGGCTTGGTAGTTCTTGGAGTGCTGGCTTGGTAGTTCTTGGAGTGCTGGCTTGGTAGTGGTGAATTCTCTCAGCATTTGTTTGTCTGAAAAAGACTGTATCTTTCCTTTATTTATGAAGCTTAGTTTCACTGGATACAAAATTCTTGGCTGGTAATTGTTTTGTTTTGTTAGCATTGCCTTTGCTGTATCCCAGAGGTTTTGATAGGTTGTGTCACTATTATTGTTCAGTTCAATTTTAAATTTCCATATTGATTTTGCTGTTGACCCAATGATAATTCAGGAGGTTATTTAATTTCCATTTATTTATGGAAATTAATTATGAGGCTGAACATAGGGCCTCAATCCCTTCTAGCTTGTAGGGTTTCTGCTGAGAAATCTGCTGTTAATCTGAGAGGTTTTCCTTTATAGGTTATCTGGTGCTTTTGCCTCACAGCTCTTAAGATTCTTTCCTTCCTCTTGACTTTAGATAGCCTGATGACAATGTGCCTAGGCAATGATCTCTTTGCAATGAATTTCCCAGGTGTTCTTTGGGATTCTTGTATTTGGATGTTTAGGTCTCTAGCAAGTTTTCCTTGATTATTTCATCAAATGTGTTTTCCATACTTTCAGATGTATCTTCTTCCTCAGGAACTCCAATTATTCTTAGGTTTGTTTATTTAACATAATCCTAAACTTCTTGGAGGCTTTGTTCATTTTTTAAAATTCTTTTTTCTTTGTCTTCGTTGGATTAATTCAAAAACCTTGTCTTTGAGCTCTGAAGTTCTTTCTTCTGCTTCTTCGATTCTGTTGCTGAGACTTTCCAGAACATTTTGCATTTCTGTAAGTGTGTCCTTTATTTCCTGAAGTTGTAACTGTTTCTTATTTATGCTATCTATCTCATTGAAGATTTCTCCCCTCACTTCTTGTATCATTTTTTTGATTTCCTTAAATTGGACTTCACCTTTCTCTAGTGCCTCCTTGATTAACTTAATAATGGACCTTCTGAATTCTTTTTCAGGGAAGTCAGAGATTTCTTCTTGGTTTGGATCTATTGCTGGTGCTAGTGTGATTTTGTTGGGGCAGGTTAAAGAACCTTGTTTTGTCATATTACTAGAATTGTTGTTCTGGTTCCTTCTCATTTGGGTAGGCTATGGCAGAGGGAAGGGCTGGCACTCAAGGCTGCTGTTCAATTCTTTTGTCCCACAGGGTGTTCCCTTGATGTAGTACTCTCCCTGTTTTCTGAGGGATGTGGCTTCCTGACAGCCAGGCTGTAGTGATTGTCATTTCTCTTCTGGATCTAGCCCACCCAGCAGGGCTACCAGGCTCCAGGCTGGTACTGGGGTTGTCTGCATAGAGTCCTGTGATGTGAACCATCTTTAGGTCTCTCAGCTGGATACCAGCCCAATATTTGGCCTGTCTCTCAGGTCCTCCAGGAGCAATATGCTTCCTTCAGAGGGTCTGTGTATTCTCTCAGCTTTCCTGGTATATTCCTGCAGTAGTTCTGGAGCAAAAGCATGATGCAAGTCTCCACATGCTACTCGGTCCACCTGAGTGTGAGCTGCAACCTAATCCTGCCTCCTATCTTGCCATTTTCCCAATAACAGTCTCTCCAGAACACAAGTATTTTAAAAACTAACCCAGTACCATATTCTCACTAATCAAAGATGAGTTAAAATTTGATTGCTTATTTTTATGTTTCTTACATTGAATGTTTAATTAATGATTTTAAATTTTTTTGTGATTAATAGCAAAGATATTCAAGTCCATACATTTTTCTCAAAATACAACTTTAACTACATCTTATAACTTTGGGAGAGCCATGATAGTTATTTTTATTGGTCTTTTACATGAGGCATGGACTGAGGCTGTGTAAGAGAGAGAATCCATTTAGGATTATAAAAGAACAAAAGTAAGAAAAAACAGTATTGCTCTTTCTGAGTAACTCATTGAGATTAAAATCTGTCTCTGAGGCTTCTGTAACAAGCAAGTTTTTCTCTTCACAGAAGCATTTCAGGGGCCTGAGGCTAATGCTCCGCAAAGGATAGGACACCCAAAGAAGATGAGCTCTGTTCTGGGACCAAAAAACTGAGCAAAAATATTTTCATCCTCCTGGTTGACCTTTTTCATAAAAAGTTGAGTCAGCTCATTCTCATCTACATATTAATATTTGATATAACCTCCTTTTGGTAGAACAATCTTAATAAAGGCATCCCTGGTTCAGAGAAAACTTCAGATTTCAGGTCTTGACATTTTTGTCTTTGTTTTTTGTTTTTTTTTTGAGAGGGAGTCTTGCTCGTTCCCCCAGGCTGGACTGCAGTGGTGCTATCTCGGCTCACTGCAAGCTCCACCTCCTGGGTTCACGCCATTCTCCTGCCTCAGCCTCCTGAGTAGCTGGGATTACAGGCGCCCACCACCGTGCCCGGCTAATTTTTTATATTTTTAGTAGAGATGGGGTTTCACCGTGTTAGCCAAGATGGTCTTGATCTCCTAACCTCGTGATCCACCCGCCTCGGCCTCCCAAAGTGTTGGGATTACAGGCGTGAGCCACTGCACCCGGCCATTGTTTTTTTTTTTTTTAACAAATGAAGGTAAGTCATAGAGAAGATTACCACTCACTCCCTATCCCTAGTAGCAAAATGACTGTATAGCCTTATATGTATTTGACTTAAATTTGAAAAACCTTTAGAATACCAGAGAAATTGAAAACTAATACTTCCCTAGTACCTTGTATTATAAAAGAAAACAAACAAACAAAAAACAAGAAAACCCCAAGCTACTTAAAACAATATTTTTTCTGCATAGTAGGTGGATCTCTTTAACAATAGTCCACATGAATTCATCGATACGCCACTCAGAAAATTGAGCCAAACAGACCTGTTGTATACTCTGTACCACTTCTAGGCTTCTCGGGGCATTTGTTGACTTCCCATGGCCTGAACTGTTAGGAATATTAAGAAAGAATGGAAATAATTACCTTCTTCCTCATCTGGCACTGCCAGCCACTGGATCAGGGCAAAGAGCAGTAGGATCACCAAGCAGGCCATGCCAATTCCTCGGAAGGTTGCAGCAGCCCCTATAAAAACAAACAGCACTCTATAGAGTAATTCCAAGAAATGCAGATAGCGCTCATCTAAAACCATCAGTTTTCTAAAGATCAAAGCAAAGGAAGCACAGCTTGAGACAAACCAGAGAAAAGTAGTTGGGTATTAGCTCCACATAATGGAAAAACACAGGGCTGGGTACGTGTCAAGAGACCCAGGGCTGATATTGGATCTGTCATTGATCGATTATAAAACTGCATTTATATAGGATTATCTCTCAGTGCCTTTCACCATGACTCATACAATTCAATGGTGCTCTCCTCTTCATATGAAAAGACCATTTACCCAATTATTAACTAACAGCACTATTAATCTGTAGTTGGAACAGCAGTGCTCAAATAGTGCTATAAATGCACGCATTTCCTGGGGCCCACCTTATATATTAATAGATGACTGAGTAGTTAAGATTCCTGGAGCAGAATAATCTCATTCCTATTTCAGCTCCTATGTTTCTAATAAGGAAGATATGACAAGACAGACAGATATTGTTACCATAAATGTAGTAGCATTACCAAAGCCAGCATATGGTTAGATTCTTCTGGTTCAAAATCTCCTAATGGAATAACAATGATGAATTTTATTTCCTTTAGGGTTATTATCAGCAGGTTTAAGGTACCTTATTTTAGACCAAAAGCACTCATGCTAATTCATTTGTTTGGCTCCTTTGAGGGATCTCTGTAGCATCTCATTAAGCTGATTGTCAGAGGAGTGTGCACAGTTACAGGCTGGCTCAGATCAGCTTAACAACGTAAGCACACTGCTTTACAATTATGACTACCATGAAATCTAGAAAGAGATTATGAATACTGGAATTTAGCTTTGGGCAATCTTCAGTAATAATTGGATTGTTTATTGAGGTATTGCTGGAAAAAATCATGTTTTAATAATAGAAAAGAAAAAAAAGGAGAAAGCCATTCTTACCAAAATAATTGACTAACACGCCTCCGATCATGGCACCACATCCTCTTCCCAAACCCAGGTGAAGGCCCTGCAGGATGCCCTGAGCAGATGTCCTCAGCTCAGGGGGAACGGCTGCACTGAGGTAAGAAATGCATGCTGCCCAGATGGCCGCGTGTGTCACTCCTGGAGAGGAAGAAGAGCAGGAGGGATTAGTTGGTTAGCATTTCTTAGGCTACTCTGTTTTGAAATGTGAATTATTTAACTAGGCACCTATTTTTAAGATTTGTTGTGGGAAAACATACATTAAAAATTTACCATTTTCACATTTTTAAATGTACGGTTCAGTGGCACTGAGTACACTCACAGTGTTGTGCAGCTGTCACCACCATCCATCTCCAGAACTTTTTCACCACCACAACAAAAATTCTGTACCCCTTAAACCATAACTTACACTCACCCCTTGTCCCATCCCCTGACAACCACCATTCTACTTCCTGTCTCTTGAATGTGACTCCCATTCATTTTGTTCATCTTTTCATCTGTGAATAGACATTTGTTGTTTCCTTCTGCTACTTTGATTAATGCTGCTATCAACCTGGTATGCAAGTATCTGAGTCTTTGATTTAAATTCTTTTGAGTGGCTGGGCGCAGTGGCTCACGCCTGTAATCCCAGCACTTTGGGAGGCCGAGGCGGGTGGATCACGAGGTCAGGAGATTGAGACCATCCTGGCCAACATGGTGAAACCCTGTCTCTACTAAAATACAAAAAATTAGCCTGGCGTGGTGGTGCACGCCTATAGTCCCAGCTACTCGGGAGGCTGAGGCAGTGGAATCGTTTGAACCCAGGAGGCAGAGGTTGCAGTGAGCCAAGATCACGCCACTGCACTCCCCAGCCTGGCAACAGAGCAAGATTCTGTCTCAAAAAAGAAAAAAAAATTATTTTGACTAGGTAACTAGAAATGCAATTGTTGGATGATATGGTCACTATATGTTTAACACTTTGAGGAACTACCTTTTTTCCAAAGTAGCTGTACCATTTTACATTCCCACCTGAACTGTATGAGAGATCCAATTTCTCCACCTCCTTGCCAGAACTTATATATATCTTTTTAAAATAGCAATCATAATGAATGTGAAGCAGTTTCTCATGTTGTTGATTTGCTTTCCCCTAATAGCTAGTGATGTCGAGCACCTTTTAGGTGTTTATTGGCCATCTATATCTTCTTTGAAGAAATGTTTATTCAATTCCTTTGCCCATTTTTTAATTGGGTTGGTTTTTGTTATTGAGTTGTAGGAGCTCTTTATATATTCTGGACATTCATCCATTCTAGGGCACCTACTTTGACATTAAGATTATTTCTACTTTTCCCCATTATAATTAGCATCATGGTTAACATTGCTTTTTACATACCTTAGATTATTTACATTGGCTATAATTCCACAAGTGGGGTTAATGATTCAAAGGATATAACAATTTTTATGTTTTGTTTTGTTTTGTTTGAGATGGAGTATTGCTCTGTCACCAGGCTGGAGTGCAGTGGCACGACCTCAGCTCACTGCAACCTCTGCTTCCTGGGTTCAAGCGATCCTCCTGCTTCAGCCTCCCAAGTAGCTGGGACTACAAGTGCCCGCCACCACCCCCAGCTAATTTTTGTATTTTTAGTAGAGACAGGGTTTCACCACGTTGGCCAGGATGGTCTTGATCTCTTGACCTCGTGATCCACCTGCCTCAGCCTCTCAAAGTGCTGGGATTAGTGAGCCACTGCACCCAGCCATGCTTCTTAATATATAGTTCAGTTAAAAAAATGAGTGCAGAAACAATTTACCATGTCCCATTACCAGTTTTATATCTTCACCATTTATGGGAATGAGAGGAAGACAGAGATAACAGGTGGAAAAATGGTCATTATCTTATTATGTAGTAACTGCATTGTCTGAATTAAAACCTTCATTAAGACACTGCTTTAAATGTAAAAACCAGATATTGTCACAACAGGTTTTATAGCTAGACGAGATTAAGAAATCATCTGGTTCCATCCCCTGAGAAATAGTCTCATTTGGAGATAATATCATCAGAGACTCTTAACTCGTATTTTGGAAAATTAAACTAAAAGATCAAAATTCTTTTAAAATTTGATCTGACAGTAGTCTGCCTCTGCCAGAATGGAATAACAGGGACTAAATTTATTCTCCTTCCTCAAGTAACTAAAAAACCGGACAAAACATATGAGACAGTGGTTCCTGAGGGACATCAGCAACAAGGACAGTGATCCCTGAGAGATGGGAAGCAAATGAAAAGCTTTAGTTTACTGACTGATGAGAGTCTGAAATCTGCAGGGCAAAAAAAGAGAACTGCCAAGTTGAAGACTCTAGCCAAGAGTCTAGGGAGCCAAGGTGGCTAGAGTTCCAGGGCAGAATGCCAGAGAGGAGATAGCATCATAGGGAGAAAACTCCAGAGATCTATAGAGGGCTCCCCTAACGTATTCAGCAGAGTACTGATCAGCAAAACATGTGCAGACACTATTCAGAGTGAGGGAATGAACTACCCAAAACCATTTCAGAGAACAATACCCAGAACCCACACAAGGCGGGGAACACTTCTTCCCACCAGCCAAACTGGAACAACTCATGATTCCTAGGATTGGTAGAGTACTCAACAAGGTCTTTTGTTAGTATTATGAAATAATTAGCCGTAGGCTAAACACTGCTCTGGTCTCATCTACATAATCTTAAAAGCAAGACCCAAAGGATCACACTATTTCCAAGTAACTTAGCTGTGACCCAGAACAAAGCTCAAGAATATTTATAGGAAGACAGAAATAGCCAGCACCCAACCAGGTACCATTCACAATATCTGGCATAATAAAAAAATTATCAGGGATGATATTACTTAAGTCAGTCCATAATGGAATAAACACTGTTTTTACTGGGTACATTAGATTGTATGCCTCACAGTTGACTAAGAAACATTAAAATAACTTTCTTAGGTTTTATATATGTTTCAGTCATCATTTTAACTAGGTTTTTTTTTTTTTTAACTAGTAAGATGGACTAGATGATTAGCAGTAGCATACACAGTTAATTTCCTAAGAAGTCAAATAACGTGTTTGCTTTATCTGGCAAAACAATTGCAATACCCTAGATAATGCCAGCTTTCTCAGAATTGAATAATGCCTGGATAGTCTTAATTATGAGTGTTGACACCATAGTACCTAATGGGAATAATTGTAAGTATTTTCATTTCTATTATTAAAGATGATGCTAAGTCCATTTCTTTTCACATATGCAGATTTTTTTTCATTAACCACACTGGGGGAAAAACTCAAAAATATTCCAAGAAATAAATTAATTTATTCAAAATTAATTAGATTCAATAGCAAAATCCAACACAGATTTGGAAATCATTTCTTAAAGATGAATTACCGAAAACCTGAAAACACATCAAATGGTAGTAGGTTAACTTTAATGCTGACGCCAAACCTCTTGTTATGTGTATGTCTAAGCAATCAATTGCAGGATTTACAAGCAACCAAAACATTAAAATATATTTATTATAATTCTAGATAAAAAACAATTCTAGCAGTTATTCTTTTAAGTGTGAAGGCTTGGACACACACAAACTCTTCCAACCACAGGGTTTGTATCTATTTTCCCCCTCTCAGAAATTCTAATCATTTTCTAAAACTTTGAGTGTTCTAAGATAATTAAAGCATTTTCCAGTGGGATGACTTAAGTCAGGATGCTTTTAAACTATTCTTAGAATTTACTGACTAGTATTAAGTGGTAGTTGTAAAAGATTCTCCACAGTTAGACTTCTAGTTTCTATATTGCTTTTGAGACTGATTAGATAATTGGGAATTACATTCTTTAAATTAACTCAGGGAATTAAGTGAAGGAAAAAATAGTAAAGCACAAAAACAAAATTTCTGATACTAAAAGCAGAAGAATGAAAGCCACTCTGCTTGTATGCTCTGATGTTTTCCAGGGCAGATACAGGATTAAAATTGATTTCCCTAAAATAACTTATTTTAAGATATCGTATAAGTGAAGAAGCAATTAAATTCATCTCATTTCTTAGATAGGAAACCAGCAAAATGTAGCAATCCGTAAGAAGGGATTAAATTAGAACATCATCTGTGTATACAAAAGACAGTGGTGGAGCTGCAGTTCTCGTTCATAAACTGGAACATGCAACTTTCTAGTAATCTTAATAATCTGAAGCTCTTGCCAATGTTTTTACTACATTTGTGTTCTGATTCTCTCGTTTTAAAATAACAAAAAAAGCAACCTAGAAACTTGAAAACCCTCCGCCATTTCCCATATTTGTAAGACAAGATTTAGGAAGTCTTAGGAATTGTGCTACCGAAAACGACATTCCTGTAAAGTAGAGGGGACAAAAGATATTATAAACTAGAAAAAGAAAATGCTTCTACTTTCTTAGTTATTAGAGAACTGTGAAAAAGCAGTAGATGATTATTCTTTATGTGATGAAATAAGCACATTTACTCAGTGGCATGGGTAAATGTGTTTACACTAGAATTACAAATTTTTAAACCTTTTTAAGTATGAGATAACAAAGTTGGTAGATCAAACAGTCAAAATACAAGCTATTACTCCCTGACTGACAACAGTAACAAGGGCACAGGAACTGACTCTCCTTGCAATGTGTTAACTCTTCCATGGCTGCTTGTCATAAAACCACTGAGCCTTCAGTGACAATTCAATACCAACTCACATAACAGGTGCTTAAATATATTGATTGAGAATGAATGACTCTCAGAGACCAAGTAGTCCACATAAACTTAGTTTCTCAGTCCTTCCTTACCTTTACTGGGATCCCCCAGGATTGGCTTTGAGGCACAGTAAAAATCAAGAGATATATCCACACTACCTACTGCCAAGACTTTACTTGGGATCCATTACATTTGAATAACCTAGAATCATTAAAAATAATTATGAGTAACATTAATTGTTTTCGTTAACTTTTTTTTTTTTTTTTTTTTTGAAAATGAGTTTCACTCTTGTTGCCCAGGCTGGAGTGCAATGGCGTGATCTCGGCTCACCGCATCCTCTGCCTCCTGGGTTCAAGCAATTCTCCTGCCTCAGCCTTCCGAGTAGCTGGGACTACAGGTGTGTGCCACCACGCCCAGCTAATTTTCGTACCCTTAGTAGAGACAGGGTTTCACCATGTTGGCCAGGATGGTCTTGATCTCTTGACCTCGTGATCTGCCTGCCTCGGCCTCTCAAAGTGCTGGGATTACGGGCGTGAGCCACTGCGCCCAACCCTGTTTTCATTAATATTATCACATCAGCTTACTCTACAAGGAATTGTGCTAAGTGTTTTACACAGATTATTGAATCTATTCCTCCAATAGGTACAGTACTATTTTTTCTTCATTTTCCAAAAAGGAAACCAAGGCACAGAGATATTAGATGCCTTGTCCAGAGTCACACAGAGAAGAGAGTTGTTGAATAGGATTTGAACCCAAGGTGTCCAAGTTCAGAGCTTAGGTGCTTAAATATTACACTATATGTTCTCATAACAATTGTTAGAAGTATTCTATAGTAAATGTAACTATCTACTTTGAGAGATTTTGTTGTTAATATCAAACATACCCCACAAGCTACCAGTTTAAAAGATGATAGTCGGCCGGGCGCGGTGGCTCACGCCTGTAATCCCAGCACTTTGGGAGGCCGAGGCGGGTGGATCACGAGGTCAGGAGATCGAGACCATCCTGGCTAACAAGGTGAAACCCCGTCTCTACTAAAAATACAAAAAAATTAGCCGGGCGCGGTGGCAGGCGCCTGTAGTCCCAGCTACTCGGGAGGCTGAGGCAGGAGAATGGCGTGAACCCGGGAAGCAGAGCTTGCAGTGAGCCGAGATTGCGCCACTGCAGTCCGCAGTCCGGCCTGGGCGACAGAGTGAGACTCCGTCTAAAAAAAAAAAAAAAAAAAAAAAAAAAAAAAAAAAGATGATAGTCTTAATAACTCTTCTCCACCCTTTCTGAAGAGCTGACATGTCATCTATATTGTTTTTTAAATGCCCCAAATACCTTATAACACTCAACACTGGTATCTGATTGTACAACATGCATTTCAAAATTGTTCAGTCTTGGCCCACAAGAATGCTCTACTGAAATAAATGGCATGTATGAGCAGGAAAAAAAGTCCTTTCTTCTTAAGGAGACAGCTGCTCTTTGTAAACTGTTGCTTGGCTTGGGGAAATCACATTATAATGGCTGGGAGGAGTGAGAACTGACACAGTACTAGGGAACTAGGATTGTTTTGTTTTTCTTCCTTCTGCCACTGACTTAAGCTTACTGAACAAAACATAACTATCCCTTTAGCATTGGCACACAGAATCAGCTGTGACAAACCTTTCCCATGAATAGACCAAAGCATACATTTCAATTAGTTCTGGGATTAAAAAAAAAAAAAAAGGAAAGCTTCCGAAAGGTCAACTTGGTGAAAATCAGTAAGAGACTATTCTTCCTAAGGAAAGGCCTCCATTGGGCAGGCAATAAAAGAAAAAGTCTATATTGGAAATCTTAGTGGTTTCACACATTAAATGTTTTCTTTTCTTGCTCACACAAAGTCCAATGAACAGGAGACAGGAGTAGTAGCAGCTCTGCTCCATAGTCATTCAGGGATCCAGGTTACAGAGAATCTGCCATCTGCAATGCCTGGTTACCCTAGGTATCAATATCCAGCTGACAGAGAAGGGAGTGACACACCTCTGCACCTGACCCATACAATTTCCCACGTGCTATCCTTTCCTCCTATCATTTCTGCTTTTATTCCGCTGGCCAGAATTAACCACATGGTCATACCTAACTGCAAGGGAGGCTGGGAAATAGAATCTAGCTGCATGTCCACGAAGAAAAGGAAACAGAGATGGTGAGTAGCAAGCCAGTCTCTCTGTCAGAGTTGGGGCTACTAACAGCAATACACCTTCCACAAATGGCGGAGGATCCTACAAAGAGCAATGGACTTAGCAGCAGCAGCAGCATGGATCTTCTGTGTGCTGCACGAAAGAAAGTTTATATAAGACATGCAACAATTTGTGTTAAAAGCCAACATTCCCACACCTATTGATGTATAGGACTGCAAGAATCCCCTTCATGCATTCAACAGTATTTACTCAGCATCTATATTATGTGCCAGATAGCCTGCTAGGCTTTGAAAATATGACAATATGCAAAATAATGTCCCCAGCCACCAAGGAGCTTACAGTCTGGCAGGTGAAAGGGGGCAGGATTTATCTAAAGGGGACGCAGACTGAGCTCCTTGAGAACAGACATATCCAGCACCCAGCAGAGGGCTGACATGTAACAGCAGCTGAACAAAAGGACATTGAACTGAAACAGGGTAGGCAGTGGTCTACATGTTGGGATATGACGAAGAAAGCATTTATGGATAAAAGGTACCCTGGGTAAGGTTGGAGAAAACTTCCAAATCCCATATATAAGTAAAAGTGGACAGAGGAAATAAAATAGTAGATCTCTTCTATAAGCTCTAGCTTGCAAACTTAAAAAAATATATGAGTTGCTTAAAAAAAGTCTATAACTGATGTAACAATGTTCTAGGGGGCCCTCGTGAATTTTTACATGCTGGCATTATGCCTTTGGCATACCTTTAAGCAGGTTTTAGGAGACTACCACCCAAAACCCAGGGAGTTTAATGTTAAGACTTGGCAACATTATACTACACGCCCAGTGTTTTCCCACCTGAAGCCACACATGAGAACTGCTTTTCTATCAGCCAATAAAGATTTCACTTATCTTCCTCAAAGATAACTTTATTAATAGTGTGCACTGACTAGCCACATTTCCCTTACGCTTTGGTCATTAGGCTTCAGCTTAATTCATAGCCAGGCTTTAATGCATAATTGAAGTTTAACTCCTTAGAATAGGATCTTTTAAATTATATTTTCTCTGATCCTGATTTATATTTATTTATAATTTATTTTACTTTTTTGTATTGTATGTTTTCTAACATTTATTAGAAGCTAACTGTGGGTCAGGTACTGTGCTAAATACTTTGCATGGATTAGTGTATTTAATACTCATGTCAACCTCTCCTATAACTCAAGAGTCTGTGGCTTAGAGAGATTAAGCATTTTGTCCAAAGACACAGAGCTTATAGGTAGGGGAGTTAGAATTCAAACCCAGATAGTCTAATTCAAGCCTTAGCACTTTATGGTTTCCGGATTATTGCATATTTTGGTAATCTGCCTCAGCTAACTTATAGAGTGAGGTGAGGGTATAAGTACTAATTAAAATACATGGGTGATTTTACAGATGTGTTATGGATGGCAAGATGTCATCCTAGGAAGAGCTTTCATAATGAAGGTTCAGCTTTAAATTTAATTTTCAAATTTTCTTCAGATACTTAATAAGTTTTTGAGATAGAATTTCTTATATCATTCAAAAGATATAAAAATTATAAACTACTAACTATAGTACATGATACAGGGGGCTGAAAAATGAATTAAACAACAAGCATTAATAGTGTATCTTCCTATATGTACATCTCTTTGGAGAACTGAAAAAGTATAAGCATGGCCTTTATGTTCAAGGGTTTAAACTAAGTTAGACAATAAAACTAGTATTTCTTCCCCATGCTCTTGCAGAGCATAAGAGGAGGAAAATGTGCTTTGTTTGTTTGTTGTTGTTTTGAGACAGGGTCTCACTGTGTCACCCAGGCTGGAATGCAGTGCTGCAATCACAGGTCACTGCAGCTTCAACCTTTTGGGGTCAAGCAATCCTTCCACCTGAGCCTCCCCAGTAGCTGGGACCACAGGCGCATGCCACCATGCCTAGCTGATTTTTAAATATTTTGTAGAGACAGGGTCTCCCTAGGTTGCCCAGGCTGAAAACATGTTTCTTACTTGGCTGAATAAGCATGCTAAATAAGACAAACAGAATAACGCTTTATAAATGTCAGCTCAAGTCCCCCTAACTGATGACATTAAAAAAAACATCTTTCATCAAAATCTTAACCCGGCTCCCACTGATAGAGCATCCTACAGAGAGAGAGCTGACCCAGACCTCGTTTTCACTCCTCAGTGCTGGAGTCATTAATTCAAGTAACTCAAAAGTACCTCTTTAGTTATAGCAGCCCCTAGGTGAGTTTTACTCTCATCAGATACATTTTAATAGCAAGGATAATTCTGATTCTTGCTCAGAACTAACACTAACACTCATCTCTGAGTTTTGCAAGGATTTGCAACCAACACCCACAGAGGAAGGAGAATAACAAGTTTGGGCTTTATTTTAATCAAATATTTATATTCTTGATCAAAATCATGAATGTTTAATTGTTCTTTGTACAAAACAAAAGGAGAAAATTCCTATGGGTTTTTAAAATGAGGTCTTGAGAAATAAATATAAACTATTCACCACCACCACCATCCAGCAATGCTTTTAGGCACGTAGACTCCCTGTCTCTTTTTTAAATACACTGCAGATTTCTTATAGGTAGGAAATATGTTTTCTGCTTCTTTATATGGTATTACCAGTTGCCTACTGAATAACATGTTTGCTGCAAATGGTAGCTGAATTGCTAAAAAGATATAGCTGCAAGAGAATACTTACTGAACATGAGAAAGATCATGGGAAAGAAATAACCTCACAATTCCAAACAGCATCCAGTAGTCTTACCTTGATCCCCCAATAAAGGCTTGAATAGCCTCCTTCCTATAGGCCTGGGGAAGAGGAAATTTGTTTCTTCACAAACCCATCTGCTAATTATTATGAACATGGCCTGAGAGGACAATCAAGAAACTGCAAGACTGAAGATAACAAGGAATCCTCCACCAGCAGTTACATGCAACCCCAAAGAGGAAGGGCTGGGTAGCGGGGGCTATAGAATGAGGCACATCTTTTGTCTCCTCCCTTTCAGCTACCCTCTAGATAGTACTAGACAGTACTAGTTCTCGTGGTGTTTTGGGGATAAAGCAAGGGTGGTAGGATAAAGAGACAGACTTTGCTTATTTTTTTTTTAAGGAAGACCCTCTTGTATGGTTCTGGCTAGGAACCAAAAAACGGAAGTGCTGATTTTTCAGAGTCAAGATGCCCAATGATGAAAGACAACATCCCATTCCCCAGCCTTCCCCTTCCCCAGACTAGGTCTTTGGCAATCAACAAGTAACATTTCCAGTCAAGGAATTAAGGGCTATATATTGTGAGAGTGGGCTTGTCCTCCAATGAAATCATTCAGTGATTTGTTTTAATCATGTCCTGCCTTACTGCATCCTAAATAGAGTCTCCTTTAAGCACACGGACTTTAAAGCCATTTGGACGAGCCTTGTAAAGGCAGACGAATCCAAACTAGCAAAACAAACCTCTTCAGTCAGAAATGTATTTCTGTGATGCAGGATTTTATTCCACATGAATAATCTACTGTTTTCCATGGGGTGGGCATGGGTCAAACAAAGGCAAGGGATTTTGATTTTGTTGTGCAGTCAAAATACTCAGCACTCACTTCTGCCAGGGAATGAAACCATCTCCTCCAGCATTAGAAACAAAGAGCTCTGTGGAAACTGGCCACAGAGCCCTCTGTTGCACTAGGAGGCTGTATTTACAGATCCTCTTCCCTGGCTTCAGACCAGTAGCTAGGTTTCTACTGGCATAAGGGAGAATAAAATGAAACACAGAAGTATGTATCGTAGCCTGCCCTAGGAAGCAGAATTCCTGTTTAGATTCAGAACATGGCCAGCTCCCTAAATCCTGGGATAATATCCCTGAGGTGCATACAAGTATTATAAAAACATGTCCTGGGTTGGCAGCTTGAGATGATAAATGCTTCAAGCCCTAGCCCCGGCACACCACTTATGCTCCCTGAAGAGGCCATTCTGTTCTCTTCTGTGCCTTCGCACACAGCTCTTCCCCCATGCTGGAATGCCTACTCTCTTTAGACCACCTGGTAGATTCCTATTCGCCCTTCAGAATCTAGCTTATGTGATTTTTGTAGGGAATTTTTCAATACAGTCTTCATCCTCCCACTCCCTGCTTCACAAAGTTAATTATTCTCCTTAGGGTAAGCTCCTTATCTGCTACCTAGCACATTTTTCTATGATTCCATCTAACATGCTGTATAGTTATTATGTGTTTACACATCTGGCTTCCAGAACAGTTGGTGAGACCTTGTGGCCTGAGTTAATATATGTATATATTTTATTACATTCTCAGCACCCAGCATGCTGCCTGGCTCTTAGTCACCATTTAATATATCTTTAATAAATTAACAGGAAAATGCATTTTTAAATTCACACAGCATTTGTTTTTTCCTCTTATAAAATTATTCTGTTGTTCTTTAACCGTTTCATGGATGTTCTCTTTTCTTGGGTCACTTATGGAAACCGTCCTTTTCCACCTAACTCATTTTAAACTAAAAGGATAAAAAAGTTATATGCATGTATTATTATAATATATAGTCATTTCTTTTCTGTAGGTATACAAATCTTTATTTATAGAGTCTGCACACTGTAGCATACCAATAAATAAAGCAATTAAGCCAGGTCAGGATAGAACAGGAACCAGAGGTGGGAAATCCTAAGAACTGTGTTGCATATTACCTTGTTATTGAATCATTCTTACCTGCAGTTCCTGTTTAATGCATTGTTATTATTATTATTATACTTTAAGTTTTAGGGTACATGTGCACAACGTGCAGGTTTGTTACATATGTATACATGTGCCATATTGGTGTGCTGCACCCATTAACTCGTCATTTAACATTAGGTATATCTCCTAATGCTATCCCTCCCCCCTCCCCCCACCCCACAAGAGTCCCCAGTGTGTGATGTTCCCCTTCCTGTGTCCATGTGTTCACATTGTTCAATTCCCACCTATGAGTGAGAACATGCGGTGTTTGGTTTTTTGTCCTTACAATAGTTTGCTGAGAATGATGGTTTCCAGCTTCATCCATGTCCCTACAAAGGACATGAACTCATCATTTTTTATGGCTGCATAGTACTCCATGGTGTATATGTGCCACATTTTCTTAATCCAGTCTATCACTGTTGGACATATGGGTTGGTTCCAAGTCTTTGCTATTGTGAATAGTGCTGCAATAAACATATGTGTGCATGTGTCTTTATAGCAGCATGATTTATAATCCTTTGGGTATATACCCAGTAATGAGATTGCTGGATCAAATGGTATTTCTAGTTCTAGATCCCTGAGGAATCGCCACACTGACTTCCACAATGGTTGAATTAGTTTACAGTCCCACCAACAGTGTAAAAGTGTTCCTATTTCTCCACATCCTCTCCAGCACCTGTTGTTCCCTGACTTTTTAATGATTGCCATTCTAATTGGTATGAGATGGTATCTCATTGTGGTTTTGATTTGCATTTCTCTGATGGCCAGTGATGATGAGCATTTTTTCATGTGTCTGTTGGCTGCATAAATGTCTTCTTTTGAGAAGAGTCTGTTCATATCCTTTGCCCACTTGTTGATGGGGTTGTTTTTTTCTTATAAATTTGTTTGAGTTCTTTGTAGATTCTGGATATTAGCCCTTTGTCAGATGAGTAGATTGCAAAAATTTTCTCCCATTCTGTAGGTTGCCTGTTCACTCTGATGGTAGTTTCTTTTGCTGTGCAGAAGCTCTTTAATTAGATCCCATTTGTCAATTTTGGCTTTTGTTGCCATTGCTTTTGGTGTTTTAGACATGAAGTCCTTGCCCATGCCTATGTCCTGAATGGTATTGCCTAGGTTTTCTTCTAGGGTTTTTATGGTTTTAGGTCTAACATTTAAGTCTTTAATCCATCTTGAATTAATTTCTGTATAAGGTGTAAGGAAGGGATCCAGTTTCAGCTTTCTATATATGGCTAGCCAGTTTTCTCAGCACCATTTATTAAATAGGGAATCCTTTCCCTATTTCTTGTTTTTGTCAGGTTTGTCAAAGATCAGATAGTTGTAGATATGTGGCATTATTTCTGAGGGCTCTGTTCTGTTCCATTGGTCTATATCTCTGTTTTGGTACCAGTACCATGCTGTTTTGGTTACTGTAGGCTTGTAGTATAGTTTGAAGTCAGGTAGTGTGATGCCTCCAGCTTTGTTCTTTTGGCTTAGGATTCACTTGGCAATGCGGGCTCTTTTTTGGTTCCGTATGAACTTTAAAGTAGTTTTTTCCAATTCTGTGAAGAAAGTCATTGGTAGCTTCATGGGGATGGCATTGAATCTATAAATTACCTTGGGCAGTATGGCCATTTTCACGATATTGATTCTTCCTATCCATGAGCATGGAATGTTCTTCCATTTGTTTGTATCCTCTTTTATTTCATTGAGCAGTGGTTTGTAGTTCTCCTTGAAGAGGTCCTTCATATCCCTTATAAGTTGGATTCCTAGGTATTTTATTCTCTTTGAAGCAATTGTGAATGGGAGTTCACTCATGATTTGGGTGTTTGGCTGTTACTGGTATATAAGAATGCTTGTGATTTTTGCACATTGATTTTGTATCCTGAGACTTTGCTGAAGTTGCCTATCAGCTTAAGGAGATTTTGGGCTGAGACGATGGGGTTTTCTAGATATACAATCATGTCATCTGCAAACAGGGATAATTTGACTTCCTCTTTTCCTAATTGAATACCCTTTATTTCCTTCTCCTGCCTGATTGCCCTGGCCAGAACTTCCAACACTATGTTGAATAGGAGTGGTGAGAGAGGGCATCCCTGTCTTGTGTCAGTTTTCAAAGGGAATGCTTCCAGTTTTTGCCCATTCAGTATGATATTGGCTGTGGGTTTGTCATAGATAGCTCTTATTATTTTGAGATATGTCCCATCAATACCTAATTTATTGAGAGTTTTTAGCATGAAGGGTTGTTGAATTTTGCAAAGGCTTTTCTGCATCTATTGAGATAATCATGTGATTTTTGTCTTTGGTTCTGTTTATATGCTGGATTACATTTATTGATTTGCATATGTTGAACCAGCCTTGCATCCCAGGGATGAAGCCCACTTGATCATGGTGGATAAGCTTTTTGATGTGCTGCTGGATTCGGTTTGCCAGTATTTTATTGAGGATTTTTGCATCTATCTTCATCAGGAATATTGGTCTAAAATTCTCTTTTTTGGTTGTGTCTGTGCCAGGCTTTGGTATCAGGATGATGCTGGCCTCATAAAATGAGTTAGGGAGGATTCCCTCTTTTTCTCTTGATTGGAATAGTTTCAGAAGGAATGGTACCAGCTCCTCCTTGTACCTCTGGTCGAATTCAGCTGTGAATCCATCTGGTCCTGGACTTTTTTTGGTTGGTAAGCTATTAATTATTGCCTCAATTTCAGAGCCTTTTATTGGTCTATTCAGAGATTCAACTTCTTCCTGGTTTAGTCTTGGGAGGTTGTTTGTGTCAAGGAATTTATCCATTTCTTCTAGATTTTCTAGTTTATTTGCATAGAGGTGTTTATAGTATTCTCTGATGGTAGTTTGTATTTCTGTGGGATCGGTGGTGATATCCCCTTTATCATTTTTTATTGCGTCTATTTGATTCTTTAATCTTTTCTTCTTTATTAGTCTTGCTAGCGGTCTATCAATTTTGTTGATCTTTTCAAAAAACCAGCTCCTGGATTCATTGATTTTTTGAAGGGTTTTTTGTGTCTCTATTTCCTTCAGTTCTGCTCTGATCTTAGTTATTTCTTGCCTTCTGCTAGCTTTTGAATGTGTTTGCTCTTGCTTCTCTAGTTCTTTTAATTGTGATGTTAGGGCGTCAATTTTGGATCTTTCCTGCTTTCTCTTGTGGGCATTTAGTGCTATAAATTTCCCTCTACACACTGCTTTGACTGTGTCCCAGAGATTCTGGTACATTGTGTCTTTGTTCTCGTTGGTTTCAAAGAGCATCTTTATTTCTGCCTTCATTTCCTTATGTACCCAGTAGTCATTCAGGAGTAGGTTGTTCAGTTTCCATGTACTTGAGCAGTTTTGAGTGAGTTTCTTAATCCTGAGTTCTAGTTTGATTGCACTGTGGTCTGAGAGACAGTTTGTTATAATTTCTGTTCTTTTACATTTGCTGAGGAGTGCTTTACTTCCAACTATGTGGTCAATTTTGGAATAGGTGTGGTGCTGAAAAGAATGTATATTCTGTTGATTTGGGGTGGAGAGTTCTGTAGATGTCTATTAGGTCCACTCAGGAAAGCTGAGTTCAATTCCTGGATATCCTTACTGACTTTCTGTCTCGTTGATCTGTCTAATGTTGACAGTGGGGTGTTAAAGTCTCCAATTATTATTGTGTGGGAGTCTAAGTCTCTTTGTAGGTCTCTAAGGACTTGCTTTATGAATCTGGGTGCTCCTGTATTGGGTGCATATATATTTAGGATAGTTAGCTCTTCTTGTTGAATTGATCCCTTTACCATTATGTAATGGCCTTCTTTGTCTCTTCTGATGTTTGTTTTATCAGAGACCAGGATTGCAACCCCTGCCTTTTTTTGTTTTCCATTTGCTTGGTAGATCTTCCTCCATCCCTTTATTTTGAGCCTATGTGTGTTTCTGCACGTGAGATGGGTTTCCTGAATACAGCACACTGATGGGTTTTGACTCTTTATCCAATTTGCCAGTCTGTGTCTTTTAATTGGAGCATTTAGCCCATTTATATTTAAGGTTAATATTGTTATGTGTGAATTTGATCCTGTCATTATGATGTTAGCTGGTGATTTTGCTTGTTGGTTGATGCAGTTTCTTCCTAGCCTCGATGGTCTTTACAATTTGGCATGTTTTTGCAGTAGCTGGTACCGGTTGTTCCTTTCCATGTTTAGTGCTTCCTTCAGGAGCTCTTTTAGGGCAGGTCTGGTGGTGACAAAATCTCTCAGCATTTGCTTGTCTGTAAAGTATTTTATTTCTCCTTCACTTATAAAGCTTAGTTTGGCTGGATATGAAATTCTGGGTTGAAAATTCTTTCCTTTAAGAATGTTGAATATTGGCCCCCACTCTCTTCTGGCTTGTAGAGTTTCTGCCCAGAGATCACCTGTTAATCTGATGGGCTTCCCTTTGTGGGTAACCCGACCTTTCTCTCTGGCTGCCCTTAACATTTTTTCCTTCATTTCAACTTTGGTGAATCTGACAATTATGTGTCTTGGAGTTGCTCTTCTCGAGGAGTATCTTTGTGGCTTCTCTATATTTCCTGAATTTGAATGTTGGCCTGCCTTGCTAGATTGGGGAAGTTCTCCTGGATAATATCCTGCAGAGTGTTTTCCAACTTGGTTCCATTCTCCCTGTCACTTTCAGGTACACCAATCAGATGTAGATTTGGTCTTTTCACATACTCCCATATTTCTTGGAGGCTTTGTTCGTTTCTTTTTATTCTTTTTTCTCTAAACTTCTTTTCTCACTTCATTTCATTCATTTGATCTTCCATCACTGATACCCTTTCTTCCAGATGATCAAATCAGCTACTAAGGCTTGTGCATTTGTCACCTATTTCTCGTGCCGTGGTTTTCAGCTCCATCAGGTCCTTTAAGGACTTCTCTGCATTGGTTATTGTAGTTAGCCATTCATCTAATCTTTTTTCAAGGTTTTTAACTTCTTTGCCATGGGTTTGAACTTCTTCCTTTAGCTCGGAGTAGTTTGATCGTCTGAAGCCTTCTCTCAACTCATCAAAGTCATTCTCTGTCCAGCTTTGTTCCATTGCTAGTGAGGAGCTGCGTTTCTTTGGAGGAGGAGAGGTGCTCTGATTTTTAGAATTTTCAGTTTTTCTGCTCTGTTTTTTCCCCATCTTTGTGGTTTTAACTACCTTTGGTCTTTGATGATGGTGACGTACAGATGGGGTTTTGGTGTGGATATCCTTTCTGTTTGTTAGTTTTCCTTCTAACAGTCAGGAGCCTCAGCTGCAGGTCTGTTGGAGTTTGCTGGAGGTCCACTCCAGACCCTGTTTGCCTGGGTATCAGCAGTGAAAGCTGCAGAACAGCGGATATTGGTGAACAGCAAATATTGCTGCCTGATCGTTCCTCTGGAAGTTTTGTCTCAGAGGGGTACCCGGCCGTATGAGTTATCAGTCTGCCCCTACTGGGGGGTGCCTCCCAGTTAGGCTACTTGCGGGTCAGGGACCCACTTGAGGAGGCAGTCTGTCTGTTCTCAGATCTCAAGCTGCGTCCTGGGAGAACTACTGTCTTCAAAGCTGTCAGACAGGGACATTTAAGTCTGCAGAGGTTTCTGCTGCCTTTTGTTTGGCTATGCTCTGCCCCCAGAGGTGGAGTTTACTGAGGCAGGCAGGCCTCCTTGAGCTGTGGTGGGCTCCACCCAGTTCAAGCTTCCCAGCCGCTGCTTTGTTTACCTACTCAAGCCTCAGCAATGGCGGGTGCCCCTCCCCCAGCCTCACTGCCGCCTTGCAGTTTGATCTCAGACTGCTGTGCTAGCAATGAGGGAGGCTCCGTGGGCGTAGGACCCTCCAAGCCAGGTGCGGGATATAATCTCCTAGTGTGCCGTTTGCTAAGACTGTTGGAAAAGCACAGTATTAGGGTGGGAGTGACCCAATTTTCCAGGTGCCATCTCTCACCCCTTTCCTCGGCTAGGAAAGGGAATTCCCTGACCCCTTGTGCTTCCTGGGTGAGGTGATGCCTCGCCCTGCTTCAGCTCACGCTCACCGCGCTGCACCCACTATCCTGCACCCACTGCCTGACAATCCCCAGTGAGATGAACCCGGTACCTCAGTTGGAAATGCAGAAATCAGTAGTCTTCTGTGTCACTTACGCTGAGACCTGTAGACTGGAGCTGTTCCTATTCGGCCATCTTGGCTCCACCCTCCTGTTATTCTTAAATGACACAAAACTGAGATGTGTGCCTCCCCTCAAGACCCTTCCAGAGTTCTAATTATTAGAAACAATAATTTCTTATTATTAAAGACCAAGTTTCCATTTTCTATATATTTGTAAACAGAATCTCCTTTTACTAGCTACACCATTGCATCAAATCTGAGAAAAGCATCTTAAAGTATATATATATATACTTGAATTTTATAATTATAATGTGAATATAAATTATATCTCCTTTCAATTAGGATAAGTTCTTTTTTCATTGCTATGATGAATTTGATGAATGAGCTGGCATTTTGTACATTCTGTTTAGATGTATAATTATGAATCTTTCATTTTAAAAGACTGAAATTCTCAATCTTTCATCATGACAATTAATCACATTGATTACACCGCATTTGTCTCCTTAGGGTAAGGGAAAATGATAATGGCAATCTATAAAGCTAATGAAATCGTATATAATCAAATCACAGACTGTTTAGTGCAATTAATGATTTAGTAGCCTGGACCGTCACTCAACTCCAGCGATCTTGTCCTGAACCTTTATTTTAATCATGATGCCAATCAGGACTTTTCAGGATGTGGTCAGTACTATATGAGCTAACATGGCAATGAGCTTTGAATAGTAATCCATTTTTTCAGCACTCTTCAGCTACATGACAAGAGCCTTCTAGAAACTTTTTCAGTTGTGTCTTGATGGGAGACAGTACACTGAAGCAAAGAGAACTCAGGGCAGGACATTTGAGCAGAGATTTTTTAAAGTTCATGGAAAAACAACGGTGTGGCTATAAAACTTTAGTTATAAGTCACCAGATGTGATAAAAATAACTGAAGAGATAAAATAATTATGACAACAATCTTTTTTTCAGTAACTATAGTTAACCTACAAAACTAAAAACACCAAAAACTTTAAAAGATAAATATTTTTATATCTTAAAACCACCCTTGGATGTCCATGTCTAATAGTTGTGCACAGGAGTTTATTCTAGAGTTCCTCTTCCTTTGTTTAATCACAAGGGTGTGGATCAAGTCCAGCTTTGTTTGGCTCAACACAAAGCAGCACTCAGGTAACCAAGGAACCATCCCTCCTGATGTCATCTCTTCCTTAACAACCACTTCAAAATCACATGAAACAGTAGGCCTGCCCTTCCTTTATAGAATCAGATGCTGAAGGCCACTGGGCTTTTAGCCACAGCTCAGGGAAGGCAGAGAAATAATTTCAATCCCAGCTGTTAACTTACCTTGAAGAACTTCCATGGGGAGAACAGTCCAGGCATTCTCCAGGTAGGAAATATAAATATAGCGAGCCGTATTGCAGGCCAGGCCAATGTACAGAACCCTAAAAAAAAATAAAAAATAAAAATAAAATAAAAAAAAGCAAAGGAAAATAAACTGAGTCCCTAATATACAATCTAATATGTGTACAAAACATGCAAATATTACCTACCTTTTCCTTCCCCAAACCACCCATCATCCAGCAGACTCCAAACTCAGGAGTGGGAAAACTGAAGGACAATTACATTTAAGCATGAATTTAGGAATAAGAAGATGGCTTCTAACATATCTGCCCTCAGCCTTTTCAAAATGCTTGTTAATATAAAAGTGAACATCACCCTTCCTGAAACTTAATTTGTAGCAGAGATGATGCTTTTTTAAGATAGTCTGGGCGCACTGCCATCAGTAATGACATTACTGGCTTCCTTCCAGGTGGCTGTAGGAGAACTATGCCTGGGATTGTAACCACTTCACTACAATGGGGGAAGGAAGGATAAAAATGAGAATATGTAAACACGAATGTGGCCTTGCTCATAATACCCAAGATACCAAGCAGTTTCACAAGGAGACTCTGAAGGTCATTGAAAACTATCATTCACTAACTACTATAAACTATTTGGAAATCAAATAGTTTCTCCTATCAGTTCAATGGATACATGTTCATCTTTTAAAAAATTCATGGTATCATATGTTTACAAAACTAATAAATATACACCAACCTCTTGCATTCTCTCACCCCCACCATTACCGCTGCCAAAAGTATAAGTAGAAAGAAAATAAGCAAAGGCCTGAAGTGGTGCACCCAAGCATAAGGTTTCAGTCTCTCGTTCTGAACTGGATGGGCTGGTTTGGAAGCAAAGAGTGGCTACTTCTCTGCACAAAATACACCCTAATGGTAGGGATTTATCTTTCTCCCTTGTTTTCTATTTTCTGTTAATTTTCCTAACCTTAATGCTCTGTTTTCTGAATCCAATTTGATGAAAAGTAAAAGGTAAAAGAAATAAACCAACACGATAATCAGTGGTATTTTCCTAATCTTGCTTTTTATGTTAAAATCATTCCTGACTGAGTGTATTGACTCATGCCTGTAATCTGAGCACCCTGGGAGGCTGAGGCAGGAGGATCACTTGCGCCCAAGAGTTCAAGACCAGCCTGGGCAACATAGTGAGAACCTGTCTCTACCAAAAAAAAAAAAAAAAAAATTAGCCAGGCTTGGTGGCACACACCTATAGTCCCAGCTACTTGGGAGGCTGAGGTAGGAGGACTGCTTGAGCCTGGGAGGTCTAGGCTGCCCTGAGCCATAATCCCACCACTGCACTCCAGCCTGGCAAACAGAGCAAGACCCTGTCTCAAAAAAAAAAAAAAAAATTCATTCCTATAAACACTGTTCCCTTTTTCCCAACACTGAATCAACAAAGGGAAATGCTCTCAGACACCCAGCTATCACTAATCTCACATATGGAAAAGAAAGATGAAGAAAAGACAAAAAAGAAAAAGTTGAAGGGTGTGGATGAAATAGGCAACAGATATTAGAGGGATTTAGCAGATTCTCAGTGAAGTATTACAAAAAGTCTGGGTCATCTTGTTCTATGGACATTATGTTCTTTGTACTTGTGTGTTTGGAGGAGAAAAGTACGTTTCAATCTGCCTTAATGAAACTTTTATTGAACAAACTTGCTACAGATTCATCAGTTTCCCTCTGCTAGGGAAAAAAAAAGCCACAGGAAATTAAAATGCAAAATATACTACATGAACACACAAGTTAAACAAACCTGTGCCTCCTTTTACAAATTCTAAGCCAGCCCTGTGGGTGGCCTCTCTTTACCCTAACTCAGGGGTCAGCAAACACTTTTCTATAAAGGACCACACATTAAACAGTTTAGGCTTCACGAGCTACATGGTCTCTGTTGCAGCTCCTCAGCTCTGCTGCTGTAGCATGAAAGCAGCCACAGGCAATATGTAAATGAATGAGCATGGCCATGTTCCAACAAGAGCTGAATTATGAACACTGAAATGCAAACTTCATAAAATAATTTTCATGTGTCACAAAATCTTATTCTTCTTGTGTTTTTTTTCAACCATTTAAACATGTAGAAACTATTATTCTTAGTTCACGGGCCATATAAAAACAGGCAGCAGGCCAGATTTGGTCAGTGAGCCACAGCTTGCCACTGACCTGGCCTCGCTCCTTAATTCTTTTTCTTTTTTTGAGACAGAGTCTCGCTCTGTTGCCGAGGCTAGAGAGCAGTGGCACGATCTCGGCTCACTGAAACCTCCGCCTCCCAGGTTCAAGCAATTCTCCCGCCTCAGCCTCCTGACTAGCTGGGATTACAGGAATGTGCCACCATGCCTGGCTAATTTTTGTATTTTTAGTAGAGACGAGGTTTTGCCATGTTGGCCAGGCTGGTCTCAAACTCCTGACCTCAGGTAGTCCGCCCACCTCGGCCTCCCAAAATGCTGGAATTACAGGCATGAGCCAGCTCCTTAATTCTTAACCTTGGCTGGACATCAGATTTACCATGGTAACTGTTTACAACTACAGATGCCGAGGCCCACACCTATCTCAATAAAGATCTCTATGGTTGAAACCCAGGCATTTTGAAAGTTCCCCAGGTTGTTCTCTTACTGAGCCAGGGTGGAGAACCAGTGGTCTAACTCATTCCAAGCTGTCCCCAGTAATACTGTAATATAATCCCATCATAAAACAATGTTGGTAATCCACTTTCCTAGTGTTCACAAATTGTCTATCCTGAAGCTGTCTTTTGAGCCCACCTCTGAATCAGGGTTGCCATGACAACTGTAATTCAATCCAGGCCATAGTCCAAAACTCCTGGCTTAAAATAACCCAGTGTCAATTGATCCAGTTTAGGAGGTAGATTGTGCTTTGCCTTCAAACCTCTTCCCAGATGGAATTCAGTCACTGGAGTGACCGGTTCACAACTTCTGGGACCCTTAGGTCTCAGATTGCCATCAACAAGCTGAGTGGCTATGAATTTGATATAGCCTTCCCTTCTTTCCCACATTTCTACTTTCACAATTGATAGTCCTTTAGGAGCAAACAGGTACCCTAAAAAAGAAAACACAAAATAAGAAGTATCCAGGTCAAGGTTATTTCATCTCTCTGAGCCTCAGTTTCCTCATATATCAAGTGGGGATAAAAACATGTATTCTGTAGGTTTGTTGTGAAAATGACGACACAATGACTTGCCCAAAATAAGCACTCAATAAATGATTCATCATCATCATCATCATCTTAAGGAAAAGTATCCAAGTAAATACTCTTTGGTTTCTGACAAAACTTTTATCCCAGAATTCCAAAAGACAAGAGCATTCGCATTCCTTCCTCACCAACCATTTTGAGGAAGCCAGTGGCTTCAAGAAATCAGCAAGGGTAAAATTGTGAGCAGAAAGAAAGACAGCATTTGGATCTATGAAAAGGCAAAGAAGTACACGTATATTTACTGAATAGTCACTGAAAAGTACTTCAGTATCAGAATAGGATATTTAAACTGCCATAGTATGCACTGTTATGACTGAACCATGTGTTCCCCCAGTTCATGTGCTGAAGTCTTAAGTTCTGACCCCCAGTACCTCAAAATGTGATTGTATTTGGAAATATAGCCTTAGAAGAGGTAATTAGGTAAAATGATGTCATATGGATAGGTCCTAATCCAATATAACTGGTGTTTTTCCAAGAGATTAGGACACAAGCAGGCACAAGGGAAGAAATAAAAACTCTGGAAGAAAACCTAAGCCAAAGAGAGAGGCCCTTGGAAGTAACCAACCCTACGGACAATTGATCTCGGACTTTTTGCCTCCAGAACTGTGAAGAAATAAACTTCCGAGTTTTTTTGTTTGTTTTTTGCAATGGCATGATCTTGGTTTGCTGTAACCACCGCCTCCCGGATTCAAGCGATTCTTCTGCCTCAGCCTCCCAAGTAGCTGAGATTACAGGTGCATGCTACCAGGCCCGGCTAATTTTTGTATTTTTAGTAGAGATGGGGTTTCACTATGTTGGCCAGGCTGGTCTTGAACTCCAAACCTAAAGTGATCCACCTGCCTCGGCCTCCCAAAGTGCTGGGATTATAGGCGTGAGCCACCACGCCCGGCCATAAACTTCTGTTTTTTAAGCCACCCAGACCGTGGTACTTTGTGGTAACCCAAGCAAATGAACACATTCACTCTAATACAGTTAGGGATTTGCTAATATAAAGGAATTTAAAGCATATTTTACTGGATCATTTTCTAGACAATCAAATTCTTTTTTATGCTGAATATGAGCATATGTTCAGGGTCCTAGAATTTTTTTACATAAGATTATACATAAGATTACTGATGTATAATCAGTAATCTTATGGGCACTGATGTCTGGAAATACAAGACACTGAAAAAAAAAGTCTCTCCACGAGATATAGATACCTACTGAACACCTATAATGATAAAACTCAAAAACAGCATGACTGTCCTATTTCAGAACAGGAAGTCAGTAGTAATAAAAATAGACAAGAAACAAAGGCAATTTTAGAACAGGTGGTTGGTAAACTGAAGTTATCTATAAAGAGGAACACAATTGATAAGAAGCAAATGATGCAGCAGAAAACACTACCCTGTGGAAAACCCAAATCACCTGCCACTCGTTTTTTATCCTGTATTTGAGCAAACTACAAGAGTAGGAGAAAAAAATTGTTACAGATTCTAATTTCTTATATAAGCACAATTCACAGTATTAGCAGTTTAAGCTGATTTGTGGTTATCTTATAATAAAACTGGTATTTTTTTCAAGAGTGTTCAAGATATAGATACAATGAATTATGAGTCATTCTGTAATTCCTAACAGTGTAGTTAGTTGTGAGACCCTACTTTTCTAAATTTAACCAACTATAATATGGCTAAATCCACCCTCCCCCACCCCCACCAAAAGCCACTAAAAACCACAGTGAACATAAATTTTGCTCAATAAACATTTATTAAGATGCCACTATCTACCATATACTGTGAGGGGAGTAAAAATGAAGAGGAAATCTACTTGGTCTTCAAGGGACTTACAGCCTAGTTGGGAAGACAAACACATAAACAAATAAGTTAAATATAATATACTAAGAGATATCCAAAGAGTGCAATGGGACCACACAGGAGAGACCCTTAGCCAACCCTGGGGGTTGAGGCCACCTGAGTTAGAAGTGGTTGGCCAAAGAGGGCAGAAAGAGCATCACAGGCAGAGGAAACAAAGCGAACAAGGGTTCACCATAGAATCTCAAGCATCTGTGGCCAGACAGGGTGACTGAAAGACACAAGAAGGATTACAGTCTAAGGATTTTTGAAGAAAGAAGTGAACTTTTCCAGTCCAGATACAGTCTGGATATTATTCCAGAAACAACACAGGGTGTGAGCAGCAAAGAAAGACCTAAGTGGAGTTATTCTACAATGCCCAGATCTGAGACGCAAAAGAGCAGCACCACCAGAGAACCCCTATTCACCTAATGACTGATGGCAACAAGCATTTTGCAAAGCCCCTGGCAGAGAAACAAAACTTCCCAAAATAATTATAATAATACACTGGATACAAATGAAAGACCCCAGATGAAGATTGTTTTTTATCACTTGGAAGTTCAGTATTTGCCGTTAGACTGACACTTGTCTACAGTTTGTGTTGCAAGCCCTCACGCAAAGATGCACGCACACCAATGCATACAAGGTTGCTCGAGGCCAGGGTGGGAGATGAAGACAGACCAGCAACAAACCAAGATTCAAAAAGCAATGTTTCAGACAGGTCACAGACCACTTGGGCAATTTCCTCAGCTATACCTGGCTGGAGTTTTTACTAGATTTCCTAATGAAAAGAGCTGGTTGTTGACACCAGATCCCTGGAGCACAGTCTACAGTCTGCCTCATATATAAACTGGATTACGTTTTCTGTATGGTAGACAGTATATGGTGCGCCCTTAGATTGGGCTCCATCATTCTCAGCTTTTTATTTTTATTTTATTTATTTATTTATTTTTGAGACAGGGTCTTGCTCTGTTACCCAGGCTGGAGTGCAGTAGCGTCATCACAGCTCAATGCAGCCTTGACCACCAGAGCCCAGGTGATCCTCCCACCTCAGCCCCCCAAGTAGCTGGGACTACAGGTGTGCACCATCACGCCAAGCTAACTTTTGATTTTTAGTAGACACAAAGTCTCACTATGTTGCCCAGGCTGGTCATGAACTCCTGGGCTCAAGCAATCCTCCTATCTCAGCCTCCCAAAGTTGCTGGGATTATAGGCATGAGCCATCCACCTGGCCCCAGATTATCCTTTTATGGTCTATATAAACTTGTCCCTAAAAAAAATTTTTTTTTCAGAATTGTTATAGATGTCTTCCTAGAGTAGGCAGAGTGGCAGACATCAGCTGCTGATTAGAGTGGAGACTCCTGTGCTCAGCACAAGCACTTGATGTGCCCTCCTCCCCAGGAATGAAGCTTATTTCTACATAATCACTGATTCACACTATTGACCTGAATAAGATGATGTTCTCTATTGTCAGTTTAAGAGAGTAAGAAAATATATATCCAAACTCTTTAGAAAATAACTAAAATATAAAGGATAGGCCTTGAAAGAATTAAATCTTAGTCTAGAAAATTTGTTTTCTCATAACTGTCCCCCTCCTCCCAGCTATCTTCCATGATATGCTACTGTGGATATCTTGCCAGGATTTCTGTGTCCCTCACTAGCAGAATAGGGTTTTGCTGTAACTGTCTGGAATCTCTTGTCTTCTCTCCCCTTTTTTTGTCCTCTCCATGGCATCTCCTGCATCCTGTGTCCCACTCCAGGACTGGCTGGTTTGAAAGAACCACAGCTGGCATTCCTTGGGATTCCCATCCCAAGAAGGTGGCCTGAGTTACATCATGGTACCCTCCTCTAGTGCTAGAATGGTGGTAAGAGTGGCCAGAGAGGAGAGGAGACAAGGCCACAGAATCAGTGACCTGAGCAACAGGCAGGAGCTGCTACAGCTCATGTTCAGACCAAGTGCTTATCTAGAAGTAGCAGGGCTGACAGTATCTCTCTCCCTTTTTCCAAGATATGACTTGGGGCACTGGTACCTCTGATTTTGAGAGTCCCACTGTTGAAAGGAATCATCCCTTCCAAGAAGCCTCCCAAGATGTCTCCAGGTATAATTAGTCCTCCTGTCCCCCGCTGTTCCTCTGCTACACTCTTTGTTTCCATTAGAGGACTCATCACAGTCTGTTGCACACTGAAGACTGAGACCCTGGGAGACAACGGCCATGTCTTCTTCCTCTTTGTACTCAAAAAGAGCCTGCCTTGCTCAGGCACTCCATGAATCCATAACATCATTTAATATAATCTTATGTAAACTGATAAAATATGAGGGCAAAAGGAAGCATTACTCTCATGAAAACAGTATTTCTCAACAAGCTACTGTCATTTTGGATGGTGCAATTCTTTATTGTGTGGGATCCACCATTCACTGTGGGATGTTTAAAATCCCTGACGCTTGGGTGCTAAATGCCAGTGTCTGAAACACTAAAATTTGTCCTGTGCACATTTTTAAATGGCTCCTGTTGAGAACCATGAGGTAAATCTCTTAAAACAATGGTTATTCTGTTCCCATTTCTCCATAAAATGTCTGTATGTGTACTCAATATGGAATCAATTCATATCCATATTCACATTATATTAATACAAAAACAAACCAAGAAGGAGACAGACAGCAAATCACGAACAATGATTATCCTGGAAATCTGCGATGATAGGGCCCTTCATCGCCTAAGGAGTATATTTCTGTAGATTTTGAGTTCGTATAGTGAGTTATGTACTTCCTAATAATCACATAATAATAAAGATTTAAGTGGTAGGGAAAAAAGTACTGTCAAATTAGGCATGGGAAAGGCAACCTTTAAATTTTTAAATTAAAAGACTTCTGCTCTCAGATTGTTCTGAAAGTATATTAAGGTTCATGTTCCACACTAAAAAAAAAATTAAAACTGGTAGAAATCATAGATTGTAGATACTACAGTTTAAATGTCTGTATACCCTCCAAAATTCATATGTTGAAACTAATTCACCAATGTGATGATAGTATGAAGGAGGTGATTAAGTCATGAGAGTGGAGCCCTCATGAGTGGGTAAAAGAGGTGTGAGGGAGCTGTTTCCCCCTTTTGCCCTTCTGCCTTCTGCCATGAGAGAACACAGCATTCAAGGTGCTATCTGGGAGGCAGAGAACGAGGCCTTTACCAGTCACCGAACCTGCCAACACTTTGATCTTGCACTTCCCAGCCTCCAGAACTGTTTGGCATTTAAAGCAAGGTAAAAGACATTGCAGAATATTAAGTATAGTATTGTAATATTTATGTCAGAAAAAGGAAGTGACACATACAGCTACATACTTACATATGAACAGAATATCTCTAAAAGGATACAACACTAGAACCTCATATAATGGATAGTCTCTAAGGAGAGGAATTGGGGGACTGCCCAAGGGGTGGGAGAGAGACTTTACTAAATACCTTTTGAATGTTTTTCCAAGTGCATGTCTACTTTCTCAAAGAATGAACAGACATCAAGTCACTGTGTTTCATGCAGTAGAAACAGACCCATTAAATGATGTGTGATGTCTGACCCATGGTTCTCAACCTGAAGGGATCACTGTCTGGGTTTCTATTTTGGCTTCAAAACCATACAACATTCTAGCTAAGTTCATATTTAAATTATTCCTTTCTTTTGAAACTCTTGGGAGATTGGGTGTGGGTAAACCATCTAGTTGTCCAAAGAGTTAAGAAAGACATAGGAAATAGTGTTGCCATAATCATTTTCTTCCTGGACAAAGAAATGGTGTTCTGTGTCAGACTTAACAAGAGTGCTTGTTTGCTTCAAGAGCTGCATGGATCATCAGAAAGTCTACGTAACACAGTAGGAACATCTGCATCAAAATTGCTGATATGAAGAAGATTCTATTATAAAACATCTTTCCTTGTCACCTTGTCTGGCACAACACTGCCTAGCTCTCAGTCCTCCCACTCGCAGGGATGACAAATGGACTCACTCGGCCACCATCCCCACCTGTCTCTGTGTCTTGATATTCTTCAGCTCTCACCCAGCTCCATCTCATGCCTGGTCCATTCCCTTTAATATGTGATTGCAGCATCACGTGCCTCTCCTCACAACACTTATCTTGGTTGTAACAGTGCACCTACAACCTGACTGCATTCTGCATGCAGGGTGAGGACTTTCATATTATGCTGGCTCATTTTTATCCCCAATGCTTGACACATACCAGGCACTCAGTAAATAGTCCGGAACGGAAGAGAAAATATGAATACTTCAAATAGAATATCAATTAACAAATACTTATTGAACATACTCTATGCTAAGTGCTAGGGATATACACTATGCACATATTATACATGTGTGCATACGCGAGTGTATGTATGATTAAGATATCTGATTATGGTATAGGAATAAGTGATGGGTATGTGAAAGAATGAATGGACTTAAAAAAGAGGCCTAGAAATATATTTAAAAAATAGATGTCTATATTCTGCAACATTTTTGACTAACATTAATAGGCTATGGTTGAAAATAAATATTTTTATTTATGTGGACAAACAATAAATAGCTCAATGAGTAGCTGATTACAGTTTGTTTATTTGGAGCATCCTGACGCACTGTGCAATGGAACTTCAGCACATGCTCTGAGCAGATAACAGGGTTCTGCTCACCACAAGCCTATCTCACCAGAAGAGTAAGAGCTAGGATATAAGCCACAAAGCTCAGAGTCAGTGGTAGTCCCACAGCATAGCTGAAGGGACCACCAAGGAGATCCTGGGAGCCACCAAGCTTCTATCAGCCAGCAGGTATGACTGGCCACTGACCCATCCTTGTAGAACAGAGCATAAGAATCACATTGTATGTCAGAGAGTGAATTAGAAATAATATTTAGCTGTGTATATTTTCTGCAGCTACTAATACTTCCTTCTATTGTTTCTGCTAGAAAGAGAAAAGGTAAAAGTAATTTGGGTCTGAGTCTCTACTAGCTGGAAATCATTTTGTTGTGTTCAGATTCTTCCCTCTAAAATGACTGATAAGCTAAGAGTGTAACTATGGTCACCATCAGCAGGATCACTGTGCTGGTCACTGTGCTGTGACCATGTTTATATCTCTCCATTGTTATTTTAGTTTATCTGTTTTTTTCTTAAGTTGTGTGTATCTCCAGGTAGAAAACTAGAGATGTTTAAAACAAAAGAGAACCTTGATTAATGGAACCCAACCACTTAGAAGACACAATATGCTGTTTTGTTGTTATATTTTTCTGTTTAGTCAAATGACTGAACATATTCACACACACACCCCCTACAATTTTGTTTAAAAATTTCCTAGGATATGGCTTAAGGTATACATATGACACAAACACTATAATTTCCTGAGAAGAATCACTGACATTTGGCATAGCCGTTAATTTTAAAAAGGCCTCAAGAGTTTTACTTGACCCTAAGCTAAATTTGACGAAGCTGAACAAGTTCATCGAAACTCAGGTTGAAGCAATGTCATGACCAAATCAAAAGCAGATACTAATCCTGCTGTTCCTGACTGTGGTGAGACACAGCAGGAATGGGTACAGTTAAGGGCATCACATCTTAAGAGATCACTGACGAAAACAAAAGAGAAAGGAGCCACAATATGGAGGGAGGAAAAAAGGAGTCTTGGATAGGATGTTCTGGGAGAAACCCCTAGGGAGTTGGAGAAGCAAAGCTGCAGGTGAGACTCAAGGATGGGAAGGGCTTTTCTACTGAAGAGGGGATGGACCCACTCTCTACGTCAGACTTGGGAGCAGTCAGTACAACAGATGTTCTTGTTTTACCTTCTGCTAAGCAGAAACTAAGCATGATTCTCTGTTCTCAGCTGAACTTGATCCTAGAGCTGCCTGGGACCTCTGGCGCAGGCCTTATGAGTAAGCCTGCCCAAAAGGAGACAGAGCTAATAGAGGGAGAGATGCAGGTTCTGATCGCGTCATCTGAGACCTGGTTAAAGCTACACCTCTGGTCATTTGCTGGACTTCTCAATTGGACAATACAGTCCCCATTTTACTTAAGCTTCTCTGGGTAAGGATTTTTGCCACTTTCACTGAAAGAGTCTCAAGTGACCTCCACTGCCTTTGGAGACAGCAAGTTCCATATCTCTAGAAACGGTCAAGCAAAGGCTAATAACCATCTGTCAAGCACTCGGGGGGAAGGGAATCTAAAACTGGGGTGAAGCTAGGCCTACAGGACTGTATTAGTTTGCTAAGGCTGCTGTAACAAATACCACAGACTGGGTGGCTTCAACAACAGAAATTTATTTTCTCACAGTTCTGGGAGCCAAAAGTCCAAAATCAAGGTGTTGGCAATGTTGGTTTCTCCAGGGCCCCTCTCGTTGGCTTGCAGACAAGTCATCCTCTCCCTGTGTCATCGCCTATCTTCCCTTGTGCCTATCTGTGGCCCCAATCTCTTCTCACGAGGACACTGCTCATAACAGATGAGGGCTGACCCTAATGACCTGATTTTAATTTCATGACATCCTTAAAGACCCTAACTTTAAATATGGTCACACTCTGAGGTACTGTGGGTTAGGACCTCAACGTATGAATCTTCAGGGGCCACAATTCAGCCCATTAAAATGCCCTTCGAGGTCACTTACAACTCCAACATCAAGCAAACTTGAGTAAAGAATGCCAGTATTTTTTTCCAGAGCCATTTCCTCCCTAGACCAGCAACAGAGTGTGTGACACCGCTGGCAGCTTCCTCGGGCCTCAACAGTCAGAGTGAGGCTGTATCCTTAGAGGAGGACTCTTCGCATTTTGTACAACCTAATCTGACCATATTTACTCATTTACTTTATTTCATGAATTGCTATTTGCTTTTCCAGTGGTTGAGGTCAAATGAAAACCTTTTACAAACAGTGCTAATTAATCTGGTTTTAAAATGGGCAGCATGGCGGGGCATATGCTGCACGCTGGCCAAGGTGGTGGCATCCAGGGCACATGCATAGTTGAGGTGGACTTTCTCAGGAGTGGTCATAACTGCTTTGGTTATACTAGAGTTTTGAAAAGATTAAACAAGCATGTAAAGAAAAACTGCAAAACACTGTGCAAATATGTAAGCTACCATTAAATTAAATGCAAATATTTCAGCAATAACAGCCACATCTTTTACAAATTCTGCCTGAGCCAGTACATGCAGAAGTGTCTGAGATTTGGGGTCCTAACTTCCATTCAGGTCAATTGGCTTCAAGGAAATAAAATTCTCTATGTAGATCCCAGCAACTGCTATCATAAAACACATCCCCTATCACTGGCTAGATGGTCTGTTTGAATGGCTTTGTGCACATTTTTGACTTGTCAGCAAAAAACACGCAAAGTCTGAGTCCTGGGGGTAGGGGGCCAACAGGAAGAAGTGGGGTCTGCTAGGTGGTTTTTTTCACATACTAAAACCAGCCAAAGAAGAAAGTTAGATCATTAGAGTCAGAACTGAAAGGAGCCATAGCATCCAGCTCGCTCTTTTCACAGAGACAAGGAAGGAGAGGGCCACAGGGGTGGACCGGGGCCACAAAGTCGGTTGGCCAGTGGAAGTCAAGGTCCCCATCCCCCTGCCAGACCATGCTCTTTCAGTAGGTAATAGCAATGTGCTATTTTCCACACTCCAAGCTCCCTACATGAAATCAAACCTAGACAAGGGCTTGAGGAAATACCTCTGGATTGGACCATAAGAAACGGACTAGCAGTGTTAGTGTAGATAGACTTCTGGACTTCTGAACTCAGCTGTGCGCGCGGATTAAGGAAGCTGGATGAACGTTTATGTTGGCATCAGAAGACGGTTGACATTTTAAACTTTGACGAGTCATTGGGAAGACTGGGGTAAGAGGAAAGTAGAAAAGCAAATGCCACTCAACAGTTGTCCAATATCCTAGATCAAAGGAGAAAAGCTTACCCAGAAGCAAAATTCTGTGTTATGAGAAGAAATGCGCTGAAAGATCATTTCTGCTGAGGTAGCCACAGAAACTGCAGGTATCGATGCTGAGGCAGGACGAGGGGTGAGCCAAGGTTTCCACCTCTTACCTGCAGCTGGACATGAGCTGTATCAAGCAGGCAGACTTTAAATAATCAGAAGTGGATGCTTGCCTTGTCAGGGATGGGGCACCATACACAGGATTGTGAAAGGAGAGGGGTGTGAACAGGCCACAGAGAGAATGGCAGGGACAGAGCTGTCCAGAGTCTCCCTCTTGGGCTTAGGCCATGCCATCAGCCCTGCAGGTTCCTAGAGCAGCCAGGGAGTTCCCGGAGTGGGGCTCATATCACCAGCGGGTTGAAAGGAGCCCCGATCTTTTCCATTCCTCAATTCCTGATGCGGCTCCACAGATCTCACAACGAAGAGTCTGAGCCAGGCCAGAGGCATCACTGGCTTTAGGGTCATCTCCCTCTCTGTCATTCCTGAACATTCACTAGCACTCAGACTGAAGTCAATGCAGTTCCCACTCACCATGCTAAACACCTTCTCTGTCTGAAGTGAAATTTAAGTCATGGATTTTTCAAGTAAGGAAAAAAGTAGAGCAGGCCAGGCATGGTGGCTCACACCTGTAATCCTAGCACTTTGGGAGGCTGAGGCGGGTAGATCACCTGAGGTCAGGAGTTTGAGACCAGCCTGACCAACATGGTGAAACCCCATCTCTACTAAAAATATAAAAATTAGCTGGGCATGGTGATGCATGCCTGTAATCCCAGCTACAAGAGAGGCTGACACAGGAGAACTGCTTGAACCCAGGAGGCAGAGGTTGCAGTGAGCCGAGATCATGCCGCTGCACTTCAGCCTGGGTGACAGAATGAGACTCAGTCTCAAAAAAAAAAAAAAAAAAAAAAAAGCAGAGTAAATACAATTACAGTAGACTCCTTCCTACCTCAAACCTGTCAACTTGAACTTTTATGGCTAGAAATTTTGCTCTATTCTGTTTTTAAATGAGGAACTGTAACTGATATAGTTTTTTCCAACCACTCATGTCCTTTCTTTTGTGACAGGAATCACAAAAAAAAAAGGAAGGGCATCAGTTCCAGCAATCTCTGAGACCTCCGCACGATGCCCCTGCACCGTGCCCACCCTCCATACTAACAATTCTATAATGTTCTCCAATTTTTAAGCATTTTTTTCCACTTCATATCTCATGTATTTCTGCCCATAATCTTCTGAAACAGGAAGGATAAGCGTTGTTATTAATCCTCTTTTACAGCTGATGAAACCAAGGCCCTGAAAGGTTCACCAAGTTGCCAGGGTCGTGCAGATCAACAAACTGCAGAAGCAAGACTCAACCAGGTCTTCTGCTGTCAAATCCTGTGCCCTTCCCATGGCCAGCAGAGCCTCCCCCAGCTGGATCAGAAACCTTTCAGGGAAATTTAGAAGGTGCTTTCTTTCATACACACAAAAAGTAGTGATCACTTAACCTTAAAATCTTGTTTCACAAAGATGTTGTAATATTATACCTATACTTAAAACGTTAGATTTCTAATAAAATTTAATTAATAGAGCTATGAATAACTTAATAGTAATAATGAAAGTCATAGTAATTAATAGTAACTTAATAAATAGCAATAAAATAGCAATGATACTAGTCTCTATTTTGATGATACCAATATTAGTGTCTAATGTATACAAAAGAGCATGGGATTATAAACTAGACAACCTGGGCTAAAGTCTCCAACTCCACCACTCAGAAGGGACTTTGGGCAAAAAGCAAATCTGTTCCTTTCCAGGCTTGCATGGTGGATCTGCTTACCAACACACATATACATATACATATACATTATACATATACATATACATATACATATACATATACATATACATATACATATACATATACATATACATACAGAAACCAGGAACACATATACATACAGAAAAATACAAGTTTGCCGTTGCCGGACTCACTCCTACCATCATCCCACTATGTTAGGCCATAGGTCCCTATTCTAGTGTCTTCTGACTCTTAGAATCTTTGGGGATCCCATCCCTCTATACCTGCCTCAGGCTCTCCTTACTCTATTTAGACACATTATTAATTTGCTCGGGCTGCCATGACAATATGCCATAAACTGGTGGGTTAAGCAATAGACATTTATTTCTTATAGTTCTGGAGCTGGAAATCTGAGAATAGGATACCAGCATGTCTGGGTTCTGGTGAGGGGTCTCTTCCTGGCTTGTAGATGACCACCTTCTTACAGTGTCCTCATATGGTAGAGGGAGGGCGGCAGAGGGGAAGAGGGAAGGGTAAAGAAAGAGAAAAAGAGTCGTACACAAGCAAGCTCTCTAGCATGTATTCTTGTAAGGGCACTAACCCCATTATGAGGGCCCCACTCTCATGACCTCTAAACTTCATTACCTCCCAAAGATCCCATCTCTAAATAGCATCACATTGGGGGTCAGGACTTGAATATATAAAGGAGGTGGGGGACACCATTCAGTCCATAGAAAAATGCTTCTTATCTCTATCTTTAATACCTTCACTCTCTAACACAATTGGAAACCTCCCCAGGGGCTCCATGAACCGTGGCTGCAGGCTCTCAGGTACTCTATCCCAGGACCACAAGGAGTTAATTTGATATTTCCACCAATGGAGGGTATCAGGCTCTCATTAAGCCATTGTAAAATGGATGTAATAAAACAACTGTTTTCTAAGATTACTGTAACAATAAAAATATTTGTTAAAACTATAAATTGCGAGGCCTACAATAATTTTACTGGTGGTCAGGAAACTAAAACAAGGACTGATTTAGTCTAATTAGGAAATTGAACATAAACATTTTCCCTATAAAAGATACAAGAATCTTCTCTGTGAAATATATTCCAGTTACCAGTAGCATTTCTGAGGTAAGGCAATATAGAACAATGCCACTCTCTGACATGTATGATAATAATTGATTTGTTTGCTGGTCAAGTCTTGTTTTCTTTCTCAGTTTACATTGCACTTACCAGATAAGCCCAAGGCACAGACAGTGACACCTAAGTCATTAGGCTATTTGGGGCAACATATTCTCTTCCGTTCTGTGCTTCTCCAGTCCCACAGAAATGCCCAAAGGGAAAATGGAGGGTCTAGGATAAAAGCCCTTGAGTTTTCAGTGAGTAACATTAAAAGAATATCAGTGATATCTTCATCCAACACTTCAGGTTCTGACATTAGGATGTAATTTTTATGCCCACGTTAGAAGCACTGAATTTGTCTCTTCCCAACAGTCCTGCTCTATGGCACTGCTTCCAGAAGTAACACTGATAACGGCATGTTCCTTCTTTGATGAAGAGTTCCCAAAATGGATTGACCAGGTGAAAATAAGAAAGGGGAATAGAGAGGAGGAAGATGGAGCTGTTCTCTACATGCCAATGTTTCTGAAAGACATCTCCAACTTCATCCTTTCTCTAAATCTGGGCTTATCAATGCAACTTTCCAATGGGCATCCTCCCCATCTCATAGAAATTCCACAAGTTCCAAACTCCAGGATCCTCTTCCCCTACCCAGAGCCCACACCTCTCTTCCTGGGTTCTTCTCCTTGGTGAGTGGCACCAGTACTCATCTGGTACCTAATCTGTAATATAACTCCTCTCCTTCATTCCAGCTATGCAAGGTCCTGCTCAGAAGAACTCTGGCTTTTATTCATTTTATATCCACTCCCAATGTCATAGGCACCAAACCTAACATTTCTGTAGCATCTGACATTTTTCTTTTCTGTTTTACTGTCTTCCACCTCCAACAGAACATGAGCTCCATGACACAGGAATATGTCTGTCATATTCAACACTGCAACCCTAGAACAATCACTGATCATTTAATAAAGTCTCCTTTAAAGAAATATTGAATGAGCACAATATTTAATTGTGAATTAATTCTTCCTAAATGATACGTGGTCATCATTAGAAACATTAGTTTTTGCCACTTATATTCAGTACAAGTTAGTTTAATCACATTACTCTCATCCTAACACTGCTAAGAGGAGCTAACCCTGAAGGAATAAGAGTTTCACTCAGGATAAAAGGAATAATTTGGGGACGTGGGGGCACTTTACAGGGATGGAGATCTCACCAGGAAGAGACATAGGAGGGTGGTTGAAACCATTGAAAAAGTGATACCAGGCATTAGTCATTCAAAGCAGAAATGAGGAAGACTAAGAGGTGAGACTGGGTTGCATAAAGGAACAAAACAGTTGCTAATCTAACCCTGTGCCTATGAAGCTATAAGGTAGCAGCTGAGAACATGACTTTGGGGTTTAAATCCTATGTTCATTATTTACTGGCTGTGTCATCATGGGAAACTTAATCACTCTACAATTCTCATCTCTAAAATGGACATAACAATGCCTAACTCACAAGACTGTTAAAAAGATTAAATAGGGCTTATAGGAAAAGCATTTAGCACGATGCTTTTGTAACTTTTATATGTAATAAGCAATCAAATGGTAGTATAATTACTATTTTTAAAATATTATCCCATAATTATAATTTTTGTTAAGATTAGAGTTTTGTTATTGTTGTTGTTGTTGTGTTATTGTTGTTGTTTTTGAGATGGAGTCTGGCTCTGTCTCTCAGGCTGGAGTGCAGTGGCGCAATCTCGGCTCACTGCAACGTCCACTTCCCAGGTTCAAGCGATTGGAGATTTTTAAACTTATTTTTGTTTTTTACTTTTCATCTAGATTATTTACCTATTCTGATATTTTTGAAGTTGCTGAAAAAAAAAACAAAAAACTTTCATCTGGATTGGTAGAAATCACTAAATCAGCAAAGATAGTACATGAATCATCAGCTGATGACTCAAAAAAACAGCACAGCTTGTAATTTCTCTAAAACTCAGAGAATGAAGAAAAATGGACCTTTGTAAAGTAGGGTGAGATAAATAATAATAAGAAATCCTCTGCCCAAGCAATTGCCTTCAAAAAACATAAAAGCAGAAATCAGTTATATCACCTCCTGCTAAAACTCAGCTTCTCTTAGAAAAACATTCCAATTCTTAGTATGATGCTCAAGCTTCCCAGGATCCTTGTCCAGTGCACTGGTGTCCTTTTATTACCCTCTCCCTGGCCATTCACATGTGTGGTTTTCTCTGTCCCCAAGATCTTCACTGGGGGCTTCCATTCAGGACTCTGCTCAAATGCCACTTCCTCAGGGAAAGTCTCCCAGCCTAACCGAGCTGAAACAATTGCTTCTCCTCAGTCACTCTTAGGACCCTTCACTCTGTCTTACTTTTGCCCTAAATCACCCATCATTATCAGAAGTAAAATCATCTACTTACTGTTCACTGTCTGCCCCAGTAGAATGTGAGTCCCACGAGGACTGACCTTTATCTTTCTTATTACAGATTCCATATATCCCTAGATTATAGCACAGTGCCTGTCACCCAGTGTGTTTAATAAATACTTGTTGGAGGAATGAATTAGTAACAATACTACCTACTGTTCATAGTTGAGGACTTATTATGTGCTTGCTAGCATTATCTCATTTAATCTTAAGGACAATGCTATGAAGTTAGGTATAATTATTGCCCCGTTTTACCAATGAGGAACCTGAGGCTTAACAAAGCTAAAATTACTGACTTATCCAATGTTAGACAGGACTAAGTGTGGGATTTGAATCTAGATCAAATGCACACATGTACATATACACACACATACACTTTTTATAGGCAAATTGGCAAAAAGAAGGAAAAAAGAAAACAGGGTAACTACTACACTACTCAACGATCCTACCAGGGCTTAGGATGATGACTGGAGTCAAGCCTAGACCAACTTGCTCTCTTCTCATTCTCCTCAATGGAATGAAATGCTTGGCCAATGGTTATAACCAAGGACCACTGGCCAACACTGCATCACTGAGGATTCCTCACTGTACTCAGCAACCACAATGCGCAGGAGATGGTCCAAAGGTATAGTACACCTGGACAAATGTAACCGAAAGTTTATTCTTCTTTTCAATAATGTCAGAGCTTCAATCTATATGTTAACTTTTTAAAGGAAAGAAAAACTCAGTGGCTGGGCACAATGGCTCATTGCCTATAAACCCAGCACTTTCGGAGGCTGAGGTGGGCAGATCACTTGAGCTTAGGAGTTTAAGACTAGCCTGGCCAACATGACAAAACCTCGTCTCTACAAAAAATACAAAACTTAGCTGGGCATGGTGGCACATGCCTGTAGTCTGTGCTACTTGGGAGGCTGGGGTGGGGGTATCATCTGAGCCCAAGGTGTTGAGGCTGCAGTGAGCTGAGATTGCATCACTGCATTCCAGCCTGGGAGACAGAGTGAGACCCCTGTCTCAAAAAAAAAAAAAAAAAAAAAGGAAAAAGAGAAAAAGAAAAAGTTAGCAAGTTACTGTTTGTCTATAGACTACTATTTAAAGATGTTTTCAGCAGAAAAAAAGGTAAGAATTGCTCAGTATTTCAGAAATAAGAATGGAATTGTTACTTCTTCAAGTTGGAAAGGCTTTGGAGAGGTATGCTATGAAGTAAGCTTCTGAGAAAATTTATTTTCTTATCCACTCTTCCAGACTATCCTTCAAAATTATATAATTGCAGTCTGCCAGATATTTCCATGTATATGTAGAAATATAATTAGCCCAATTAGTTAAGACTTTTGACTTGTACAATAAAAACGCAGTAAACTGACACTCTATTACTCAAGATAACGAAACAGCTGGTACAAACACTCATACCTGCACTTACTGCCAGTAATAAACTTTATGAGCTTTGGGACATCACTTGGCTTTTTGGTATCTTGATTTCTTTTTCTTTTTTTTAATTTTATTTTATTATTATTATACTTTAAGTTTTAGGGTACACGTGCACAATGTGCAGGTTAGTTACATATGTATACATGTGCCATGCTGGTGTGCTGCACCCATTAACTCGTCATTTAGCATTAGGTATATCTCCTAAAGCTATTCCTCCCCCCTTCCCCCACCCCACAACAGTCCCCAGAGTGTGATGTTCCCCTCCCTGTGTCCATGTGTTCTCATTGTTCAGTTCCCACCTATGAGTGAGAATATGCGGTGTTTGGTTTTTTGTTCTTGCGATAGTTTACTGAGAATGATGATTTCCAATTTCATCCATGTCCCTACAAAGGACATGAACTCATCATTTTTTATGGCTGCATAGTATTTCATGGTTATATGTGCTACATTTTCTTAATCCAGTCTATCATTGTTGGACATTTGGGTTGGTTCCAAGTTTTTGCTATTGTGAATAGTGCCGCAATAAACATATGTGTCATATGTGTGCATGTGTCTTTATAGCAGCATGAATTACTATTCAAATCAAAGTTGTTGGACACAGTTTGATATTAATTTTTTTTTTTTGAGACGAAGTCTTGCTCTGTCACCTAGGCGGGTGTGCAGTGGTGCCATCTCGGCTCACTGCAACCTCCATCTCCCAAGTTCAAGTGATTCTCCTGCCTCAGCCTCCCAAGTAGCTGGGACTACAAGTGCCCGCCACCATGCCCAGCTAATTTTTGTATTTTTAGTAGAGATGGGGTTTCACCATGTTGACCAGGCTGGTCTTGAACTCCTGACCTCAGGTGATCCACCTGCCTCAGCCTGCCAAAGTGCTGGGATTACAGGCATGAGCCACTGCGCCCAGCTAATTCTTAACAACATACTATGCATTTGCACCTGATCTCATTTTAAAGAGAAGAAAATAAGACCTGAAGCCATGGTTGTTATACAAAATAGACTTGTAATCATTTATGCCATTTAGGGCAAAATATAGACAGACAATATGCATATTAGGGACACAAAATCTCAATGTTTACCTGAGGTATTTGGATAAATGTTTCTTTAAAACATATACAGCTATAACTATGCACACACATGCATATGCATATACACATACACACATTTGGCTCTTCTACAGGAGGACGGTTATATTGATCCACTGTAAGGACACATGGGTTTCAAACTATTTCCCAGTAGAAAATACCAAAAAAAGGTAGAGACTGTCTAGCACCAAGAATGGAAAATTATGAATATTTTGCCATTATTTCCTTAAAGAAAAAAATATTACAGATAATGTAGAGGTCCCCTTTGTTCCCCATCCAAGTCCCTTTCTCTTTTTGTCCTGTCCAGAAAGCTAGGGCAACTGTGAATTTAGAGTGTATTATTCCTCTACAAATTTAAATGTCTTTATATATATGTAAATCCATAAAAATATGCTAAACTTTTAAAATTTATCGTTAACATTTGTATAACTGTACTGAATTGTGTATTATTTTGAAACCTGCTTTTTTCCCCAGTCAACATCATAGTGTTGACAGCTTTCCATGTTGGCATATTGATCTAGTCTATTTCTTTTAACCCCTGCATTAACATTTCACCTTATGACTATACCATATTGAATGTATCCATTCCTCAATTGATGGCTATTTAGACTGTTTCTCTTTTTCACTGTAAGAAAGCCACAAGTAAGCAACTAAGCATCCTTGTACACATCTTTCTGCATGTGTATGAGTTTCTCCAGGGAGGTATTTATCTAAAAAATGTAATTTTTAGGCCATAGGGAGTATCTAGCTTGAGGCTGAGCATAGAGTGCTAAATTGGTCTCCACAGTGGTTGTCTAGGTAATGGAATTTGCAGGAACCATCTTTACTCTTGTCTACCATACACTTTGACCATCACCTCAGCCTGTTAGAGGGTGGCAGTCTAAGGGCAGTCTGCAATCACAAAAGGTACAGTACACATGGTGTTTGTCCTGCTCTCTTTAACTCAGCAAGTACCTCAATCAACCCAGCCACTGAAGATGGAAGAGAAAGAAAACCATGTGATGCCAGTAAAAGCCCTGGATCCATTTATACCACTTTGCAACAATGGCCTTTTCTTCTTAACTATGAATAGCTTGATTATAAGTAATGCTGTTATTAATAAGTCAGCCTGGTAGCTATATTACATGGTAAGATATTTCTTTGCAAAGATGTTCTTTTCAAGGGATGATAAAAACCAAATGATTATCTTTCAATTCCTGATCATAAATTCTTCAATTTTTGAGACTCCATAGCTTACAATGTGATAATGAGAACCTGTATTTTAAATAGCTCCAAGGGGCTTTTCCTCCAGAAATGGGTATCAATGTCTTTGGAGGTAAAATGTGAAAGGAATAGGAAAATAGAAATCTACCCACATATAAATAATAGCTGCAATTATAATTTTCATATTGCCAGCTATTATGAAGATAGTAGCTTATAATGCCTAAAACGTGGCACTAAGAAGTATATAAGCAATTTATTTTTTAATGTGGCTTCTTTATATCACTAGGTAGGTCATTTTTTCATATGTGCTATGACACAGACTATATGTATAAGATAGGGCCTATGTGTCCTCCATATATTAGCAGAGGACTTAGCAGTACAGGAATAATCCATAAATGCCATATTTTAACAAATCCAAAGCTCTCTAGTTGGCACAAAATTAAAAATGAAATCCACTGGTGATGGACTCACACTGACCTAACCTCACAGTTTCGCTCAATCACTCATGTCTAACAGAACATTGCCAGCTGTCCTTTTGGCTAAAAGCAAAACAAAACAAAACAAAATTGAAATCACTAACTTTGTGTTCTCTGATTAGAAAAGCTCTAATTAGCTCCATTCTCTAATACTCATTGTGTTAAAATAATTCCATGTCAGACACCTTGAGTGCGCTAATATTTTTATATTTTGTGTGTCAAGACATCCTTTCAAGTTTTTTTTTTTACTGAGCCTATGAATCAGAGAGAGACTGCATATTTTTAGTTTTCTCTGAAACATTTAGGATTGTGCTAAACATGAACTCTCTGGATAAATGTTTGTGGTGATGGCTTGTGACCTGTCCCAGCAGCTGGCCCAGGCCTACCATATTTTCAGAGCAGTGCACTGGGAGAGATCCTCAGAATCCCTAAGTCCCTCACCCCTGAAATTTGGCCTGTTCTAAAATAGAATCAGTACAGTCTTAGATGGCTCTGAAGGAGGTTGACATTTAAGCTCAGCTTTAAAGCCAGGGTATAAATGCAAGGAGACCAGAACCGAGTATTCATCTCTTGTATTCCCACCAGTATGTAGTTTTGGGTTGAGCAGACCCAGAACGAACATCCATAAATGTCTAGCTACTGTAGATTCCCTATCTCTGGCCAACTTGGAATTTCTAGTTCGTAGTCCATGTTTCATTAGCTTCTTTATAAATGAATGTGCCTTCCTAGTTCCTCCCTCTCTCTGATCCCCCAAATTTTAAAAACTTCATGACACTGCCAGATAATTTTTTTCCAACTCAGATCCCAGTGAGTTATTAGGCAGATTTTACTGCTAACACATAGCTCTCCCAGTTTAAACTACTTTTCAGTTGGGTTTTTCAAAAAGCTAGGGAGCTGTAGCAGTTGGAACTATAGGATTTAGCAGAGTAAAGTGCCTGTGCCTTTCTGTCGGACAGAACACTCTGGCAGGCAGTGAAGAGATCTGGGGGAACTTCCCAAACTGTGCAGCCTTGGATACACCCTGCGTCCATCCACCTGGCTTTTATGTTGTGAAAACAGCATACTCTTATAATCTCAAACTCTTTCAGAGTTTGTAATAATTCTATGATTATTAAAACTCAGATAAAGTTCAGCAAGGCTTAATCTCATTTTGGTCTTAGGAAACTAAACCTCACCACAAGACAGGGGAGAATCCTGAAGATCATTTGATGGTGGCAAAATCATTCACTTTTGGAGAGTGCTATTGTTTGGGTAGGATTTTTTAAGCTTAATTCACAAAGACATTTTTTAAATATTAAAATTCATGCCCTTTGATTGATCAAGGAGGAGGCAGGATAATGTATTTTTTTCCCCTCGTACCAGAGTTTAATACAGGCTATATCTCCTTTGGCAAATCACCTATCCCGATAAAAAACAAAACTGTTTTTAAATCTCAGCTCTGTAATCCTTAGAGCTTAAAGATAAAGGAAAAAAAATGACCTTCTTTTTGTCCATTAGTCAATTACAGGAAGCATTATTCTTTCCATATTACCACGTTATGAATCTGATTTCAAAGTAAGTATTCTAATGAAAAGAGAAGCACTTAACTTTTTAAAAAAATTCCAACTGACTCTGCAAATGAAATTTTTAAACCAAGGTACCAGGAGAGGAAAAAGACCTTATGTTCTAAAGCCACCATCATATGAAATAAATTATTCTGTCTTTTATGTATCCGAATGGTAGTAGTTATATGCCATCCTTGGGAGAACTGAAGAAATGGTCACTCAAGTCATTCTGTATGTTTTGTGTTTCTGAGGAGCCCTCACTGAGAAAGGCTGGCAGAGTCAGAAAAAAAAAATTCGTGTTCTTTAAACAGGGTATAGTCGGGGTTTTTTTTTTTGTGATTGGGGCTTTTTAAAAAGAGAGGTACTCTGGAAAAGGAGACAGAACATATTTAAGTCCTACTTTTAGCATGTGAAGGAGCTAGATTCTACATTTTCTTAAATACTCTGATGAGTTAAATGGAACTAACACTCAAATGCCACCAAATCCCCCCACCACTGATAGTTAACAATGACAGCATCTCCGACTGCTTCTTGCATCTTTGCTATCTGCCTGACTCCATTCTGAGTGCTTTGCATCAATTCTCCTGTAATTCTCTTTAATATGAGATAAGTATCCCCAGATTTACAGATGAATAAAACTGAGACTCAGCTCACACAGCAGGCCCAAGATTGTCCAGTTAAATAAGGAGCACAAGCAGGATGGAAGCCAGGCCAGTTCAACTCAAAGGGCCTCACTTAACACCAAGGCCTACTCTGAAGGGTGCAAGACTTCAGGCTTGTATCCTCAGGTGGGCTGTAAAATAAGAGGCCTGGACTACACTAGCTCTAAATTTGTTACCCAGTATGCTACAGTTAATTTACCAAGATACATAGTGCAAAAACAAGGAAAAAGATTAACGTCACTTTTTACTATGATTTTGTATAAAATAATTGGAATTTAAAATAGGGCACAAAACATTATCTTTATGAAACACTTGTTTCTGAATGAAATGGAGGATGGTTTTAGCACCCTAATACTCAGTTTCAAAACTGTAACAATAAAGTTACACAAGATGATATAAATTCTAACCCCTGTAGAAATGTTGGACTGATTATCCAATTTCAGGAGTTACAGTGTGGCTTTATGTTTGTTTTCTTTAGTGCTTTGCCATGGTTTTTATATAATAAATGAAAAACACAAACAAAAAACACAAAACTGAGTTGTGGAGAATGATGACTTCGATGGAACCATAAAATCTCCCCTACACTAAAAAGAAAAGAACACACAGCCACTTTACATCTGCAATCCACCTTCCTCAGACCTTGTGAGTAAACTCCTGTTTCACTGCTACAGAGCACTCATTTATTTCACATTTTAAAAACTGACACTGATATTACAGTAGAACTGATGTTGTGGCTAAACTATATTCTACAGTGCCTATAAGTTGGCTGGCAGGATTCCACATGGAATCTTCGTACCTCTGTGAAAAACTGGGCCATGACCAAGAATACTCATACACTGGGCTTAAAGCCACAGTCAATTACTTGTACTGCTCTGGCAGAGAAAACACAGGCCAAACAGGTCTCATTTCACCAGTGCTAAGAAAAGTTATTACCTTTTATTTCATTAACTAGTCAGATGACATCAAATCAACAGTTTTTTTACACATATCCTACAAAATTGAAAGTATAAAAGTACTTCATTTTCTAGTACTGATTAACTTAATTAGACTACTCATTTTTTCTCCTTTTCTTTTTTGAAACAGGGTCTTGCTCTGTCACCCAGGCTGGAGTGCAGTGGTGTGATCACAGCTCACTGCAGCCTTGACTTCCTTTTGGGCTCAACAGATCCTCCCAGCTCAGGCTCCCAAGTAACTGGGACTACAGGCGTGTGACACCATGCCCAGCTAATGTTATTTTTTGTAGAGACAAGGTCTCACCATGTTGCCCAGGCTGATCTCGAACTCCTGGGCTCAAGACATCCTCCTGCCTCAGCCTCCCAAAGTGCTGGGATTATAGGTGTGAGCCACACCCAGACTAGACTAATCTTTAAGAAGACAACCTTTGTTTATAAGAGCAAAAGATTCTATTATATAAAGGCTGTATCAGGAGTGCACTTCCAATTTGATATAACTCCATTTCATTTGAAAATCTATGGTCATCAGAAATTTGGGGAGAAAAATTTCAATTTGACTAAGATGTTTAAGGGGGAATGTTAGTTATTTTGAAAATCATAAACATCTTGACTTTGCAGGTTTAATCATCTGTACACTTCTGATATTGTACTGTCAACTTGTATTTTTATCAACTTCAATGGGTCTTGTAGTTATAAACAGCATAATATATCAGACTGACAGAAAAAAAGTAAAATAAGCTGAACTCCTAATCTATGCTGGTCATTGTTGAAGCAATTGCCATGTTTTATCTCATCTAGTCTTCATAAAAAACCCTAAGAAGCAGGTACTAATAATATCCCTATTTATAGATAACAATACAGAGATGCAAAAAGTTCTGTAACTTGTCCAAGGCCATATAGTTCCAAGTTGCAGAGCCAGGCAATCTGACTCAGCCTCTGCTCGTAACCACCATACAATCCTTAAAGTCCTGTTCCTTTTATTTTTTTTCTCCCTTGCTTATGTCTTAGGCCCACCTAGGAACACCCACAGAGGGTTCCTGGCTCAGGTGATGATATTGGGGGGTGCTCAGAAAGTCCATTGCTGCTAAAACAATATATAGAAACAGGTTACGGTAATACCATAATGACAGTTCCATATAACACAAAATATTCTCAAGCATAAGGATACTTACTTTAAGCAATAAAGCACAGACCAACATTTCAATAAATCAGAAACTTGAAATACTATCTTGGAGACAATTATAATTGATTTTCCTCAGCCCATTTCTCTTCTTAGACGACAAGATTTCCTTGTTGATCTTATCCACATTCCCGATTTTCACTGCTGCAAATCTGCATCCCGTCCTAACCTCTCCTATAAGCTTCAGACTTACAATATTGTGTCAACTGCCTGCTAGACATCCCCATCTAGATGTTTCAATTTCAAACCAAACAATCACACCCCCACCCCATTCTACATCTCCTTTCTGAATTTCCTATTAGATTTTTGGAATTACCATACCAAGCTGGAAATGTAGGGGTCTCTACCTCACTTCCACATCCAAATAATTCTGTCAATTTTACCTCCCAGATCTATTCCTTCCCTCAATTTCTGTTGCTACTGCTGCAGTTCAGGCCTGTACCGTCTCTTACTTGGACTATTTTAAGAACCTTCTCAGTGGGCTCCTGGCTTCAAAGTTACCCTGCATAGCAACATTCAAAGCAGGGAGGAACATATGAAAATCTATGGTCCTCCCTGCTTTGAACCTTGCTATGGCTACCTACTGCCTCCAGATGAAATTCAGGTTACTGATCCCAGCATCCATCTGGCCTCAGTCTCTCCTGTTTTTTCCAACACGCTTCCCTTTAGTATTCAGCCCCTGCATCTTACTAATCTGAGGCTCTTTGGGCCTAAATAACTGTTCAACTAAATTGAACAAATGTCTAGGATTTTGATTTTTAAGTAATATAGAATAATACTTGGTCCTCTAGAGCATGTAGAATTCATAATTCCAAATTTACTATGAGAATTAAGTCATCTTTTAAAACATTTTTATTGTGGTAAAAACCATTTTTAAAGAAGAATTAATCCTCCCTTAAGGAATCAGAATGGGGAAAAAGTTATTTAAGGTCTACCATCTTTTTGCTTTTTAATCAATAATTGAGTTATTCTATTTGTATTCTGTTTCTTCACAGTATCAATTGCCATCAGGAGTCTTTGTAAGTAGTGAAGAGTGGTGGATCAGGATCTCATCAGAGGCAGGCACCAATCTGACTTAATTCAGGGACTTGGTTAGGTAGGTGACAGAAAAGCTGGGAAGCCAGACCACTGTGAGAACCACAGGCAGCCTCTCCACGGCCTTGGGCAGAAGAATAAAGAGAGGAGAGAATGTTGTTGGAGCTCAGGGCCACCCACAGTGGGTGGGGCATAGGTGAGACGCAGCAGCTCACAGAGGTCTCTAGAGCTGAGGAGACAAGGCTGAGAGTCTGGGAAGCGGGACAGAGTACCCACGTGGAGAAAGCTACAGAGAGAGAGGACTGTAGAGATCTGTAGCTTCCCTAGAGTCTTCAGCTGAGTACTGACCAGCACATGTACATAAGTAAACTACAAGAGGCCAGAGAGAGGACTAGAGGGAACCATCTCCAAATCTTACACAAACATGCTGCATGAGCTGGAAAGAGAAATATAAATGCCCTGCTTTCCCCCCAACCCCCGCCCCTCCTCCTTTCCTGTAATCCTCCCCTTACCTATGCCTCCCATTAGCCTGGTGGTTCTCAACCTTGGCTGCACAAACTAGAATCAACTAGGAAGCTGTAAAAACGTTGAATGCCTCGGTACACCCCTAGAAAGACTGATGTAATTGGTCTGGGTGCAACCTGGGCATTAGGAGCTTTAAAAGCTCTCTTGGTGAGTTGAGAACCAATACATTAGCCGAACCCAAGTAGAAGACACGAGAACAGACCCTGGAAAACATAGCCTACAGAAATCAGCACCCTTTCATACGGGGCAAGGAGAGGATCTGAGAGCCTGTGGGCCTAAGATCAGCAAAGATGGCACAAAGAGATGGGTAGAAATAAGATGATGAGAAGAAGGAGAAAAAAAAGTAGGCATGATCTTCCTTAAACCCTTCAGTGGCCAGCTCACATTGAACACCCGGCTGCAGAGTTTCTTCCCTCTTATAATACTTACTGCTATTCCTCCAGTGACCAGACTATCATGTGCCACCTCCCATGTGTCCTTGGCTGTGCTGAAGCCCAGCATCTTGCTATCTGTTCTGGTTCATCCTGCAGCATCCCATCAGGAAACCCTGGTGTTCCTCCTCTTACTAGCTGCATCAGGTATTTTCTTCTTTCCCAAACTGACTGGCTAGTTCATTTGTATATTTTGCTAATATTAAGTAGTAATTGATGGCTAATAATAGGTAATGTAACCCCCCCGGATAATATTTGCATGGCAAAACAGACCTTGAGTGTAAGAATTTCAGGGCAAAGTCACAGATTGATTGAATAGATTTTTCTGTGTCCCTTAAAATGTAAATAAATTTAAATCAAATAACATAGGGGATGGCCTAACATTGGAAAGTAATGATTTACAAATTTACAAATGATTTACTGCAATGTATTTTGATTATAATCCTACTCATAGCTGCTAAAATGTTAAGCAATGTGAAGATACCTTAAGATACATTTATATCCTGTTAATCATTTATAGCCTAAAAATATACTTGCTGTAAATTCCAAAGTCTTATGATTTTGGATCAAAAGAAATTTATTTTTAAAAGTGGAAATATTTAGCATTATTATCCTATTTGCCTGAGAAAGTCACCTTCCAGAGAAGGACAAAATCCAAGGTCAAAATCAGAAATCAGATACTCTATGTGTGTGTGTTTAGACTGACAGGTCAGTCCCTGAGAAACTGGTTGTATATTGTGAAACTGTTAAAATACTGAGTTCAAAACTGGACATGCTATTTTTAAAAAACTATTTTCTGGTATGAATCTTTCTTATTATTACTCTAGATGAAGAATTTGTGAATCTCCACAAATATATGGTAGTGCCAACTCCTAAAAACAAACTTCCAACAGGACAACCACAAAGTACTGAAATAATATACATGCATGCATAAAGGCCATGGGCAGATCTACTTCTGTGATCCTACAAGCAACACATCAAGGCTCATAATTCAGAGATCATTTCTCTTCACCAACTACTTAATGAATGGTATTCTTCCAGTGGAAAGTTTAAATCCCCAAATCACAACCAATACCACCTGACTGAGCTCCCAAAATTATCACTAAAAGGAACAGATCCATTCTACCTAAGTATGTGGACATATTCTCATTTTAGCTATCAGACTCTTTTAAAAGCACTTGAAATAATTAATACATTTTAATGGACAGAATGAAAATTCAAAACAGGTAAATGACCACATACTGATGGAATTCCCACAGACTCTTGGGAGCAATATGACCATAACAGCCATCTTCTTCCATCACATTATTAAACAAGAAATGGAAGATGCTTTTTGTCCGTAAAAACCAGAAAATTAAGGTTAAGTGAATTTTGAAATGATGAGTAACTAATACTACACAGGAAAGAAACACACAAGTCTAAGCTTACCAAAGGAGTAGTAAACCCACTAGGATTTTATCATGAAAATGCTGCATATGTCTCAGACAAAAGGCAAAGGTAGAAGAGAACCATCTTTTCTTAGCATGTGGAAATAACCTAACAATTCCTTTGAAAATAGAACCTATCTATACACATGCAACAAATCTGCACGTTGTGCACGTGTACCCTAAAACTTAAAGTATAATAAAAAAATAAACAAATAAAACGTGAAAAAAAAGAAAATAGAACCTAAACACATACTCTGTACTGAGTCAGTGTTCAACTCATGCTATTGACTTATTAAATAATGATGTCTAAGAACTCCACGCATTGGTAAGACCTAACTGGGTACCTTTCTGGGAATGAATAACAGTGATTTTAAAGACATTATTAACTGCAGTGAGATTTGCTCATCTGCCCAAGCTGAAGGGAGGCATCTGATTCATCTCGGTCAATTTAAACAGCTCAGATAATCTAAACATGGTGTGGACAAAATTAAAGGGCATTCCGAGTCCTTAATATTATGTGGGCTCTCTTTCAGAATGGTCTTACAAAATGTGCCTCAGGGGTTCTGTGGGTCCAGGAAATATCCACACAGTCCCTGACTTTGGTGGTGACAACAAAGGGATCGAAGATCTGAGAAAGGGAAGGAACAGAACACCACCTCCCGAAGCAAAACCAAACCAACAAGAAAAAATACTCACAATTGCTTAAAGAAATGGTTGATACTAGGTTGAAACTTTAAATTAGAAAATATTTTCTTCAGTTAATAGAAAGGAAATAAAGGATTGTCAAATCTTGTCATTGTCTATTTCTCCTCTTTAATTTCTTATAGAAATAGCAGATTTAAATACACACAAACACATACGGTTGCTTTTAGTTACAGCAACTTCACATTTTAGGAACAGACATGTCGTACTTTTCTGTAAGGCAAGAATGCTTAAGTGGAGTTGGCTCCACATTTAGAGCCAACAGAGCAGAAAGATCTCTAAAGAGCAAGGTGCACATTAATGGTGAGAAGAAATAGTACACAACAAGAAACACTAGGCACTTACAGGGTGTTCTCTTTTTTTAGATGGAGTCTCACTCTGTTGCCCAGGCTGGTGTGCAGTGGTGTGATCTTGACTCACTGCAACCTCTGCCTCCTGGGTTCAAGTGATTCTTGTGCGTCAGCCTCCCGAGTAGCTGGGACTACGGGTGCGTGCCACCATGCCCGGCTAACTTTTGTATTTTTAGTAGAGATGGGGTTTCACCATGTTGGCCAGGCTGGTCTCGAACTCCTGACCTCAAGTGATCCACCTGCCTCGGCCTCTCAAAGTGCTGGGATTAGCAGGTGTGAGCCACTGTGCCCAGCCTATAGATTTTTTTTTTTATAACTAAAAGAATTACATGGGAAATTTTAGGTGGAAGAAAGATTTTCAAATATCCTATGTCTTCATGGTGGACAGAAATGCAGGGAGTCATGTAATAACCCAAAAAAAATACTTAAGAACCTCATCCATGTAATATCATGGAATTAGGGATTACGGTGGGTTACATCACAGTCTTATTAGATATAATGGACATCTTTAGATGCCATATATTCAGGCTCTATCTATGTCAGCAAGTGGCTGAGAATAAAGGCTTAAAAAAGTCCACTTTATCTACTTAAGCTCTGGTTCATAAATGCCTAGGACAGGTGGACCCTCCATGGAATAATATGTTCACTAAGCTGGTGTTCCTATACCTGAAAACATGTACTGTGAGAGTCTCTTAGCACACAGCTAGGTAGCCTATAGGTCTTTTCTGTGGGGTGGGAGAGCAGAGGAAGCCATTCTTTGTTTATTTGAGATAATCCAACCAGGTTCATGACTTCCTTTCCTTTGTTTCTATTTTAAGGAGGAAAAGAAACAGAAATCCCCATTTCCACTCCAACCCTATCCTCAACACAAATTATAATACCTTAAAATTGTAGTAGAAGGAGCTATAAACCATAAAAAGATAAAGTTCAATTGCTGAGGGGCAGCAATCGTAAGCATGTTCTTACCTGATGTGGCCGATCAATTCAATAAGCTTGTGACTAAAAAAATATGCTGTCAGCTCAGACACATGACTCAGGACTGAACAGACCCCAAAGAGGGTTGTAGTTCCATTGAGGTCTTCCAAATGCCAGTAGAGAAAGGTGAACACGAAGCCATATCCAAAACCCATGAACCAAGCCACAAACAGCACTGAGCCATACTGCACGCTGCAGAGCAGCTTGATTAAGTCCCAAAAGTTGAAGGCCTGCGAGTGGCTTGTGGTGGTTGGTGTCTCCTCAGAGGACTCTGTAGAGTTGTTCCTTTCCACCTGCGGGATCTCCACCTCTTTCCCTTTAGAATCATCGTTTTTGAAATGGTTGTAGCGGAACCGGAACTGAGTGGCAACGATCAAGGCCATGGTCATGAGAACGCCGAAGACGATGAAGACGATCTGGTAATTCCTGTACTCGGGGGGCTTACACCCCTTTCCATCGATGAGCACTTCGATGTGGGTGTAGTCGATCCCGATGCCCACAGACAGCATCGCCAGGCCCCAGCCCAGGGAGCCCCACATGCGCTGCAACCCATAGCGATCTCTGTGTTTTCCCAGATACTGGAGTGTGACCGTGTCTACGATTGTGACAGAAGAGGCACTGAAAAATTCTCCTATTATGACAACTACCAAGATCACCAAGAATATAGCTTCAACTTCTTGTTGATCATAAACAAGCATGACTTGGTCAGAAGGTAAAGATTTGGTGGTGGTAACAATAACAGTGGTTGTCTCCTTGGTTACGCTTCCTGGGGAGACAGGGGTTGCTGTGCTTGAGTTCAAAGTCAAGTCCATCATACGGTTAGTAATTTCACCTGTCTGGGGCTGCAGAGTGGGTTCACTGTTCATGTTTGGAGCTGTTGGCAAAGTAACGGTGTCTGAGACATTGAGCCTTGTTTCCAAAAGGTTTCTTTTCTCACGCATTTTTGGTGATATGGTGAGGAAAGAGGTAAAGGAAGAATTTGTTGGCAGGATAGTTAACTGGTGACTTGCATTGGTGGGGTGAGTTGTTGGGCGAATCTTTGGTACACATCTCAAGGTAGCAGGTTTGACAAATCCAATGCCCAGGTTGAATAAAACCCAACACAAAAGAGAAAAGAGGAGGACAATTTTGCCTTTTTTAAAGCGGTCTGCAACTACACCCCAAAAGGGGGCACTGCAGAATTCAATGAAGTAACGAATACCTACTAGTAGTCCACTCTGGCTTGGAGACATTCCCAGCTGTTTGTAATACACAGGCAAAAGGGGATAGAGAGAGCCATAGGCAGAGTAAAAGAAAAAATAAAAGACCTTGGAAATTAGAAGATCGTTGTTTATCTTAACACAATGTTTCTCTATCCAGTCTATTTCCTCCTCAGGAATAGCAGATGTTTCTGTGGAGGAAGGTGTTTCATTCGAAGGTGGTTCTGGTTCCCTGGAAATACCATTAAAGGGATCTGCAAGCACATACTTTCTCTTCTGTTCCTCTTCATCATCCGTTAAGATAGCAACTTTATCATCTGCCATGGCTTACCACCACCATCAGCAAGTTTACAAACTTCAGAATTTGTACTGTTGATCTGTAAAGTAAAATTTAAAAGATGGCTTAGTAATGAAAATCATAACATGTAAACACAGAACTTCATCTTGCAGGAAATTAAGCAGTTACAAACTAAAATAATAATTGCAAGAGAGAATTCTCATCATTTATCACTTGCAGCCACACAATACCGGTAAGGAAAAATAGCTTTTAAAAAAATCGAATACTCTTTATGGCCACTGACTGACTAATTACATCTTCCAATGGCAGGTTTACAGCTCAGATTCATTCCCAGTCTTTTCATTGATTCCCAGGGAAAATGTACAAATAATAGGGATTATGTCTAAACCAAACACAGAGAGTTGAAAATAAACACTGTTTATAGTTTCTTGATTTTACTGTTCAAACAAATCCACTACATTATGAAGTCTAGGATTCTTTAGAAAATAAAGGTAGCAAAACCATTCTGTTTCTAAGGAAAAATAGGTTGCACTTAACCACAACCACAAATGTAATGAGAAAGAGGAAGCCGATGGCATTGTTGCAACTATAGTGCTCACTGGAGCCATGACAAAGATACCCTGGTAATGAAGGAGTCTTCACATTGCATATATTATGTACAGTCCTCCAGATGTGCTTTATAGATAGCAGTTTAAGAAAATGGCAAGAAAAAAGAGCAGATAATACTTATTTAGCACTCTGTATCAGATAAGATTAAAAGATCTTTACATGTATTCATTCATATTCATCACAATAGCCCTATTATCTTGTCCATTTTACAGATGAGAAGAATGAGGCATGGCAGGTTTAACTAATAAGAGGCAGTGCCAGGATTTGAACCCTGACATTATGGCTTCAGGACACATGCTCTCTACGATGGTAGTCCCCAACCATTTTGGCACCAGGGACTGGTTTCATGGAAGATAATTTTTCCTCAGATGGAGAGGGGGGTTGGTTTTGGGATGAACTGCTCCACTTCAGATCATCAGGGTAATTCTTAGGTTCTCATAAGGAGCACACAACCTACATCCCTCGCATGCACAGTTCACAATAGCGTTCATGCTCCTATGCAAATCTAATACCTCTGCTGATCTGACAGGAGGAAGAGCTCATGTGATAATGCTTGCTGGCCCGCTCTTGCTGTGCAGCCCAATTCCTAACAGGCCACAGAGTGGTAGCGGTCCATGGTCCAGGGGTTGGGGAACCCTGCTCTAAGACACACTAAACTGAAAAATAACACATTTTAGATAAGATGCCAGTAAACTTTTTTGAAAAACAGTGTTTTGGCCGGGCGCGGTGGCTCACACCTGTAATCCCAGCACTTTGGGAGGCTGAGGGGGGCGGATCATGAGTTCAGGAGATTGAGACCATCCTGGCCAACATGGTGAAACCCCGTTTCTACTAAAAGTACAAGAATTAGCTGGGCCTGGTGGCACGCATGTAGTCCCAGCTACTTGGGAAGCTGAGGCAGGCAAATTGCTCGAACCCAGGAGGCGGAGGTTGCAGTGAGCTGAGATTGCGCCACTGCACTCCAGCCTGGCAACAGAGCGAGACTCCGTCTCAAAAAAATAAATAAATAAAATAAAATAAATAAATGTTTTTCATATACGATATTAGCAATATACATTTATATAAATTTATAGGAACTGTGCCAGCATCCCATCAGAATTTCCCTTTCTTCTATTAAAGATTGAATGATTAAAGTGTCAAAAGGTCTTGTGTGCATCAAGAATTATGTTGTTCCAATGAACAGATTCTGATGGTAGGAAGTATATACATTAAATATGTGTTAATTCCTTTCACCTTCTTTTCTTTTTTTTCTTTTTTTTTTTTTGAGAGACAGGGTCTTACTCTGTCACCCAGGCTGGAGTGCAGTGGTGTAATTATGGCACTGCAGCCTCAACCTCCCAGTCTCAAGCAATCCTTCCACCTCAGTCTCCTAAGTAGCTAGGACTACAGACGTGTGCCACCATGCCCAACTAATTTTTGTAGAGATGGGGTTTTTGCCATGTTGCCCAGGCCGTTCTCCAACTCCTGGGCTCAAGTGATCCTCTTGCCTCAGCCTCCCAAAGTGCTGGGATTACAGGCGTGAACCACTGCACCCTGCCTCCTTTCACTTTCTTTACTAGAGAAAAATATCAGTTTCACTTGCTACCCCTTGGAATAGATCTTGCTCTTTGTTTTCCCAAAATGAATAACATTCTGAAAAACCTTCTAAAATTATACTTGTAAGCATTTTTTAATCTCTACAAAGCTCCTAGGTAGACAATGGAACACAACTTAAGGAGACCTGTGTAAGGAGTCAATTTATCTGTTATCCCCAAAAGCCAGATGTCAATGTAGCTGTAAGCTTTGAAAATGTTCATGTCGGTTTTTTAGGTTAAAAAAAATTTAACTGAAGTGAAATTCACATAACACAAAATTAACCATTTTGAAAGTGAACAATTCAGCGGTAATTTACTATATTCACAATGTATATGGCCACCACCTCTATTTAGTTTCCAAATCAGGTTTTTCTTAATAGTGAAAGAAAAACATTTTTTTCCTCCTAGAAAATGTGAAGGTTAAGCAAAATCCAATCTTTTGCTGCTTAGCTATACATGACTTTCTTTAATGTTCTATACCTATTTTTCCTTCATCATTAGTGCCTTCACCTATCCAGCTCAGCGGCTCCAATTCCATTTCATCATCTGAAAAGAAAAAATAATTTGCCCTCAAATCTATTTTCTAAATTAATTTAATTCCTGAGCTCAAAATTCAAAGAAACATTTCTTGTGTTTCAAATGTATAAAATTATGTGATACTTCTGGGTAAAGAGAGCAGATTAAACACATGTAGTTTGAATCCTTCCCTGAACCCACTAAAATGACAATAAACACACACACACCCAAACATACACACACACTGTAAAAGTCATAATTCAAGCTAGAAAGATTAAAGGGCACATAATAGCAATAAAATAAAATTACGGAAAGCAGAAAGTAAACAATTGGTAAAAGACTTGGTAGATCTGAGAAAACTAAAACCTTGGTTGATTATAGGGAAAGCCAAGAACTAATAAAATTTACTACTCGGAATCCCTGAAAGGCTCATGAGTTAGCTATATTAGATTTATATGCAAGTAAGAGAAAGAGTGTATGTGTGAGTAAGTGAGTGAAAGAGAGAGAGAGAGAGAGTGTGTGTGTGTTGGGGGGCGGGGGTGGCAGGGGTTGGGGAGGTGCTCAAATAGAGCTGACTGAAAGTCTAAACCCCAAACAAATGCAGGTTATTTTCCTCTGGAAAGTAAAACACAGAGATTTTGGCCAGGTGCGGTGGCTCACGCCTGTAATTCAAGCACTTTAGGAGGTTGAGGTGGGTGGATCATTTGAGGTCAGGAGTTCAAGAGCAGCCTGGCCAACTTGGCAAAACCCTGTCTCTACTAAAAATACAAAAATTAGCCAGGCATGGTGGCAGGTGCCTGTAATCTCAGCTACTTTAGAGGCTGAGGCAAGAGAATCACTTGAACCCAGGAGCCGGAGGTTGCAGAGAGCCGAGATCACGCCACTGCATTCTCCAGCCTGGGTGACGGAGCAAGACTCTGTCTCAAAAAACAAAAACAAACAAGAAACACAGAGGTTTTCTGGCCATAGAGCACCAAGCAGAGTTGTAAACGGTGCCATGCTGAAAGCAGGGCATCAAGTGAACATACACATCCTGGATTCTGAGCCTTGGCCCCTTTCCCCATCCCACTTTCTTCAGGAGGTTCCCAGAGGCTGGCAAGACTTCCATCCTCTAGGCAGGAAAGTTAAAGCCTCTTCTCTAGAAAATCTGGTTAGCCTAAGAGGAATGACTTCTAGATGCTTATATTGAAACCTCTCCAACTAAACAACACAACCCAATGACCCTACACAGGAACTCAGAGTTATCAAGACCTTCCACTAAATATGAGTAATTACCAAGGATTATAAGACATTTGAGGAAAGTCTGTTACATGAAAAACAGAACCAAAACAGGAAACACTATCAGTCCAGAGAAATCAGAAGCCAAGTAAAAAGGAAAATACTTTTGAATATATGATTATCTTCAGAAATAAGAGAAGATTATGCAACTATGAAACAATACCAGAATAATGTATATTTTTAAAGAAAAAGGATGGACAGATAAAAGGAATACTTGAATAAAAAGCTCTGGAATTTATAAGTATTATAGCATAAATGAAAAATTGAGATGATATGAAAGAAAAATTTAAGGCAATTTCTTAGGAAAATAAAGAACAAGATGCTCATGCTCCCTCTCCCTCTCCCTCTCCCTCCCTCTCCCCACAGTCTCCCTCTCCCTCTCTTTCCACGGTCTCCCTGATGCTGAGCCGAAGCTGGACTGTACTGCTGCCATCTCGGCTCACTGCAACCTCCCTGCCTGATTCCCCTGCCTCAGCCTGCCAAGTGCCTGCGATTGCAGGCGCGCGCCGCCACACCTGACTGGTTTTCGTATTTTTTTGGTGGAGACGGGGTTTCGCTGTGTTGGCCGGGCTAGTCTCCAGCTCCTAATCGCGAGTGATCCGCCAGCCTCGGCCTCCAGAGGTGCCGGGATTGCAGACGGAGTCTCGTTCACTCAGTGATCAATGGTGCCCAGGCTGGAGTGCAGTGGGGTGATCTCGGCTCGCTACAACCTCCACCTCCCAGCTGCCTGCCTTGGCCTCCCAAAGTGCCGAGATTGCAGCCTCTGCCCGGCCGCCACCCCGTCTGGGAAGTGAGGAGCGTCTCTGCCTGGCCGCCCATCCTCTGGGAGGTGAGGAGCCCCTCTGCCTGGCTGCCCAGTCTGGGAAGTGAGGAGCGCCTCTTCCCGGCCACCATCCCATCTGGGAAGTGAGGAGCGTCTCTGCCTGGCTGCCCATCGTCTGAGATGTGGGGAGCGCCTCTGCCCCGCCGCCCTGTCTGGGATGTGAGGAGCGCCTCTGCCCGGCTGCGACCCCGTCTGGGAGGTGAGGAGCGCCTCTGCCCGGCCGCGACCCCGTCTGGGAGGTGAGGAGCGTCTCTGCCCAGCTGCCCCATCTGAGAAGTGAGGAGCCCCTTCACCCAGCAGCCGCCCCGTCTGAGAAGTGAGGAGCCCCTCCGCCCGGCAGCCACCCCATCTGGGAAGTGAGGAGCGTCTCCGCCCGGCAGCCGCCCCGTCCGGGAGGGAGGTGGGGGGTCAGCCCCCGCCCGGCCGGCCGCCCCGTCCGGGAGGGAGGTGGGGGGGGCGCCTCTGCCCGCCCGGCCGCCCCTTCTGGGAAGTGAGGAGCCCCTCTGCCTGGCCACCACCCCGTCTGGGAAGTGTACCCAACAGCTCATTGAGAACGGGCCATGATGACAATGGCGGTTTTGTGGAATAGAAAAGGGGGAAAGGTGGGGAAAAGATTGAGAAATCGGATGGTTGCTGTGTCTGTGTAGAAAGAAGCAGACATGGGAGACTTTTCATTTTGTTCTGTACTAAGAAAAATTCTTCTGCCTTGGGATCCTGTTGATCTGTGACCTTACCCCCAACCCTGTGCTCTCTGAAACATGTGCTGTGTCCACTCAGGGTTAAATGGATTAAGGGCGGTGCAAGATGTGCTTTGTTAAACAGATGCTTGAAGGCAGCATGCTCCTTAAGAGTCATCACCACTCCCTAATCTCAAGTACCCAGGGACACAAACACTGCGGAAGGCCGCAGGGTCCTCTGCCTAGGAAAACCAGAGATCTTTGTTCACTTGTTTATCTGCTGACCTTCCCTCCACTACTATCCTATGACCCTGCCAAATCCCCCTCTGCGAGAAACACCCAAGAATGATCAATTAAAAAAAAAAAAAAAAGAATGAGGACTATGCAGCCATAAAAAGGATGCGTTCATGTCCTTTGCAGGGACATGGATGAAGCTGGAAACCATCATTCTCAGCAAACTGACACAAGGACAGAAAACCAAACACCACATGTTCTCACTTATAGGTGGAAATTGAACAATGAGAACACTTGGACATAGGGCAGGGAACATCACACACTGGGGCCTGTTGGGGGGTGGGGAGCTGGGGGAGGGATAGCATTAGGAGATATACCTAATGTAAATGACGAGTTAATGGGTGCAGCACACCAACATGGCACATGTATACATATGTATCAAATCTGCACATTGTACACATGTACCCTAGAACTTAAAGTATAATAAAGAAAAAAAAAGAACAAGAGCAACAATACACAGATATATGTATCTGACATCATATACAAAAATGAATTCCAGGTAGATTATAGGTTTAAAAGTCAAAGATTAAATAACATAGCTTTTAGAAGAAAACATAGAAAAATATCTTAAAGATTTATAGATAGGAAAATATTTACTAAATAAGACACAGAGTATATTAAACATTAAAGAAGAAAAAATAATTGAACTACATTAAAATTAAGAATTTCTGGCTAGGTGCAGTAGCTCATACCTGTAATCCTAGCACTTTGGGAGGATCACCTGAGATCAAGAGTTCGAAACCAGGCTGGCCAACATGATGAAACCCCGTCTTTACTAAAAAAATACAAAAATTAGCTGGGCATGGTGGTGGGTGCCTGTAATCCCAGCTGCTTGGGAGGCTGAGGCAGGAGAATCGCTTGAACCCAGGAGACGGAGGTTGCAGTGAGCCGAGATTGCACCACTGTACTCCAGGCTGGGCGACAGAGTGAGACTCCATCTCAAAAAAAAAAAAAGAATTTCTGTTCATAAGCTACCATTAAAGATTGAAATGGCAAGTCAAAGAGTGAGAGAAGATATTTTGGTGATATATGTATACACACACACACACACACACACGTAACAAAAGAATTATACAGATATATAAAAATTTATTCTTTAAAATCAATAGAAAAAAATCAGTAGGAAAATATCAGGTAACCCAATAGGAAAAATAAGCAAAAAGCTTGAATAGGCACCTCACAAAAGAGCCTATACAAATGGCCAATAAATATGTAAAAAGATGATCAACTTGATTAATCGCCAGTGAAAGCATTAAAACCAGAATACAATAATGTAACATACTCTAAAAATGGCTGAAATAAAAAAGATTGAGGCTGGGCATGGTGGCTCACACCTGTAATCCCAGCACTTTGAGAGGCCGAGGGAGGTGGATCACTTGAAGCCAGGAGTTTAAGACCAGCCTGGCCAATGTGGCAAAACCCCATCTCTATTAAAACTAAAAAAATTAGCCAGGCATGGTGGCAGATGCCTGTAATCCCAGCTACTCGGGGGGCTGAGGCAGGAGAATCACTTGAACCCAGGAAGCAGGGTTGCAGTGAGCTGAGATAGCACCACTGCCCTCCAGCATGGGTGAAAGAGTGCAACTCTGTCTCAATAAATAAATAAATAAATAAATAAATAAATAAATAAGCAAGCATCTCTAAATGTTTGAGTGCCAACATGATACTCAAAGGAGATGCACATTGTAGCATTTTTGATTTTTGGATTTAGAAGGCTGAACAGGTAAGTATAAAACAAATATTCTAAAATTTGAAAAAATTCTAAATCCAAAATACTCCTGGTCCCAAGCATTTTAAATAAGGGATGCTCAACCTGTAATATCAAATGTTGATGAGGATGTGGAGCAACTAGAACTCTCATAGATTGCTGGTGGGACTGTAAATTGATACACTACTTTAAAAACTGGGAATAGCTACTAATCCTGAGTGTAAGACCCTATGACAACCAAAAGATATGTATATTCACCGAAAGACATCTATAAACATGTTCACTGCAGAATAATTTTAATGGCTCAAAACTGGGAGCAACCTGTCTACAGCAGATACATAAATTGTAGTATTTCCATCCAAAGAAATACTGTGCAACAGTAAAAATGAACAAACTACAACTACATGCAGTGACAAGGATGAATCTCACAAACATAATATGGACTAAGAGAAGCAGGAAACAAAAGATCACTGAACACATGATTCCACTTATGGAAAAATAATAAACAGGCAAAACTAAGTTATGGTATTAAAAGTGGTAGACATGGCAGGGCACAGTGGCTCACGCCTGTAATCCCAGCACTTTGGGAGGCTGAGGCAAGTGGATCACCTGAGGTCAGGAGTTCGAGACCAGTCTGATCAACGTGGTGAAACCCCATCTCTACTAAAAATACAAAAATTAGCTGGGCATGGTGGCAGGCACCTGTAAGCCCAGCTACTCAGGAGGCTGAGACAGGAGAATCGCTTGAACCCAGGAGGTGGGGATTGCAGTGAGCCAAGATTGTGCCATTGCACTCTAGCCTGGGTGACAAGAGTGAAACTCTGTCTCAAAAAAAAAGAAAAAAAAAAAGTGGTAGACTTCTTTTCCAAGAAGATGGAGTAGACACAATTTTCTCTATCACTTCTGCTAAGTACAACTAAAAACCCTAGACAATAATATATAAAGTAAACATAGAAGACTCTGAAAGATAGACAAAAAAAGGCAGACCAGCTATGGACCTTGGTACCCAAGGAACAACACAAGTATGAGTGGAGCTGAAGAACCAAGAAATACTGATGGGTGAAGATAGGTGCAAACAAAAAGCCCTAACAAGTGCCTGCTTGCTATCTAATGAACCAGGAAAGGGGCAGTCTAGAAAGACACAGAACTTTAGATAATAACTTCGACTGCAGCCAAATACCACAGAAAAAATGATCATAACCCTATTCCCACTCCTGCCCACACCATCAAAGGCTGAGCAGGGAGCCTACAATTCTGCCCTCACCAAGCTATAATGGGGAACCCCCAACCCCTCAACTAAGGTGGGATCAGAGAAGATAAAGGAGCAAGGACTTTCATCCCTGCTAGGCAGTAATGAGGCCACAGTATCAGTGGAGATTACATGGGAAGCCTGGACTGCCAACCCACCTGTTGGTAACAAGGCACCCTTACCTTTCCCCACTGGGGTGATGTCAGGAGTTACAGTAGAGAATCAGGACTTTCACCACTGGCCAGCAGTAAGGAGGTCCACCCCTCACTCTCAATGGGTGTCACTGAAGGCCATGTGAGGAGGCCTACTGGGGAGCTGAAATGCCCATCTCCACTTCACAGTAATGAAAAGTCTTTCACCTTCAGGTATCCAAAGAGGCTGAGTGAGGAACTTGGACTTCTACCTCCAGCTGGCAGTAATAAAGCAGCATCCTCCCTTCTCTTGCCAGAGCAGTTTCAGAAAAAGTCAGCTAAAGCAGAAGGTCTAAATAAGATCCACAGTCTCATAAAATAATACCCAAAACATCTTGCTTTCAATAAAAAATCATTCGTCACACCAAGAACCAGGAAGATCTCAAACTGAATGGAGAAAGGCAATCAATGGATGCCAACATTGAGATGACAGGAATGACAACCATTTTGAAAACAACCATCATTTGGAAATAATAGACACTGGGGACTCCAAAAGTGGGGAGAATGGGAGGGGGATGAGGGCTGAAAAGTTACCTGTTGTGTACAATGTTCAATATTTGGGTGATGGGTACAGCAGAAGCCCAATCCCCACAACTACACAATATACCCATGTAACAAACATGCATTGTACCCCCTGAATTTAAAATATTTTTAAAAAGCCATCCTAAAAATGCTTAGATAGGCAATTATAAACATGCTTGAAACAAAACAAAAAAAACAGAAAGTCTCAGCAAAGAAATGGAAGAAAAAATGGAAAACTTATAACTGGAAAATACAACCACAAAAATAAATCTTAATGGATACACTTAATAAAGCAGAATAAAGGGGACAGAGGGATTAATGAGTGAATTGGGATACAGAACAATAGGAATTACACAATCTGAACAGAGAGAAAATAAAGTGAAAGAGCCTTAAGGACCTATGGGACTGTAACTAAAGATCTAATGTTCATGTCATCATAGTCCTGGAAGGTGAGGAGAAAAAAAGGGAGTGAAAAAGTTGTCAAAGAAGTAAAGGCTAAAAACTTCTCAAATTGGCAAAAGACATAAACCTACAGATTCCAGAAGCTGAGCAATCCCAACAGGATAAAACTAAAACAAAATGCCCACACCAAAACTCATCAGTCAAACTTCTAAAAACTAAAGGCAAGGAAAAAAATTTTGAAAGCAGAGAGAAACAACTTACCAATGGGAGAAAAACAATTGAAATGATAGCAGATTTCTGAGAAACCATGGACACTGGAAGTGGCACAATTTTTTTTAAGTGCTAAAAGAAAAGAATTGTCAATGCAGAATGCTATATCCAGAAAAAAAGACTGTCCAAAAAAACAGAAAACTACTAATATCCCTGGTAAATCTAGATACAAGAACCCTTAAGAAAATATTAGAAAAGAGAATTTAGCAACATATAAAAAGAATTATACAACATGACAAAGTGTGGTTGATTCCAAAAATACAAGGCTGATGCAATATTTCAAAGTCAGTCAATTCAATCTACCATGTTAATAAGCTAAAAAAGAAAAATTACTTCAGCTTACCAATCAATGCAGAAAAACACTTGATAAAATAAACATTTGAAAAAGTCTCAGAAAATAGGTTCTGAGGTAAAAGTCTCAGAAAACTAAGAACAGAGGGGAATGTTCTCAATTTGATAAAGATCACCTACGGAAACCCATGGGTAACACTGCACTTAATGGTGAAAGACTGAATGCTTTTTCTCTAAGATAGGGAACAAGGCAAGACTGTCTGTTCTCATCATTCTTATGCAACACAATGCTGGAAGTTCTCACCAGTGCAATAGGAAATAAAAGAAAACAAAAGACATACAGATCAAAAACAAAGAAACTGTCCCTATTTGCAGTTAACATGACTAGGTAGAAAATCCCAAGAAACCTATAAATAAACTTCTAGAACTAATAAGTGAGTTCAGCAAGTTCACAGGATACAAGATAAGCATACAATAATTAATTGTATTTCTGTATACTAGCAATGAACACATGGACACCAAAATTATAATACCATTTACAGCTGCTTAAAAAAGAAACACTTGGGTATAAATTTAAAAAATGTGTACAAGGCCTTATGCTGAAAACCATAAAATGCTGATGAAAGAAATCAAAGAGCTAAATAAATGGATCCATGTTTATGAATTTCAATTCTCCTCAAATTGATATACAGGTTTAACACAACTCCTATCAAAATCTCAGCAACATATTTTTGTAGATATAGACAAGATTTTAAAATTTATACAGAAAAGGAAAGAAACGAATAGCTAAAGCAGTTTTGAAAAAGATCATATAGCTGTGCATTAAGACCGTGTGGTATTAGCAGAAGGACAGACACATAGATCAATGTAACAGAATACAGAACCCAGAACAAATCCACCCAAATATGCCCAACTGTTTTTTAACAAAGATGCAAAAAAAATTCAATGGTGGAAAGGTAACCTTTCAACAAATGGTGCTGAGGTAATTAGACATCCATGGGCAAAAATAATGAAACTCGGCCAGGCGCAGTGGCTCACGCCTGTAATCCCAGCACTTTGGTGGCCGAGGTGGACGGATCACCTGAGGTCAGGAGTTCGAGACCATCCTGACCAACATGGAGAAACCCCATCTCTACTAAAAATACAAAATTAGCTGGGCATGGTGTCATGTGCCTGTAATCCCAGCTACTCGGGAGGCTGAGGCAGGAGAATCACTTGAACCTGGGAGGCGGAGGTTGCAGTGAGCCGAGACAGAGCCATTGCACTCCAGCCTGGGCAATAAGAGTGAAACTCTGTCTGAAAAAAAAATAAATAAATAACCTCAAACTAAGTCTTATACCTTATACAAATATTAACTCAAAATGGATCATTAACTATACAATTTGAAACTATAAAACATTTAGAAAAAAAAAAAAAGAAGAAGAAAATCTTTAGCCTCTAGTGCTAGGCAGAGTTTTTAGACTTGACACCGATACCATGATCCATAAAAGGAAAAACTAATGTTAGACTTCATTAAAATTTAAAACTTTTGCTCTTTAAAAGACTCTGCAAAGAGGATGAAAACACAAGCTACAGACTGTGAGAAAATACTTGGAAACCACAAATCCAGCGAAGGATTAGTTTCTAGAATATGTAAAGAATTCTCCAAACTCAACAAACAATCCAATTAGAAAATGGACAAAAAACGTGAAGGGACATTTCACTGAAGAGGATAGACAGGATATATAAATGCATAGATACAAATGAAAAGATGTTCAACATCATTAATGATTAGGGAAATGTAAATTAAAACCATGATGCTATATCACTACACGTCTATAAGAATGGTTAAAATAAAAATAGGGATAACACTGAATTCTGATAAGGAGGCACAACTACCAAATTACTCATATACTGTGGGTGGGGATTTAAAATGGTACACCACTCTAGAAAGCAGTTTAGCAGTTTCTAATAAAACTAAATACATGATTACCATAAAACCCAGTAATTACACTTCTGGGAATTTATTCCAGATAAATGAAAACTTATTTTCACACAGAAACCCATGCATAAATGTTTATAGCAGCTTTCTTCATAATAGCCAAAAAGTGGAGACAACCCAAAAGCCCTTCAAAGGATGGAAGGACTAATTAAACAAATTGTACTACAGCTTTACTATGGGATATTATGCAGCAATAAAAAGGAGCAAACGATTGATACATGCAATAAACTGGATAAATTTCCAGATAATTATAGAATGAAAAAATCCTATCTCAAAACATTACATACTGTATGATTCTATTCATATAACATTCTTGAAATGACAACATCATTGAAATAGAGATAGACAGGTGATTGCCAGGAATTCACTAGAGAGTGGGGACAGGAGGGAAGTAGAGGTGGCTATACAAGGGCAACATGAGGGACCTTGGTGGCGACAGAGAGAAATGTTCTGTATCTTGACTGCCTCAATGTCAATGGTGCTATTATGCTATAGTTTTGCAAGATGTTATCACTGGGGAAAAGTCAGGGGGTACAGGATACATGGGACATTGCTCTATTATTTCTAACAACTACATGTGAATCCACAATGATCTCAAAATAAAGTTTAAAAGAAGTTAGGATAGGGGTTACCCTTAAGGGAGATAGTGACTAGAAGGAATTTTGGGGTGCTGATAATGTATTTTCTTATCTAGGGCTTTATTTCATGAAGTGTTGACTTTGTAAAAACTCACTGAACTACAGTATTCTACAACAAAAGAACTTAATATGAAGAAAAAAAAAGATGAAAGTAGGAGAGAAAAAATGAGACAGATATAGCATCTCCCAGGAAGTCAAACATCTAGAAAATAATAACTCCAAGAAGGAAGAAAAGAAAAAAATTAAGGGAAGAAAACTTTAAAATTTCAAGAAAATGCCTCAAAACTGAAAGATAAGAGTTGTCTGAGTGAAATGACCCACCTAGTACCTAACACAATGAATAAAAATGGACACAAGCCAAAGCACATCATCGTTTCAGAACACTGGGACAAACGAATTACCTTACAAACTTTCAGAGTATAAAATATTTCACATAATAAGCATCAGGAATGAGAATGGCTTCAGATATCTCAACAACATCATCACAATCTATATGTAGCCAAATTATTACTTGAGTTTATGGGTGAAATAAAGACATTTTACACATGCAATTTCTCACAAAATTTATCTCTTATGTACCCTTTCTCAGGTTGTGTTCCACCAGAACAAAAGGATAAATCAAGCGAAAGACAGACAAGGGATACAGGAAATAAGAGATCTAACATGGGAGAGAAGCAACAGGAATACAGGGATGACAGAACTGGAGATCCCAGGAATGACAACTTTGAAGGGCAACCAGTCTAGTGGGAATAGGACTGAAGGTTTCAGGAGAGACCGTCAGAAAAATGACACTGGTAGAATACCAATACACCTGAATGTCCTAAGAGGAAATTTAGATGGCTGGTGAAACATTCAAGGATGAATAACTGATAAATACAGAGAAAGTTAAATAAACAGAACACTACAAGAAAACAAAGAGTTGCACAGAAAAAGAAAAAATGCAGTTTACTACATGTCTCTGTTATGATTACACAGTCATACAAATACAAACATGAATACTGAACTAACCAAAATTGCCTTATAGCTACATTGGGAAGTCAGAGAAATGAGAAAGTTAGGCTTTCTCATTAGACAGTCAGGAGCAGAAGAGAGAGTTAACTTGGTTTCTTCTATAGTGGGAAGACACTAGATATTATCTAGTGTCTTTAAATAAAATTAAAGTCAAGAAATACAGATACAAGAATTTTATTTAAAGACATACAGGTGATAATCCTACTATTTTGGGAGGCCAAGGCAAGAGGATCAATTAAAGTCAGGAGTTCTGGGCAACATAGTGAGATCCCATCTTTAAAAAAAATTTTTTTTTTAAGTTAGCCAGGTATGGTGGTACATGCTTACAGTCCCAGCTACTTGGGATGCTGAGGTGCCCAGGACAGTGAGCTATGATCATACCACTGCACTCAGCCTGGGTGACAGGGTGAGAACTGTCTCAAATAAATAAATAGGTGAATATCAAAATAATTGCAGAAAAAGTAGTTGCCTCTGGGAAGAGAAATAAAAAGAGCACAGAAGTCTGTTTTTTTGTTTTGGTTTGTAACCTTGTAAACATGTTCATTTTTTTAACTTCATACATCCATAACTCTCACTTTAAAAATAAAAACTGAGAAAGAAATATGGAGTCATGTGGATTTTGTCTTTACAAACGACATTAAAGCCAACTACTAACACCCTTCTATCACTGACTAAACATTTTTCAGAGTTGTACAGAATGTCCTTCCACATCAATTCTAATCAGGGGCCTTAGAGTGAACTTTAATTAATTATTCTACATAAATCATCTGCTGAATCTTCCCCAGGTAGATCAGAGAAGGACACAAAGTCCTCTTTAATGGGCATAATTTCCTGAATTGTCCAAGTGATTATGAAGAACTGATGCCCATATGCTAATTCAAAAATGGAAATATCTTACATTAAGATATTGATGTAAACCTTGATGAGTGACTTTCTCCCAAAATATTATTTCCTCTCCACCATATGCAAATGACTTTTGAGTATCATAAGGTTACACAAGGTTTCTCTGGTTACATAAGTCCAGATGTTAAGTAGTTCTCACAGTATCAACAAATACAAAGTCGTTATGGAAATGTTTCTGTAATATGACATTCAGTATCCCATATATAAATGTCATAGACAGTAACTTTTATATGAATTTCAAATCTTAAAAGACAAACAAAACTGTTAAACTCAGGTCATTATTTTTTTTTACTCAATATTTTCAGGTCATATTTAGATTTTGGTAAAAAGGAACCAAAACATGGAGAAATCACATTATAAACACAGTTATGAAATAAAGCATAATAAATAAAGTGTAATCACAGGATCAGGGACAAAAAGAAACCAAAAACAAGTATATCCCAATGTAGGGCATCTTTGGCTGAAGTGGATTATATTTAATTTGTCTTAAGGAATGACAAAACAAGTACAAAGAGTAGTAAAAATATTTATATGCTGGATGAGACAATCTGTTTATAAAGTGAAAGGAGATTTTGTTTATTGAGAGGTTGATATGGGCTAAATGTCTACAGCCCCTCCAAAATTAATAAGTTGAAGCCCTAAACCCCAATATGATGGTATTTGGAGGTAGCCCCGTTTGGAGGTAATTAGATTGAGAAGAGGTCATGAGATAGGACCTTTTTGATGGGATTAATGCCCTTATAAGAGGAGGCAACTCTCTCTCTATCCACATAGCAAGAAGGTGGCTATCTAGTAGCCAGGAAGAGGGCCCTCAACAGGAACAGAGTTTACTTGCACCTTGATGTTGGATTTCTCAGTCTCCAGAACTGTGAGAAATAAACTGTGGTTCAAGCAACCCTGTCTATATATGGTTGCTATATATATATGCTATATATGGTTGCTATATATTTTGTTATAGCAGCCTGAGCAAACTAAGACAGTGGGCAATGAACATGAATCAATTCAGTTAATATTTTGTTTTTAATGTCTGAGTCTTAATGCTTTTTTAAAAAAAGAAACTTGAAAATATAGAGTTAAGAAGACATTTCAAATTATATACAGAATTAACTTTATGATCTTTTCTGGGAAATATTCTCTAGTGCAGGTTTGCAGTTCATCCTAATCAGATAAGGAAGGCTTTGTTTACTTTTTAGGAAAGCAGAAGTCTTCTCACCTGGCACAGTCTAATGATAGTAATCAATACAACTATTGTGAAAATATAACACAGACTTCTAAAACCTGGAAAGCTATGCTACCAGTACCTACACTGAGTCATTCAAATAGCAGGTATTTCTGAATTATTGATGAGAGGCAATGAAATCATTCTTATTAAAACTGATAGCTTTCTTCATTATGTATTTGAATTAAAACTGTTCAAACATATATTGAGTTATCCGCAAATATATGAGAGTATGAAAATGGATTCAACTTTTGAAGAAAGAAACCCTGAGATCGAATACATTATTTGGAATAATTGCCAAAGGTTAGATTTACAAACATGATAAGAATGTGTGCTATAACATAGCAGTGACATAATTATCAGTGATGGAGAGGAAATAGTCCCTGGATACCACAGAAGGGACACTCTTCCTTGTGCCATGGCCATCATAACTCAGTGTTGCCTAGTGATGAGGGCTGAAGCTGCGAAGCAGGGAAATCAACTTTTCAAACCCTTGCAGCCAGCTCTGTCTTGTCAACTGTTATTGGCCAACATTCTCAATGGCTTTGGGAAATGTGAGTCCCAGAGCTGGACTCTAACATACTGCTGCAATTATGACCAGTATAGACACAGGGAAACTACTGTAAAAGAGCGTTAGAATCTAGGTATTCACACACCGCACTCAAACATTCAGTTCAACCCCCAGCTTCTTCCAGGATAGAGCTTTTTCCAGAGACACAGTGTGCGAGGTCAATTCCCATAGATTTTTTTTTTCCATCAGGATTGCTTTAGCATCTGCTAGACATTTAGCCAATGTCATGAAAAAAATATATAAGGTTAGTTTTATAACAGTCACACAGGCTACAAGGGCACTGATCTGTGCAAAGATGAATGACTATTTTGGAATCTTCCTCTTCCTTTCAGGGTATTGTGACATGGTTCCTTTATGGCAAAGCCAAATGATGAAAGAAACAAAACTGGTCTCAGTCCTGTCAGCCCAGTTTCCAGCCTGAGCCCTCCAGGCACTCAGCACTGCCCACGGGCTCCCCAGAGCTGCTACTAGCTCCCCAGAGCTGCTACTAGCAGCATTCCACTGGGATTGAAACTCCTCCCAGAAACTAGAACCTGGCACCCTTGTCATTCTTTTGTTTTGTTTTGTTTTTTTAGATAGGGGCTCCTTCTGCCACCCAGGCTGGAGCGCAGTGGCACAATCACAGCTCACTGCAGCCTTGACCTCCTGGGCTCAAGTGATCCTCCCACCTCAACCTCCCAAGTAGCTGGGACTACAGGCACACACCACCACTTTCAGCTATTCTTTTCAGTTGTTTGCAGAGACAGGGTCTCACTATGTTGCCCAGGCTGGTCTTGAACTCCTGGGCTCAAGTGATCCATTTGCCTCAGCCTCCTAAAGTACTGGAATTACAGGTGTGGGCCACTGTGCCCAACCACCTTGTCATTCTTGGTGGGCCTTTCCAAGGCTCCTAGTAAAACCTGACTGCTAGATCATAAGCAAGCTGATTCACAACCTTGGTTGCCCCATCTTGACAACATATTTGCACTTCAACAGGGAATCAGTGGATTATACTATCATATTATTACCAACTACAATACAATAACACTTAAGTAACACTTGCTATGAACCTAGCATGTATTAACTCATTTAATACTCACAACAGTTCTCTGGGGTGGAAATGATTCCTTTCCCAGTTTTACCAATGAGGAAACTGTGGCACAGAGAAGGCAAATAACCAGCCCAAAGTCACATAGGGAATGAGTAGCAGTGCTGCTCTTAGCAGGTACTGACTCTCAATGCACTGTGCAGCTATGAGACAGGGATCCCAAAAGTTAGGTCTTAGGCCTCAAAGACTTGCTTTATCATTGACAAGCAATGATAAACCACATCTCTCTCTCTCTCACATACACACACACACACACACACACACACACACACACACCACTAAAGGGTTAAATGAAAAGTCAGAATAATAATGGAAGAAAAGCCACATAGCCCTATATAATTTATTAACTAAAAGATATTAGGGACAATAGGCATGCTTCTGGAGTTCCAAGTAGGGTGTCCATACTTCAGACAGGGGTTGTCAAGAAAACGAGGGGCTTAAATTGAACTCTGAAAGATGGGCAGGATTCACAGGCAAAGATGAGTGGGAAAACTATTCCAGGGTAGAGGAAAGAAAAGGCAGCAGAGGATCCGTAAAAGATTTATCCCAAGACTAAAGGGCACATGAGGCCACCCAGACAGCAACAGATGGCACAGGGCCTTGAATACCAGGCTGAGGGACGACAGAACACAAAATACAATGGAATTATACTGAAAAAAAGACATTCATTTGAACAACCAAAAAAACCCTACAGCTATAGATCGAGCACCCACTAGTAGGTAGGACACATGCTGGAGGCCACACAGTCCCTGTCATGACACCCAGAGGCGAGAAGAAGACGGGGGCACACACAATCACAACACCTTATGCTAAATGTTCAAACAGGAGCAAGCACAGGTGATGTACACAGAGGGTCTGTGGTGTGGGGCCTCGAGCCAATCTTAAAGGATGAATAGATTGGCAGGGTTTTGCTACTGTGACCTTGCTAAGGATTTCCCAACATTTGAACTTTTATTTTGGTGTGCTGATCTTACCGCTAATGATCCAGTACTGAAGTCCTGTGATGGTATCATTTCAGAACAAACAGTACTTTATGAATTCACTATATCTAATGGGACCTTTCATAACATCTGGAAATAGAATACACTTGAAACATTTTCCTCACTCCTTCCTCTACTTCTAGAGATTGTTCTCACATCTACTGTAGGATTTATAGGTAATTTTATTGCTATCTTTTTACAGATATCTCGTTTGCCCAACAAGACTGTATACCCCTCGAGGGAGGAATCTAGAACATAACATATTGCCCTTTACCCCTGTAAGCTCTCAATACTGTTTATTTTGACAAGCACCTGATGACAATAAACATATAAATTTTTATTAAAGTTTAATGTGATCAAAAATTCATTTTAGGAAGTAGAGTCAAAAGAAGTCCCAGTTGCATCCCCCTGGCTTTGATAAATCAGTGCCTCTTTAAGCCTCCTTTTCCATACAAACTTAAGTCAATTAACTCCCAGAAGGATTCTAGAGCTTAAATGAAATAAAGTATGAGAAAGCATTCTGTTAATCTAAAAGCAACATATGAACATTTGGTGTTGCTGGTAGTTGTAGTTTTATTCCAGATATTTCATTAAAACTCTGGGTCTTATTTTGCAATTATGCCAAAAGCACTTTTCCCAGAATTATTTGGCACCACCCTTGAACTAGGCTAGTATTTCATCCATCTGTGCTCATGAATTTATGTTCATGTCTGTTTTCATGTCTACAGCCTGATGGGGGCCTGTGAGGCACTGGTTCACTGGAGAACACACTATTGTAATATGGACTGGAATGATAATTCATTATCTCCAGGAAAGAAATAACTATTCACTTAAAATAAAATATTCTGTAGAAACATTTTACTTATATTTGTAACATCATAAATCTGAAAGAAAGGACCTGAAATCCTCTCTAACATTTCCTTTCAACTTGCTAACAGGGTGAAAAAGGAACAAATTATTTTGATCTCTTAAGGGTTGGAGGAAATAGCTTATAACCATAAAGATGACTTTAGTAATAAAGACCAACTAGATTTTCACTTTCACTTTGTGGAAGAAAATAATCAAATGTCAATTAAAAATTTATAATTTAGGTTCCTCAGACCTTATCAGCCATCATGAAGCAGATTCCTACTTATTAGTTTTAGACTCCTGATTAAATATTGTGCCAATATAGCATAATTTATAATATAAATTTGAAGCAGGCCCCAGAACTTCATTTCCTTCTACCTTTCAAATAAGCTTCCTGTCTTAGAACAAGCCCAGCGGGAGGAAAAAGTAACAGTTCACATTACAGAGCTATTCTAACACTATTAGACACTGAGGAAGTTAAGAGGGTTAAATAAAGCACAATCTATACACGAGACAAGGCAGTTTAAACAGAAATGTATGGGTGCTTCTTTCTCAGACCTTTTATGAGTTTACAATTGAGACCAGAATATAGATCTCAAGGTTTATAATACATTTTCCTATAGCCCTGGACTATCATCAGTTATTTTTACTTACATCCCCTAAATGTGCTATAGTCTAAAAGAATAATTTATATCCTTAGTACCTTCCCATATATGTAATCTAAAATTGTTTTATTTTGCTGTTAGGGTTCTGATAACTTGAGAATTACCATAAGCTATCAATTCTAATGATATAATTAGTTTCAGAAAAAGGTTTATTACTTAGCCCATAAAATAAAAAAGTGGCTGAGCACAGTGGCTCACATCCGTAATCCCAGCACTTTGGGAGACAGAGGCGGGAGGATCACTTGAAGCCAGGAGTTTAAGACCAGCATGGGCAACAAAGCAAGATCCCATGTCTACAATTTTTTTTTAATGAGTCAGGCATGGTGGTTCATACCTGTAGTTCTAGCTATTCAGGAGGCCAAGGCAGGAGAATCACTTGAGCCCAGGGGTTCAAGGCTGCAGTGAGCTAGGATCACGCCACTGCACTCCGGCCTGGGTAACTGAGAGAGATCCTGTCTGTAAATAAATAAAAATAAAAAAGATAGATACTTTAACATACATACCATACCAATAATTTTTAAAATGGAAATATTCAATGCTGGTGAGTATGAGAATTGACAGGCATTGTCATTCACTGAGAGTAAAAACATAAACTTTCTGAAAAGCAAAGACTTAAATGTAAAGATTTTTATTGCAACACTTTTCACAACAATCACAACTGAAACAAAGTAAGTGATCAATAATAAGGACAGTTAAATAAGTTATGGTGAAAATAGGTAAATAAGCTATAGAGAAAAATAAAATCTTATATCCATATCATGGGAAAATAGAACTTAACTACATGGTAAAATGCATCATGTTAAATGAAAGAGCAGGACACAAACCTCTCGATATAGTACAGTTTATATTTGTAAATCTATGTAGCTCAAATAAAATGTATTTTAGAAAAAGACTCGATAAAAATGACACCAAAGTGTTATCAGGGATTATCTCTGAGTAGTAAAATTAGGACTTATTTAATTTTTTTCTTATACTTGGCTGGATTTTTAAAAAATCATTATTTATCACTTTAAAAATACATATTTAAAAAGGAATTATTTTAAATATAAAACATTTGAGTGACAATTAGGATGTCCTTGTTCCCGGAGTTCCTGAAAAATTATAGAGTTATTAAATTGAGGTCTGATCATTCATCTAATGCCTTGTGCTTCCCAGTATACGGAATTGAAAGGGACTGTCACAAGGACTTTGAGACACTCTTAAAAGATATGCACACCTTTTACAGGGAGCCTCATTACACAGAAAATAAAATTGAAATGTGTCATGTTTACTCATTCAAAAGAATCATAATAAAGTCTTTTATTTAAACTCCCTTATAAATGTGAATTGGGGCATATTTGTTCATTAGTTAAACACAATTGCACAGGCATGATTTTGAAATAGAATTAAGAAAGGCACTCCATAATAGCTAAAGAAGCTTGCCTTTGCTGGATTGGAGCACGTTAATCAAGAACACAGCGCTTCTTTATTTTATGTTCCAGGACACATGTGCAGGACATGTGGGTTTGTTACATAGGCAAACGTGTGCCATGGTGGTTTGCAGCACCTACCAACCCATCATCTAGGTATTAAGCCCCACATGCATTAGTTATTTATCCTGATGCTCTCCCTCCCCCTGCCACCCAACCCCCCAGACAGGCCCCAGGAACACAGTACTTCTTAAAAGTCATAGGCAGCATGCATGTCACTTTGTATGATTCTGCTTTATGTGTTTGGTGTGGTGCCTTCCTCCTTTGCTCTACCTTGAGCCAAGTACCTTGAGGCCAAGTATGTTCTACCTTAACTTTGTCCCTAAAAGTGCCCTGAACAGTTAAGAATTCCCAGCGTGACTCACAGGGACCCACTCCTGCCACTGCTCCAGTGCTCAGTTTCTCCTGGAATCCTGGGCCCTGACTGCCATGTCTCCTCTTCACCCCACAGTATAGCAGGGCTCATGGTACATTGGTTTATTGGAGCTCAGAGAGAGCAGGCCCCGTGCAGAGTGGAGTGCACCTGCCTGTGGAACAAGGTCTCTCTACATAACCAACACAGACTGCTAACTACCAGTCCAGGCTCGCCACTCACTTTCCTTTGGCACGGTTAACCCACACATCGGGCTTGTTCAGGCAGCACCAGTTCCTCCTTTTTATCCTCCTCAAAGCCACACACCAGAGCTCACTCTGCCCACTGCTGATTCATAGTGTCCCTGTCTTTCCCTGTCTTTCCCCCATCCCACTCTTGGTCTCAGATCAAAATGCTTCCAAACATTTCCTCAGAGTCATTCAGAGCTGGCCTTTCCTGTTTTGTACTTGCCAAATGTTTCCTGAATTGGTCTCCCATTCTAAAACATGCCCCACAACAAATGTCAAAGAAAGACATCTCTGCCCCCCTTAATTCAATTTTTTTCCACATCTCTTGAACATGGTTTTTTAAGGGTCTGAATTTCTTCCCATCTTTGCCCTATTCTCCCCCATTCTACCCCGCCCCTCCCATCCTAAAATGCAGCAGGACCACCAGGTCACAAGGTAATACAGAACTCTCACTCACATCTCTTCAACATAATCATCAACACGTGGCTCAGCTAGATTTACATCATAATGGATCAAGGCAGGGAGAGGCTACTTTGAATACATACAACATTGGGATGTAGTTTTTGTTGGTGCTGAGGTAGAGGTGGGGGTTTGGGAGGGTGTGCTCTTTTTAAAGCCATAACATAGCAACCAGTAACTATAGCAGACACATATTAACATATAGGCTCAAGGTTTAGGTGTTCCACGTTTGTAATTATTTATTATTTGGTTGGCTTTTCTGTTTTGGCCCCTGCACCAAACATCACTTGTCTGAACAAATGACTGGTAGATTCCAAAAGTTGCCCAGCCAACTTGAGACAATGCCATTTTGCAAAAACAGTAAATAAATATCATCCAAATGTGGGCAATCAAAAACAGCTACAAAGCAAATGTTACTGAATCCAGCAGTGGGGCTAAGTACTGGATAACGTATCATTCAGAATTTAGGAAAACAAATCAGGCTGACACAAGCCCCTCTCACCCCCAAAATGCCAGTAGAGTAAATGGGAACAGACAGCTAATGTTGGATAATTAAACATGGAGGAATTATAAACTCAAAGGAAATGTTCTTGGTGGAGGCATTAAGGTGTTTTCATTGCCCCACACAGAATTGACATCAGATGTGTTTGTTTGCTTTTCCCAGGAATCAAAAATGCTATGCCCAAGGAAATGCCATGTTAGTTGAGTTTGAGGAAGAAATTTTACCCAAACTGGCCTTGTAGTAGGGTAGGACTTTGCACTTGATTTCTGCCTTTAAAGATAACCTATTGAACAAAGTTTCCTAAATTAAAAGATGGAGATTTCCTTCTGCCTAAAACATAATTAGAACCCAAAATGAAATGTTGGATAATACCTAAAATTGTGAGAATATCTCTTCTGTAAAATACTTTTACAATTCCCTCTTTCTCAAGATTACCTACTACCACAATGATAATTAACCAAGTTTAAGCATGTGTTTTCTTGATTCTGAAAAGTCTGAATGTATTATGGCTCTGGATTTCTAAGTCTGGAAATGTATTAATTTTTAAGGATTCTAAGCAGTGGTTTTAGTTAATTTTACATAGAATTGGATAGAACTATGGGACTGTATTTAACAAGTACATATGCATCAGATTAGTTTAACTTTATGATAACTTGCTTCTCCTAAATTGTTACTAAAAATAATTATACCTAAAGTCATCCAGAATGCCATAATTTCATGAGATGACACAGCAGGTAAATTGGTTTCTCCAACTCCTACCTTCTACCAGATTGTTCTGTACAGAACAATCATGCTTCCAAAGACAGCCACCACTAGCAAGACCAGGAAGAAAGAAATTCTTATCACCCCTAATCAAGCAGATAAATTGTGTATGCTCCAAAGCATTCTTATTGAGGAGGAAAACTGAGGAGTTGTAGAATATGCTACAGTTACTATTAGAAAAAGTAAAAGCCAGTCACCTGAGACTCTTTACCCTTTGCCCCCCAATTCTCAGTATGCCACCTTTCACTTTGATCTCCTGAGTCTCATTTCACTTCCCTAACATTAGAGTTTAGGCACATTCAATTTTATCTTACTTTGGATTGTTATAAAATCAATTAATTCTAGTCTTCTTTTGTTTTCCTTTTTAGTTTATATAATAAGAGAACACATGCTTGTTCCAAAAACAAAATTTTAAGCCCAAACATAACTTTATAAGGTAAAAAGCAAAAACATCCTCTTTTCTCCATCTTGTCTCACTTCCTGAAGATAGCCACTGTCGGCTGGGCGCAGTGGCTCATGCCTGTAATCCCAGCACTTTGGGAGGCCTAGGCAGGGGAATCATGAGGTCAGGAGATGGAGACCATCCTGGCCAACATGATGAAACCCCGTCTCTACTAAAAAAATAAAAATTAGCTGAGCCTGGTGGCATGTGCCTGTAATCCCAGCTACTCGGGAGGCTGAGGCAGGAGAATAGTTTGAACCCAGGAGGCAGAGGTTGCAGTAGGCCGAGATCGAGCCACTGCACTCCAGCCTGGTGACAGAGCGAGACTCTGTCTGAAAAAAAAAAAAAAAAACTACTGTCAACAGTTTGGGGACAAAAAGGCGTATGTGTGCCTGTATGCAGGTTTAAACAAATGTATATAAATTTCTTCTGAAGCTAGTTTTTTTTTTTCTTTTTTTTGAGATAGAGTCTCGCTCTGTTGCCCAGGCTGGAGTGCAGTGGCGCGATCTCGGCTCACTGCAACCTCCACCTCCCGGATTCAAGCAATTCTCTACCTCAGCCCCCTGAGTAGCTGGGATTCCAGGCGCCCGCCACCACGCTCAGCTAATTTTTGTATTTTTATTACAGGTGGGATTTCACCATCTTGGCCAGGCTGGTCTTGAACTCCTGACTTCGTGATCCACCTGCCTCGGCCTCCCAAAGTGCTGGGATTACAGGCATGAGCCACCTTGCCCAGCCATTTTTTTCATTTAATATACAGCATCTTGATTTTTCAGCCAATGTGCAAAATAGCTAGCAGACACACATTTTTTGCATTTCTTCCTTTCCCTATAATGAGATTGCCAAATTAAGATTTGCTGTCAAAGGAAGTAAAACAAAGAAACCTGTCAGCTTCATACTGCCTTCAATCTACAACTGGTGAGGACAAAAGGGTAAACATACACACATTAATATACATACGTAATAAATATATAAATTATCCTACATGGCTAAATGTTAACATAAGTAATACATGTACATTGAAATCAAGTTAATTTTCAAAGGCACGAAGCTAAGGAAGACATCTGCGTAGGTGGAGAGACTTAATAGGTTCTGATTAGGGAGGGACACCATGTGGAAATTTCCTGGGCTTTGGAGCCAGAAACATGAGGTCAAATTTAACTCTACCTCTTACTGATTATGTGGTTTGTGTAAGTTGCTTAACCCTTCTGAGCTTCCTTTTTGTCATGCACAGAACTAGGGGAAAGATTTATCTTACAGAGATTGAGATACTAAATGTTTACAATGGTGTCTTGAACATAATAAGTACCCAAAAAAATGCCTTAATACTGTTAATAGTCCAGACACTATATATGATGGAATTGGTGATCCAATACTCACACCACCAAATACCTGTGAACTCTGCTTTTTGTCTTTGTGTTTTATTTGCCTTCACGCTTTTATATTTATTTGTATAGAGATGGAAAGTGCCTTAGAAATAAACTGCTGTAAACATGAAGGACACACAACTACTTAGTAGCTTTAATGCATTATTGAAGTGATGTTCTCTCCTCCTGTTTCCCCAGAGCATCCTGCACTGGGCTCATTAACAATGTCCCATCCTTCCCCTAAGCAATCCTAAATTTTACTTACACCTCGTGATAAATACAAGCCATCTGACTATCACTAAACAGCTGACCATATCCTGCACCTCTGCTAGCAGCTTGACGTGTCAAAAGCCAAGCTTCCCAAAGAGGAGGATCCTATCCTTTTACTTAACAAGGCTAAAACAGATGCATACACTTTTAGCTGGCTAGTGCCCACATCTTGGGGAAAGGACCTACCAAGTACACATCTCCTTTTATTACATATTTTAGTCAACTGTATGTCCACCCACCCTTCACATTCATCTATACTTAAGAGGTTAGATTTCTAGAAAATCATGGACTTCTAGAAGGATTAGGGGAAATTTTGGCCACTATAATATCCAACCATCCTCTTTTCCATGTGAGAAAACTGGGGCTCAGGAAGATGTGACATGCCCAAGCACACACATCTATTTAAATACCAGTTGGGATTAGAACCCCAACTCTTTAAGTCTTTTGCACACTAATAAGCAAGGTATTATATGTTCCAGTAGTTCTGTGAGGTGCTTATTCAATCTTTTTGGGATGAAAAGAAACGTCCGTGGTTGCGAATGCATAAAGGTAATTAACCCACCTGTCTGTCCATGTGGGGATGGGATTAACGAGGGGGAAAGTTGCGTTTGTATTTTTCCACCATCTTACCTAAATTTGCAGGAAAATTGCTCTATGGGCAATAAATATGACCCAGAAAGACTAGCAACCCCCAGTAGTATCTCAAAAGGGCTCCAGAGACATGTTAGACCAAGTGGAAGTAAAGCACGAGGTGGGGGATGTCTGCTAGGATGGTGGCTGGCAGAGCAGAGGTATTTTTTTTTCCGTATTTATTAACCTGGGAGGGCAGACGTTGTCAATTTCCTCCTCCTGCCACACAAGTGGCCGCGTCCTTGTCACTGGGGCTGTGTGGAGGTTCTCACCTCCTCCTTTTTCCCAGGGATGTTTATGGCGAGGGCGCGGGTCGGCCCGGGCGGAGGAGGACCCGGGCATCGGCGCTCACCCTCCGTCCCCACCCGCGGCAGCAGCTGTGGGCGCCCGGCGAGGGCTCCCTGGGCAGCGCCTTTGTTTTCCCGACTCCAGTTACGTTTGCGGAAGTGCTGCCAGCACGGGGCGCGCTGGGGGCGCAGGCGGCAGCCTCCCCCAGCACCCCACAAAGATGACACCCGACACGGAAGCCGGGGGAGGGAGGGAGGGAGGGAGCGGCGGGCGAGCGAGGCCCGAGCGGAGACAGCGGCGCACGCTGGGCTCCGAGCCCCGGCCCCGAAGCCCCTTTCCCGGCAGCAGGTGTGCGCGGCTGAGGTGCCTACCCGCCCTCCGGCTGGGCCCGTGCGGGGCGGGGGAGGCCAGGGCGGGTCTGCGAGCCCCTTCTCCGCAAGCCGGGCCCGACTCACCTGCTGCGGCGGCGGCAGCGCTCAGCTGCGCGGGGCGCGGGGAGCCCTGTCCCCGGAGCACGGGGCGGCGGCTCGGGGCGCCGGGGCGGCGGCTGTCGGGGCAGCGCGCACCATCCCGGGCTGCTCGCGCGCTCCTCCGGGGCTGCGACGGGCTGGGCGGGGCGCGGCGAGGCGAGGCGAGGGATGCGGACCGGGTGGGGCCACGGAGGACGGAGGCGGAGGGCCCAGCGCTCCCGCCGGCGCGACCTTCTCTCCCGCTGCGGCTCCTCCTCCTCCCCGGCCCCGGCCTCACAGTCGCCGCCGCCGGTCACTACCGGCTGGACCCGTTTCAGGGCCGGGCGCTGAGGACCGGCCGCCAGGTGCAGCGCTCCGCCTCCTGCGGCGGCGGCGGATGCGTCGACTGCCCGCTCCCGGCCTCCAGCCCGCCCCGGCGGCCCGGAGGGACACCTGAACCCAGCCGGGCCCGGGGAGCACGCTGAGGAGGCGAAAGCACTGGGCGAGGCTCCATCCCTACCGCACCCTCCACCCCCCCGCACCCCCAAGCGACTTCCGCTGAGCCCCCAGGCAATGAGTGCGGGCCAGGAAATGTGGGGGAAAATGTACTAACATCCCTTATTCCTTGAGCGCCTTTTAAGTGGCACACACAATGCTAATGCTGTCAGTGCGTTATCTCCGCGTCTGTCCCAGGTTGACCCGGGAGGGAGGAGCCGGCGGGGTGCGGGAGACAAACGATCTGTGAGTTTCGGGGCTCACCAAGAAGGGGGAACACTGAGACGAAGGCACCCTTTTTCAGGAAGCTGCTACTGGCATCTTGCTGAAAAGCCAACCGTGTGTGTCGCACTAAGAATATAATTAAAGTTGTATTTCTAGTTAAACACGCAGAGAGTTGGGGGAGAGTGGAGTATTCACTTGGCAAGTATGTCTGTGTGCCTGTGATGGGCTTTGGGGGATGCCACATCCTGTTCTTAAGGAGTTTATTGTCTTGTTCTGGCAACAACGACAAGAGTGACAATGGTAGCTAACGGCAACAACGACAAGAGTGACAATGGTAGCTAACGCTTATAAACATCGATTATGTACGGGGCACTGTGTAGGTACTCTTTGAGCCTTATAACCCTATAGGTGTAGGAAACGTTATTCCCATTTTACAACTGAGGAAAGCCGAGGCTGAAAGTTAATGTGACCCATCCAAAGTTACTAAACAGCGAAAGGGAAAGCAGGCTTCTTTTGTCTCCAGGCTTTAAGCTCTTAACCGTGAAATCATACTGGTAAGAATTTGATAGGCCCTGAAGTTTCTGAATTTTGAGTCCCTCTTTAGGAAGAATAAAACAATTACAAATACGAAGTTTCTAGGGCCCCTTCCTGAGCTTATGAAGGGTCTCTGAAGCTTAAACTATAGTAGCCTCATGCTAAATCCACTTTCAATATTGACGTAGATATTCAATCATTTCTTTCTCCAGGCATTTCTTTCTCCTGTCAGGAACACGAGACACTGGTCCCCTCCTTGAAACTCTTCCCTTCTCTTCTTTTGGTGCTCCGTAAGTGTTGGATTTTCCTCCTTGAAACTCTCCCCTCCTCTGCCTTCTGTGACCCACAAGTCTTGGGTTTTCCTCTTCCTCTCTGGCCACTCCCCTTTGCTCCACTTGAGTTTTAGTTTTCCTTGGGTTTTGTTCTAGGCTTTCCTTTCTTCTGATTCTGTTTGTTTCTGCGAATTCTCTCACTCCTTGGCTTCAATCACAGAATATTTGAGGGTGCTCCAAAAGCCCTCTCTCGGGGTCAGCTTTTCTCCTGAGGGCCAGATCCTTATGGCCAGTTGTCCAGTGGGATGTGTCACAGGCACCCCAACCTCACTAAGTGCCACGTCAATGTTTCTTTACCTTCTGTTCTTCCCCTACTCGTTTTTTTTTTTTAAGATGGAGTCTCACTCTGTCGCCCAGGCCGGATTGCAGTGGCGTGATCTCAGCTCACTGCAACCTCTGCCTCCCGGGTTCAAGTGATTCTCCTACCTCAGCCTCCTGAATAGCTGGGATTACAGGCATGTGCCACCATGTCTGGCTAATTTTTGTATTTTTAGTAGAGATGGGGTCTCACCGTGTTGGCCAAGCTGGTCTCAAACTCCTGACCTCAAATGATCCCCCCACTTCAGCCTCCCAAAGTACTGGGATTACAGGTGTGAGCCACTGCACCCGGCCCCTCATTCACTCTTGCTTCTGGGTTCCCAGACTCTGGGGTCCCAAACAGCCATCCACCCAGTTGTACAAGGCCCTTCTTCTCAATGCTCCTTTCACCCTTATACCCATGCCCAGTGTATTAGTTACCTATTGCTGCTGTAACAAGTTATCGTAAACTTTGTGGATTAAAACACACATTTATTATCTTACGATTCTGGAGGTCAAGAGTCCAAAATGGGTTTTAGTGAACTAAAACCAAGGTGACTACAAGGCTGTATTCTTTCTGTAGGCTGTAGAGAATAACCCATTTCTTTTACCTTTTCCACTTCTAGGGGCTGCTCACATACTTTGGCTCATGGACCCTTCCTCCATCTTCAAAGCACACCACTCTAACCTCAGCCACAATCCTCACATTGCCTTTTCTGACTCTGACCCTCATTACATTGGGTTCACCTTCATCATCTAGCGTAATCTCCTCCTTTCAAGAATCTTAATCCCATCATCAAAGTCCCTTTTACCATGAAGCATATTCACAGGCTCCTGGGATTGAGACATGGACATCTACAGCGGGCCATGACTCTGTCTATGACATCCAGTCAGATGCCAAACTCTTGATTCTACCTTTTCAAATATCTCTAGCACCTGTCCTCTTCTCTCCATCCCTGTGCTATCCTAATCTCTGTTATCTCTCCTTTGCCTGCAAAATTTCTCTGGTCTCTCTGCCTCAAAATGTTCTCTCATCCAATCAACTTTTCACTTTGCCACCAAAGTAATCTGTTTTCTTTTCTTTTCTTTTCGACAGGATCTTGCTCTGTCACTCAGGCTGGAGTGCAGTGGTGTGATCATAGCTTACTGTAACCTCGAACTCCTGGGCTCAAGGGATCCTCACACCTCAGCCTCCCAGGTAGCTGGGACTACAGGTGCATACCACCATACCCAGCCAATTTTTAATTTTTTTTGTACAGGTGGAGTCTCACTATGTTTTAGGAGAGGAGCAATGTTGGCTGGTTGCACAGCTAGGAGGTACAATACAATGTGAAGGGTGCCTCATGGTGTTGCACAATCCTATGAGACAGCAAAGAAATTACATGGTAAGGTGTTTGTAAAGATTCTTTTGGTGTTGGGCGTAGTGGCTCATGCGTGTAATCCCAACACTTTGGGAGGCCAAGGTGGGCGAATCACTTGAGCCCAGGAGTTTGAGACTAACCTGGGCAACATGGCAAACCTCATCTCTCAAAAAGTACAAAGATTAGCCAGGTGTGGTGGCATGCCTATAGTCCCAGCTACTAGGGAGGCTAAGGTAGGAAGATTGACAGAGCCCGAGAGGTCAATCTCCCAACCTTAGCAGTGAGCCATGATTACACCTCTGTACCCCAACCTGGGTGACAGAGTGAGACCCTGTCTCAAAGAAAAAAAAAAAAAAGTAACTGTAACCAGTAGCAAGGAGAAAGGTTAACAGTGGCATGGACCACAGTGGTAGTGGCTGGGATGGAGAGAAACAGATAGATTTGAGAGTTTGGGGAAGTATATGAGCATACTTGGTGATATGTTGCATGTGGGAGGCAAGGGAAAGGAGGTGTTAAGAATGACTCACAGGTTTCTGGCTTGAGCAACTAGGGAAGATTGTGATAACCTTTACTGAGAGGGAGGAGACTGTGGGAGGAGCAGGCTGGAAGGAAAAAAGGAAGAATTCACATTTGACTCAGTGAGTTTGAGATGCTTGTGAGCCTTGCAGGTGGAGCTGTGAAGTAGGCAATTAAACTTGAGTCCACAGCCCAGAAGAAAGGGCTGGATTTGGCAGTCATCAGTATTGAGGTACTATTTACAGTCATTGGACTGAAGGGGATTACTCAGGAAGAGAATAGACTCAGAGAGCCCAGAGAAGGGCCAACATTTACCAGTTGGTATAGGAGAGAAAACCAGGAAGGATCAGTCAGAAGTAGAAGGCAATTCAGGAGGATGTTGTCACTGAAGACTATAGAAGAGTTGTTTCAAGCAGGTGTAAGTGGTTTGCACTCTCTCTCTCCTCCATATCCTAGACAAAGCATTATGTCCTCCATAGACTGGCTTTATCGCCCCTCGGTGGCTTCGTTTACCATGTGCCTTCTCTATCATGGCATCTATCATATACTATTGTAATCATTTGTTTAACTTCTATGCTAGATTGCAAGCTCCTTAAAGACAGGGGGAAACACTATGTTGTTCAACATTTGTATTATTTAGCATGGACAGTAGTCCATTGGAACAGCCCACATACAGTGGTTTAAATTTTTTTAAAAAGTATGATTTTCCCTCATATAAAAGTTTAGGTAAACATATGTAACAAACCTGCACATCCTGCACATGTACCCTGGAACTTAAAAAATCATAAAATTAAAAAGTTTAGGTAAATAAGTGAGCCCATGGTGTTGGGACTCGAGATTTATGCTCTTTTGATCTTGTTGCTCTGTCATCAAAACCCAACATGGCTGCCCCAACTCTTACTCTCATGTGCACATTCCAGCCATTGCAAAAGGGAAAAGGGGAAGGGGAAGGCATTTTCCTTTCTTTTAAGAATATGGGCCGGGCGCAGTGGCTCATGCTTGTAATCCCAGCACTTTGGGAGGCCGAGACGGGTGGATCACCTGAGGTCAGGGGTTCAAGACCAGCCTGGCCAACGTGGTGAAAACCCGTCTCTACTAAAAATACAAAAAATTAGCCAAGCATGGTGCAATTGCCTGTAATCCCAGCTACTTGGGAGGCTGAGGCAGGAGAATCACTTGAACGCAGCAGGTGGAGGTTGCAATGAGCTGAGATCGCACCACTGCACTCTAGCCTTGGCAACAAGAGCGAAACTCCTTCTCAAAAAAAAAAAAAGAAGAAGAAAAAGAACATGACCAGAAGTTGTACATATGTACATATTACTCGTTTAAATTCCAGTAGCAGAACTTGCTCATATGACCACATCTATCTGCAAGGAAAGCTGAGAAATCTAGTCTTTAACTCAGTATCCATGTACACAGATAAAAATTCTATGACTGTGAAAGAAGAGAACAGACACTGGGTGCAACCAGCAGCCCTGATATACCATTGTAACTGTATCATAGAGCCTGACTGTTGGAATATGCTTGTAGAGCATAGAGAAAGGCAAGGAAGGATAAACACCCCACTCTTGACATTAATTACCTTGCGGGGAGGAAATGGAAGGGGCATGGAAGGAGAGTTATAAATTATTTGTTGACTGAATGGATGATAATAAATGGATAAATCCAATGGTGACAGTAGTGATGAGGTGAATTCTTTTTAGCTCCCTCTCCCACCCTCCCTCCTCAGCATTGGCTTATGAAGGAAGAGGGACTTTCACTAGACCAAAAAGATGAGTTATGTAAACAGAAGGAAAGAAGGCTAATTTATTTAAATCTTTTATTCTGATATCTTTTTTGCTTAATTCTCTTGAGTTTTCTAGGTGGGTGATCATATTAAACTACAAACAATGATACTTTAGTCTCCTTTCCAATATTTATATCTATATTTAAAATCTTACTATGTTGACAAAATAATAGTAAATATTGGTGATGATCAACAATTGTTCCTTTTCTTACTACTTTCTTTACTACAAATATCTCTATTGCTTTGCCACTGAGTATGAGGCTGGCTATTGTTTTGACATAGCTATTTTTCACTAGGTTAATCAAGAATCTTTCTATATATGGTTTAATACAATCTTTAAAAATTAATAATACATATTTGAATATCATTTCCTTCATGTACTCTCTAAGATTTTTTTTTCTTGTTCATTCCCAATCCAGTTCCACATTATGTGGTGTTTATTGTCTACTATTTATGTACTTAAATGGCAATAAATCTACTTTAGTGAGGCAGAGAGTTAGGCCCTGGATATAGAAGTATAAAATCAGGTCCCTTCCATCAAGAGGCTTGTGATTTACTAACAGGGACATGTCTACAAATAGATCAGTTATAATTAACATAATTATAATAGCAGGCAACATATGCTATGAGTGGTACGCAGATTAACTTTTCAAAAATATCTCTTCTACCGTGTTCCTCCTCCCCTAAGAAAAATCCATTTGGTCCCTATGGCTTAAAGCAGATAGTCCAAAATCTTTAATCATCTTCAATCAAACACTAAGTTCTGCCCATTGTATCCTCTCAGCATTGCTATGTTTCACCTACCCTATCCCTATACACACCACTCCAACTCAGGACCTAATGCAGCTGTCTCCATAGTGGCTTCCCTGTTTCCAGCCTTGCACCTATCTAATAGTAAGCAAGGCACTTCAAATGTATCTCAGTTATGTGGTTTTAAAAAAAACAAATTATATTTTAATTTTTAAAATTTTTTATTAGAGTATAACATACATACAAAAAAGTACACAGATCATAAGAGTACAACTGAGTTACAATAAATATAATAAAAACTGTGTAATCACCACTAATTGCAAAAAACTGAACATTACTAGCACTCCACAAGATCCCCTTGTGACCTTTACAAATTACTACCTCTTTCTTTCTCCCCAAAGGTAACCACCATTCTGATTTCTAACCCCACAGGGTAGTTTTGCCTGTTTTTGAACTTTATATAAGTGGAATCAAAGAGTATAAAATCTTTTGTGTTTGATTTCTTTTTTTTTTTTTTTAATTAGAGACAGGGTCTTGCTATGTTGCCCAGACTAGTCTTGAACTCCTGAGCTCAAATGATTCTCCTGCCTTGGCCTTCCACAGTACTGGGATTACAGGCGTGAGCTGCCACACCTGGCCTTGTGTTTGATTTCTGGTATAGTTTAGATGTCCCCACCCAAATCTCATGTCGAAATGTAATCCCTAGTGTGGAAGGTGGGGCTATTGGGAGGTGTTTGGGTCATGGGGGTGGATTCCTCATGACTTGGTGCTGTCCTTGTGATACTGAGTTCTCTCAAAATCTGGTTGTTGGCCAGGCACGGTGGCTCACACCTGTAATCCCAGCACTTTGGGAGGCTGAGGTGGGTGGATCACGAGGTCAGGAATTCAAGACCAGCCTGGCCAACATGGTGAAACACCATCTCTACTAAAAGTACAAAAATTAGCTGGGCATGGTGGCGCATGCCTGTAGTCCCAGCTACTTGGGACGCTGAAGCAGGAGAATCGTTTGAACCCAGGAGGTGGAAGTTGCAGTGAGCCCAGCGTGCAACTGCTCTCCAGCCTGGAAAAAAAAAAAGATCTGTTGTTTAAATATGTATGGCACCTCCACCCTCCACCCTCCCCTTGTTCCTGCACTCACCATGTGATACTGGGGCTCCCCTTTTGCCTTCCACCATGACTGTAAACTTCTTAGGTCTTACCAGAAGCTGAGCAAATGCTGGCACCATGCTCCCTATACAGCCTTCAGAACTGTAAACCAATTAAACCTCTTCTTTATAAATCACTCAGTCTACAGAATTCCTTTTCTTTTCTTTTATTATTTTTTAAATTATTTTTTGAGACAAGGTCTTGCTCTGTCACCCAGGCTGGAGTGCAGTGGTGCAATCATGGCTCACCGCTGCTTTGACCTCCCAGGCTCACGCGATCCACACACCTCAGCCTCCTAGGTAGCTGGGACTACAAGTGCACCACCATGCCTGGGTAATTTTTTTTTATTTTTATTTTTTTTTGTTTTGAGAGGGAGTTTCGCTCTTGTTGCCCAAGCTGGAGTGCCATGGCGTGATCTCAGCTCACTGCAACCTCTGCCTCCTGGGTTCAAGCGATTCTCCTGCCTCAGCCTCCCGAGTAGCTGGGATTACAGGCGCACACCACCACGCCTGGCGAATTTTTTGTATTTTTGGTAGAAATGGGGTTTCACCATGTTAATCAGGATGGTCTCGAACTCCTGACCCCAGGCAATCCACCCGCCTCGGCCTCCCAAACTGCTGGGATTACAGGCATGAGCCATCGCGCCCAGCCTTTTTTTTTTTTTTTTTTTTTTTTTTTTTTCAGAGACAAAGTCTCACTATGTTGCCCAGGCTGGTCTTGACCTCCTGGGCTCGAGGGATACTACCACCTCAGTCTCCCAAGAGTGGTGGGATTACAGGCAGGAGCCACATGCTTAGCCTCAGGTATCTTTATTGCAATGCAAGAATGGCCTACTACAATTTCTTTTGCTCAAAATTATATTGCTGTATGTAGTTATTTCATTTTCAGTATACAAACATTTCACTTTATTTTCTTTTATTCTTTCATTGATGGATATTTGGATTATTTCCATTCATTGGCATTTACAAATAATGCTGCTATGAACATCCTTGTGCTTGTCTTTGGTACACATAGGTATGAATTTCTATTGTATATACCTACAACTGTAATAGCTAAGCTATAGGATATGCAGGTTTTCACCTTTGTTAGTTAATACCGAACAATTTCCAAGGTGTTTGCAAGAATTTATACTCTTGTTGACAGTTCTCTTGTTTCACATAGTTGCCCTCACCTTATATTGTCAGTATTTTTTCTTTTTAAAAAATTATTTTAAAATAATTTATGCTTATTAATTTTATTAATAAAATAAATTTTATTCGTTAATTTTAGCATTCATTAGAGAAGTTGCAAGGACAGAACATAGAATTTCCACACATCTCTCACCCAGCTTTCCCCAGTGTTAGCATTCTACCATAGTACAAGTATCACATCTAAGAAATTAACATTGCTACCAATACCCTAACAAAACCCTAATTCAAACCCTATTTGGATTTCACCAGTCTTTCTACCAATATCCTTTTTCTGTTCCTGGATCTAATTCAGGATTCCACATACCATTTATGTCCTTTTAGTCTCCCTCCATCTGTGACAGCTCCTCAATCTTTTCTTGTCTTTCATGACCTTGATACTTTTAAAGGATGCTGGTCAGGTAGCTTGTAGAATGATCCTCAATTTAGGTTAACTGATTTTTTCTCATGGTTAGATCAGGGCCACATATTTTTGGGAAGAATGTCACAAAGATAATGTGCCCTTCTCAGATCATATCAAGAGCACACTCATCATATATTCCACTACCTGCAATGTGAATCTTAATCCCCTCACTGAAGTTCTGTGTACTAAGTTTCTTTGCTGTAAAGTCACTGCCATTGTTTGAATGTTTTTGTCCCTTCTAAAATTCATGTTGAAACTTAATCCCTAATACAACAGTCTTTAGGGGTGGGGCCTTCAGCAGGTGCTTCGACCATGAAGGTTCCACCCTCATGGATGGAATCAGCACCTTATAAAAGGGCTCAGGGGGCAAGTTCACTCCTTTCATCCCTTTCTGCCCTTCCCTTCCTTCTGCCATGTGAGGATGCAGCACTTGCCCCCTCCAGAAAATACAGCAACAGAACACCATCTTGGAAGCAGAAAGCAGTCCTCACCAGACACCAAATGCTTGTACCTTAATCCTGGACTTCCCAGCCTCCAAAACTGTGAGAAATACATCTCTATTATTTATAAATTACCTGGTCTCAGGTGTTTTGTTATAGGCAGCACAAACAGACAAAGATAAGTCACTATCTTTCCCTTTATAATCAACAATATTTAGGAGGAGACACTTTTGATGTTCTGCAGATATGTTATTTCTCCTTAAATTTTTATTTGTTAATTTTAGCATTCATCGATTGTTCTTGCCTGCAGCTATCATTACTGTGGTATTCTAATTGAGATTTTCTATTTTCTTCATTCCTTTTATATTTGTTAATTGAAATTCTCTTACACAGAAAAATTTTTCCCTTTTCTCTCTTTCTTTACTTATTCAATACTTGATATTTGTATGAAGTAATGAATACTTATTTTATTCTTTGACTTAAAATCTAATACTTTTATTTTCTTGCTTAAATTATTCCAGCTTTTGCCATGGTGACTCAGGTTGGTTACTCTCCTTTTTGTTCTCTCAGGATGGAATTTGAGTCTAATTTATTAATTTCAGCAGAATTTTAAACTTACAAAAAGGATAATTTTGCCATGGATTTCATCAAAATATCTTTGCAAATTAGTCTTCATATGACTTGCATTGTAAAACTGTTTTTAAAATTTTGGTAAAATACACATAACATAAAATTTATCATGTTAGCATTTTTTTTTCCTTTTGAGACGGAGTCTCACTCTGTCGCCCAGAGTGGAGTGCCGTGGCGCGATCTCGGCTCACTGCAAGCTCCGCCTTCCAGGTTCACGCCATTCTCCTGCCTCAGCCTCCCCAGTAGCTGGGACTACAGGCGCCCGCCACCATGCCCAGCTAATTTTTGTATTTTTAGTAGAGACGGTGTTTCACTGCGTTAGCCAGAATGGTCTCGATCTCCTGACCTCTTGATCCACCCGCCTCAGCCCCCCAAAGTGCTGGGATTACAGGCGTGAGCCACTGCGCCCGGCCCACGTTAGCAATTTTTAAGGTATAGCTCAATAGCACTAAGTATATTCACAGTGTTGCACAAAAATCGCCACTTTCCATCTCTAGAACCTCTTCATCTTCCCAGACTGAATCTCTGTGTTCATTAAACAGCAACTTCCTATTGCCTCTTCCCCCAAGCCCTTGGCAACCACCATTCTACTTTGTCTCAAGATTACCTTAGGTACCTCGTGTAAGTGGAATCACACAATATTTGTCCTTTTGTGTCTGGCTTATTTCACTCAACATGTCTTCAAGGCTCATCCATGTTGCAGCATGTGTCAGAGTTACATTCTTTTTTAAGGCTGATAATATTCATTATATGTATATACCACATTTTGTTTATGTCTGTGTCTTTTTTACATGCCTATTTATTTATATTTTTAAGGAGGGTTGACATCACAAGATGCCCTGCAACAACACTGGAATCAATCGTGTCTCCAGAGAACCTTGGTTCTTTTTATTAGGAATGAACTAGATGTGCTCATTATTAAGTGAGGTATCACTGCTTCTAGATCCATTCAGTGGACAGAGGAGAAAATGTATGTATATACTAACTTATTTATACATACATATCAATATTTATTTCTGTACCTTCCTAACTATATATAATTAAAAATAAAACAAAACATGATTTCATGCTAATACCTCCAACTCCAGTCCAGAATCATAGAGTTTATTCTTACATTCTCTCTTTGATTATTTGTAACTATTCTCTATCAGTGAGAAACCTGGCTTGCATTGTGTGCAGAATAAGTATTTGTTCAAACCTAGTATACACATCAAGTAGTTTCAGAGTCATTCGCCAGTACCTCTGTGTGAAACAAATTTGCCAACTAGAGTACTGTGTTTTGGAATAATTTTTTTTTAGCTCTGTAATATCCAATCAAAACACTGTTTTCCAAAGTTACTTAGATCAGCTCCTTTCTTAACCTTTCAATGTAGTCATTCATGTGTAATGTAATTGGATTCATCTGTAAAGCAATTAGATTCATTTGCCAAAGTTCTGCATTTCATCTCCTACTTTTTATTTGCATACAATACAATTCAGTGATGCTGGTTGGTGTATTGTTCCATGGATTGTGAAAATGCACTGTCTTACATCCATCAGCACAGTAACCTAAAAAGTGGTTCCATCACCTCAAAAATTCCCTGTGCTATGCTCCTTTATAGTTAACCTGCCCCATCCTGCAACCGTGTATTGGTACCCTGTTCCTATAGTTTGCCTTTTCCAGAATGTCATATACAGTTGATCCTTGAACAACGTGGCAATGAGGGGTGCCAGCTCCCTTCTCCCTTGCAGCTGAAAAATCTATGTATAACTTTTTGCTCCCCCAAAATGTAACTATTTGATTACTTATTATATGCAAGGTGCTATGCTAGATGCCATAGAAACTATAGACATGTCTTATCCCTTCAAGAGTTCTCATATGATCAGGAAAAAAAAACATAAACAGTTTAAAAGTGAAATACAGTTGAACTTTGAGCAACTCCGGGATAAGGACACCAACCCCCACACAGTTACAAATCCACATGCAACTTTTGACCTCTGGAAAACTTAACTGCTAATAGCTACTGCTGATGGGAAGCCTTACTGATAACACTAACAATTGATTAACACAAATTTTGTATATGTATTATATATTGTATTCTTATAATACGGTAAGCTAAGAAAAATGTTAAAATCATAAGGAACTGAAAATATATTTATTATTCATTAAGTGGAAGTGGATCATCATAATGGTCTTTATCCTCATCATCTTCATGTTGTGTAGGCTAAGGAAGAGGAGGAAGAGGAGGGGTTGGTATGTTTCCTCAGGAGTGGCAGAGGGGGAGGAAAATCTGCATGTAAGTGGACCCACACAGTTCAAACCTGTGTTGTTCAAGAGTCCACTATAAATGGAATCATATAAAATATAGTCTCTCAGGTCTGGCTTCTTTCACTTAGCAATATCTGTTTAAGGTTTATTAATATTGTATGAAACAGTAGTTTATTCCTTTTTATTGCTTGAGCAGTATTCCATTGTATATACAGAACAATATTTTTTATCCATTCACTGGTTGAAGGATATATGGGTTGTTTCCAGTTATTGGTTGTTGTTAAAATCTTTCTGTAAACATCTGCATACAGGTTTTGTGTGAACAAGTGTTTCCAATTCACTCGAGCAAATATCTAAGAGTGGGACTGCTGGGGCACATGATAAGTATATGTTTTAAGTTTGTAACAAACAGCCAGTTTTCAAGGTAGCTGTAATATTTTTCATTCCCACAAGCAATACATGGCAGTATCAGTTCCTCTGCATCTTTACCAATACTTGTTGTTTGCAGTGTTTTGAGTTTAGTCTTTCTAATAGGTGTACAGTGGTATGTCACTGTGCTTTTAATTTGCCTTTCTGTAATGACTAAAGATGTTGAGCATCTTTACACGCACCATTTGACATGTGTCTCTTCTTTAGTAAGGTGTCTGTTCAGATCATTTGCCCATTTTTTATGGGGTTGTTTATATTCTTATTGTTGAGTTTTGAAGGCTGTTTACGTATTCTGGATACAAGTCCTCTAGCAGGTATGTGATTTGCAGATGTTACCCCAAGTTCATTGCACATCTTTTCATTCTCTTTGGCAGAGCAAAGTTGTTTAATTATTATAAAGTCAAACTTAACAATTTTATTTTATGGGTTATGGCTTTGGTGTTATATATAAAAGATCTTTGTCACATCAGTAAAATTCGAGGCTGGTTCTTTGAAAAGATCAATAAAATTGATAAGTGTCTAACCAGATTGGATAGGAGATAGAGAATATACAAATTACTAATACAAAAAAATGGGAGAGAAGATATCATTACAGATCCTATTAAAAGGATAATAAGAAAATATGAACAATTTTAAGCTAATACATTTGTCAATTTAGATGTAACACACAAATTCTTTCAAAGACACAGACTATCAAAGCTACCTCAACAAGAAATAGATAACATAATAGAAATATGCACATGTCTATTAAAAAATTGAATATGCAGTTTAAAACTCTACCACAAAGAAAACTCTAAGCCCAGAAGGTTTTATTAAATTCTACCAAACATTTAATAAATAATACCACTTCTGTATAAATTCTTCCAGAAAATTATTGAAAAGGAAACTCTTCCCAACTTAATTTATGAAGTTTATGAATTTAATGAATTTATGAATTCATTACCCTGATCTCAAAACCAAAGATAGTATGAGAAAATCTGTCAGGGCCAATAGCTCTCACACGGATGTAAAAATTCTTAATCAAATTATAGCAAAGTTGAATCCAGCAATATATTTAAAGGCATAACACATCATGATCCACTGGGTTTATCTCATGAATGGAAGCTTAAAAAATCAATGTAATTTTCCATATTAACAAAACAAAAAGGTAATATCATATTATCATCTCAATACTATAGAACAAACATTTGATAAAAATCCAGTGTCTCTTCAAAATTGAACTAGAGATTCTATTTCATGTGATGAGGCAAAAATAAATAGCATCTAGATGAGGAGAAACTAAAACTTTATTCATAGATAATGTGTTTATGTGGCAAATCCTCAACAATCCACAAACAAGTCTGTAGAACAAATAGACCTAATAAGTGAGAGTATCAAGTTTGCAAGATACAGAATTCAATTTAAAAATCAAGTGTACTTTTCTATATAGACAAAAAACAACACGAATTTAAATTTATAAAACATATTTTACATGGTATCGAAAATACCTGTACACTAAAAACTATAGTTGAAAGAAATTAAAGAAAACCTAAATAAATGGCAGTGATTCATCATATTACCCGATTAGAAGCCTAAATGTTATTTAAAATGCCATTTCTTTTTTTTTTTTGAGACGGAGTCTTGCTGTGTCAACCAGGCTGGAGCACAGTGGCACAATCTCGGCTCACTGTAACCTCCACCTCCCAGGTTCGAATGATTCTTCTGCCTCAACCTCCTGAGTAGTTGGGACTACAGGCGCATGCCACCAAGCCTGGCTAATTTTTGTATTTTTAGTAGAGACGGGGTTTCACCATATTGGCCAGGCTAGTCTCGAACTCCTAACCTTGTGATCCGCCCACCTCGGCCTCCCAAAGTACTGGGATTATAGGCTTGCCATTTCTTTTCCAATTTATAGATTAAACACAATCCCAATCAAAATCCCAGCAAGCTTATTTGTAGAGATTGACAAACTGATGCTAAAATGTACATAGAAATTCAAAGGGTCAGCTAGGTGTGGTGGCTTACACTTGTGATCCCAGCACTTTACGAGGCTGAGGCAGGAGGACTGCTGAAGTCCAGGAGTTTGAGACCAGCCTGGGCAACATAGGGAGACCCTGTCTCCACAAAAAACTTTAAAAATTAGCTGGGCATGGTAGCATGCACCTGTAGTTCCAGCTACTCTGGAAACTGAGGTAGGAAGATTGCTTGAACCTGGGAGGTTGAGGCTGCAGTGAGCTGTGATCGCTATACTGCACTCCAGCCTGGGTGACGAGCGAGATCCTAACAAAAAAAAGAAAAAAGGAATTCAAATGTTCTAGAATATTCAAAGAAACTTTGAAAAAGGTCAAAGTTGGAGGACATACACTGCCCAAATTCAAAACTTATTATAACCTACAGTAATCAAGATACTGTAATATTACTATAAAGACAATCAAAGAGATCAATGGAATAGAACAGGGAGTCCAGATATCAGACTTACAAATATATATGGTCAATTGATTTTCAACAGAGCTACCAACGCAATTCAATAGAGAAAGATAATGTTTTCAACATAAGTGCTGGGACAAATGGATATTCTTATTTAAAAAGTAAAGCTCAATTTTACCTCATGCCATATATGAAAATTAACTGAGAGCTGGAGCAGTGACATGTGCCTGTAATCTCAGCTACCTGGGAGGCTGAGCTGGGAGGATTGCTTGAGCCCTGTAATTTGAGACCAGCCTGGGCAACATAGCAAGACCCCTATCTAAAAAATTGTGCAAAAAAATTATTGACCTAAATATAATAGCTGAAACCATCAGATTCCCAGAAGAAAACACAGGGGAAAACTTGTTACCTTTGTCAAGCTTTCTTAAATAGGATATAAAAACACAAAAGTATGAAAAGAAAATAATCAATACATTGGACTTCATCAGCATTAAGAATGTTTGCTTTTCAAAATACAGTGTTATAAAAATGAAAAGGCAAGGCACAAAAAGGGAGAAATTAGTTTTAAACATATATCCAACAAATGACTTTTATGTAGAATATGTAAGAACTCTCACAACTCAACAGTAATAAGACAAACAACAAATTTTATTCTTTTGTTTAAAAATGAACAAAATTTTTTCAAATTCACATGAAGACGTATATGATTGTACATAGCAACTTTATTTGTAATAGCCAAAAACTGGGAACAAGTCAAATGTCCATCAACATGTGAATGGATAAGCAAATTGTATATTCATACAGTAGAATACTACTTAGCAATAAAAAGACACTTTACCAAAGAAAACATATTGATGGCAAATAAGCACATGAAAAGTTGTTCATTATCAGTGGTCATTAGAGCAGTATTTTAAACTGGGCACAATTTTGCCTCTACATGCCAGATACATTTGGCAGTGTCTGGAGATACATTTGGCAGTGTCCCCTCCCCACAAAGAATTGTTTGGTCCAAAATGTCAATAGTGATAAAGGTAAGAAACCTACATTAGGGAAACATGTCAAAACCACAGTGAGATACCGGTACATATGAAGAAGAATAGGTGAATAAAGAAATAGGTAAATAAAAAGCAGCATACCAAGTGATGAAGAGAATGTGGAACAAATGGAACCTCAGACAAAGCTGGTGATTCTACCACTTTGGAAAATAATTTGGCAGTTTCTTGAAAAGTTAATCATAAATCTACCCCAGCTATTCCACTCCCAGGTATATCCCCAAGAGAAATGAAGGCATATGTTCACATGAAGACATGTATGAATGTACATAGCAACTTTATTTGTAATAGCCAAAAACTAGAAACAAGCCAAATGTCCACCAACATGTGAATGGATAAGCAAATTGTATATTCATACAGTATAATACTCAGAAATAAAAAGAACAAGCTACTGATGAGTGCATTAACGAATAAACAAACACACACAGATGAATATAAAAATAGTTATCATCAGTGGAGAAAGCCAGACACCACTACATCCCAAAAAAGAGTCCGGTATAATTCCATTTATAAAACTCTAGAAAATGCAAACTCATCTGTAGGAACAGAAAACAGATCAGTGGTTCCCCAGGAATGGAGGTCAGGGTAGAGTAGGGAGGGGAAAGAGAGAAAAATTACGAAGGGGCATGAGGAAATTTTGGAGCATCATAGATATGTTCCTTACCTTGATTGTGGTGATTGTTTCAGGGGTAAAACTTACCAAGTTGTATACTTTATGTGCAGTTTATGGTATGTCAACTGTAATTCAGTACAGCTGGTGGGGGGCTTGACTCGTGTTTTGTTTGAGTAAAATCATCCCATTTTCTCCTTGTCACTACTGACTGGACCATATCTTTTTTATAAGCCAAGCACAACTCCACCCATGCCAGGGGAGGAGGCTGACACCTGTAGTCCCAGTAACTTGGGAGGCTGAGGTGGGAGGATTGCTTGAGCCCAGGAGTTTGAAGCTGCAGTGAGCCGTGATCGTGCCATTGCACTTCAGCCTGGGTGACAGAGCAAGATGCTGACTCTAAAAAGAAAACCTCTGTCCAGTAGGAGTGCCACATGTTGAATGCTACCAAAGGACCCAAGATATCATACAGCAAATTAGGAAATTTTCCTTCCTTGCTAGATAAGGTTACAGTTTATTTTTCATGACAAGCTCTCATTACTAAGGATAATCGGTGCATGTTAAGGAGCCAGAAAACTGTACCTACTTAAACTCATCTTCCACATTCTTCCAGAACTTCTAGCCAATGCAAAGAAAATAAAATATGGATTATACATGTTGGAAAGGAAGAAACAAAATTATTTGTGCTATTTGATTATATATCTAGAACATTCAGGAGAACCAAACTGAAAAATTATTAAAATTAATAGATTTCTATAACATAGCAAGGCACAAGATTAATATATAGAATTCAGTATTTCCTAAATATTATTTTAAAACAAACACTGTAGGTGTGGGATGGGGAGAAATGACACCATTTGGAATAACAAGAAAATCTTCACTATCTGGTCACTTTCTCTAGATATTTTCTAGTTTTTCTGTATCCCTCTCAAAGTGTTATATTGGCAATAAACTAAAATGTATTTATTATTATTTCTTTCTGGAGAACCTATTGCTGTGATATCCAGAGTGTCACCATTTCCTATCGATTCAGCATAATACACTGGTTTCTTTTCCATTCAGGAAATCACATAGAACAATGTTCTATATGCCATAAGCTATGGCTTGATTCATCTTACCATTTGGTTGTCTGGGAATTTACTGAGTTACTTTAAACTTAAATGATCCTTCTTCAAACTAGATATTTTGCTATATGATAGTAGACTTATATAATTCAGGAGGAGCTGTGTAGGTAAAACAATATCTTAATAATTGCAGATTTAACAATAAGGAAACAGATATTTGTATACTCACTGACTTGTACAAATAGCAAATAGAATTTGGATGTTTTTACTGCATGATATTTTAAAATATATATCAACATAAAAGCCTGAAACAATTAAAAATGCTTTGATTACTTAAAATCAAATAACATTTATTATTAAAAATATAACAACTGTTCATGGTGAGACCATTAGTCTGAGGGCACTGAGTCCCCTCACTGTGCACAGATTACTCAACTTTTCTAGGTCTGAGAGGCTGTAATATAAAATAAATAAGCTGGGAATTGGTATCTGAAAGGTCTCTTCAGCTAAAAATTTTACTATTCTCCATAATCTGTATAAATCAAGTGTTTTCATCTTCTTGGTTTTAAAATATTTTGCAGTAAATAAAGTTTCCCTTCAAAGCAAAAAGCCCTGAGTGGTAAACATAAGTTTTGTGTTGTTGCTATTGTTGAAAATTTGACTGTTAATAGCAACATTTTTCTGTGTATCCTATATTAAAAATATTATGATATGGCACATAGAGAATGTAAAAGGAACCATATTCCATCCTCACTCAGCTTGATTGAAAGTTGACACTCTACTAAGTTTAATGTTGCCAAAATCAAATAGAAATAAAGTTTCCATCCTTAAATACCAACACATTTTTTTCAAAATTTATTTTTATTTTTTTGAGACAGGGTCTTGCTCTGTCACCCAGCCTAGAGTGCGATGGCATGATCACGGCCACTGCTAACTACAGCCTCGACCTCTCAGGCTCAAGTGATTTCTTTACCTCAGCCTCCTGAGTGCTGCAACCGCAGCTGCATGCCACCATGCCTGGCTAATTTTTTTATTTTTATTTTTTGTAGAGACGGGGACTCCCTATGTTGCCCAGACTGGTCTTGAACTCCTGGGCTCAATCAAGCATTCTTCCCGCCTGGCTTCCCAAAATGCTGGGATTACAGGCATGAGCCACTGTACCTGGCCCCAAGGCATCATTTTTTATCATTGATAATAAATAAGTAATGAAATATCAATAATTGAGCAATTATTCAGTTAATTATTAGGCACCCAAAGTTCTGGTACAGTCCTTATTGAAATGGGGTGATACAGAGCACAGAAAGAATACGCCATGATATTAAGGAAATTGCAGTTTCAGCAGAGAAATAAATAGATAAATAAATATGTTTAAAGCATATTCCAGGCCGGGAGTGGTGGCTCATGCCTGTAATTCCAGCACTTTGGGAGGCTGAGGCAGGTGGATCACAAGGTCAGGAGTTCGAGACCAGCCTGGCCAATATGGTGAAACCCCGTCTCTACTAAAAATACAAAAAAAAAATTAGCCAGGCATGGTGGTGCATGCCTGTAATCCCAGCTACTCGGGAGGCTGAGGCAGGAGAATTGCTTGAACTAGGGAGGCGGAGGTTGCAGTGAGCTGAGATCACGCCACTGCACTCCAGCCTGGGCAACAGGGTGAGACTCCATCTCAAAAAAATAAATAAATAAAAATAAAAATAAAGCATATTCCAGGAATGTTTATTTGGGGGAAAGTACATATCAGTATTCAAGTAATCCCCCTTAAAATATTCTTGCATAATACCACATGTAATACTCCTTTGAAGATAACTAGATATAGGAAACTCTCTCCAGTGTCTTAACATTCACGTCAAATAATTCTGGTCATATTCATTCACTCAATTATTAATTCAACTAATATTTACCAAGTATCTACTTTGTGATTTACACTGTTCTAAGTGCTGGGAACACAGCCATATATAAAACAGACAAGGTCTCTACTCTCATCAAGTTTATATTCCAGAGAATATATATAACTTGTAGCCCAAATGTTACTTTTTTCTAAATGAAATGTTGTATCAACTTTTATATCACTGTTTTCCCTAGTTATAAAAGTAATTCTTGCTTATTGCAAACAAACAACAACCATAATAGAGAAAATGAAGATACTTTTGTAGGCCCTCCCTTTGGCATAATTACTGTGAGTAGTTTGTTGTATATACTTAGATTTTTAAAAATATTTTTTAAATTTACAAACTGGATCACTCTTCTATAAATTGCTTTTTTCACTTAGCAACACAGTATACCATGTATATCTTTTCATCCCAATGCATCTAGATCTAACTCCTCTTTCTTATTGGCTGTATAATATAGCATTATATTTAGACATTTTATTTCAACCATTCTTCTATCGATGATCATCAAGGTTATTTCCTGTTTCTTCATTATGATTAGTGCTCAGTATTTTGCTTAAAAAATCTTTACCTAGCCCAAGACATTTGCAAATTCATATTGAGGGACTTAGAGACAGAGAAAGAGAACTCCTGCTTGCAGCTGCCTCACTGGCCTGGTGAGACAGAAATTGGAGTTTAGGGACTTTGAGCAGCCAACATCGAAGGGCTTCAGATCTCAGAGAAAAGGGGAATGTAGAGCAGGAGCTTGGTGCTCTGCCTGCAGTTTCACTGCCTACCTGTTATTCTTTCAAATCCTTTTTTGTGGGGGATGGGGTCGAGCAGGAAGAAGGCCTTGAATGCCAAGCTAAAGCCTAGGAGCTAGCAGAAAGTCACCAGAGTTATTAGGGAAACAAGGGCCTAAGAATCAGTTCTACAATGTTGGCATTGGAAGGGCCTCTTGTGACTATCTTACTAATGAAGAGACTGTAACACAGAGAGTTGTGCCCCACCTACAGCCATATATCATCCACGGCAGCAGAACCCCTAATGTAGGCTTCCTTAAACGACTGCCGATGCTCAAAGCCCTGCTGGCAGTGGGTGTGTGTGTCTTAGTATGTTTCTGCTGCTATAACAAAATACCTAACACCAGGTAATTTGCAAAAAAGAAAATTTATTTCTCACAGTTTTGGAAGCTGAGAATTTCAAGATCAAGGCACCAGTAGATTTGGTGTCTGGTGAGGGTGGTGCTCTGTTTCCAAGATGGTGCTTTGTTGCTGCATCCTCACATGGAGGAAGATAGAAGGGCAAAAAGGCAAAAAGGGCCTACCTGGTTTCCTTGAGCCCTTGACTTTTTTTTTTTGAGATGGAATCTCACTGTGTCACCTAGGCTGGAGTGCAGTGGTGAGATCGTGGCTCACTGCAACCTCTGCCTCCCGGGTTCAAGCGATTCTCCTACCTCAGCCTCCCGAATAGCTGGGATTACAGGTGCGTGCCACCACACCTGGCTAATTTTTGTATTTTAATAGAGACAGGGTCTCACCAGGTTGGCCAAGCTAGTCTCGAACTCCTGACCTCAAATGATCCACCCGCTTTGGCCTCCGAAAGTGCTGGGATTACAGGCATGAGCCACCGCACCTGGCTCCTTGACTCCTTTTCTGAGGGCACTAATCCCACTCATGAGGGCAGAGCTATCATAACTCCTTAAAACCTCTTAAAAACCCTGCCTCTTAATATTGTCACTTTGGGGTTTAAGTTCCAACATATGAATTTTGGAGGGACGCATACATTCAGACTGTAGCAGTGTACTAGCATGGGTCAGAGGCAAGAAGAGGTCTTGCCAAAGTGGTGATGTGGAAGTTGAAATGAAGAAAAAATGTTGAAAGTCAGGAAATGGGGAGAGAGCAGGGAGAAAGCCCCTACATGAGAACAGAACTTCAGAATTTTTCCTCAGGGAAGAATATAAAGGGGAGATCTATGATCAGAAAACCATAATACTGGAGTCTAACTGGGAGCCAGGGTGAGGGGGAGAGGGAAGATGATTACTTTGGGACCTGTTGTGTTCCATGGACTGGCAAGACATGGAGGTGGAAATGGCCAGTGGGCAGTTGGAAATGTGGGTTTGGAGTTGAAAAGAGAGATTAGGGCTTTTTCCTATTCCAATTTATGCCTTCCTTCCTTTCTTCCTTTTATAAATTTGGGGATCAAATATATAGTCATAGTTGAAGCTGCAGAAATAGATGGTATCTTTAGGTGAAAATGCATAAAGAATGTATATATTTTTAAGTATACATATTAGGCCTGGCATAGTGACTCACGCCTGTAATCCCAGCACTTTGGGTGGCTGAGGTAGGTGGATCACCTGAAGTAAGGGGTTCAACACCAGCCTGGCCAACATGGCGAAACACTATCTCTACTACAAAATATAAAAATTAGCCAGGCATGTTAATGTGTACCTGTAATCCCAGCTACTCAGGAGGCTGAGGCATGAGAATCGCTTGAACCCAGGAGGCAGAGGTTGCAGTGAGCCGAGGTCACGCCACTGCACTCCAGCCTGGGCAACAGAGCGAGACACTGTCTCAAAAAATAAAATAAAATAAAATAAAATAAAATAAAATAAAATAAAATAAAATAAAATAAAATAAAATAAAATAAAATAAAATAAAAGTATACATATTTGAATTTTACAGCTGGGAGTGGAAGCTCATGCCTGTAATCCCAGCACTTTGGGAGGCCGAAGCAGGCGGATTGCTTGAGCCAAGGAGTTCAAGACCCGCCTGGCCAACACGGCGAAACCTCATCTCTACAAAAAATATTTAAAAATTAGTGAGGTGTGGTGGCATGCACCTGTAGTCCCAGGTACTTGGGATGCTGAGGTGGGAGGATTGCTTGAGGCTACAATGATTACATCACTGTTCTCCAGCCTGGGTGACAGAGCAAGACACTGTCTCAAAAATAATTTTATACTTAAAAAATTTAATATAGGGTATCTGATTCATCATGAATACTAGATATCACGGCTGGAATCCCAGAAAAAAAGGTCATCTAGATTTTACTTAAATGTGTCTAATATCTGTAGGATTAACAGCAGTTAGAATGTGGCTCATTGTGTGGCTGGACAGCTCAAATCCTTCGAAAGCTTCTTGAAGTTCAAACTTCTATTGAGTTCACACTTCTCTATAATGTTTCTCACTGACTGTAAAATACAACTATTTAAACTTTTTTCTACTTTGCATCATAAAATCATACAAGTCAAGTAACACAGTGGCCTTCACTAATTACATACAATTGGCCAACTAATCTCATCAGCATATGATTAGTTCTAAAGAAAGCAATAGAGTATTAAAACAACCTGATTTACCTTTTTTACGTATTAGATTTTGAAAGACTGATATCATCTAGTGTTGGCAAGGATATAAGTAACGAGCATTCTCATCCTCTGTTGATGAGAGGTTGTTTTGTTTTGCTGCTATGTTGTCCAGGCTGGTAACTCCTGGGTTCAAGTGATCCTCTTGCCTCAGCCTCCCAAAGTGCTGAGATTACAAGCATGAGTCACCACACCCGACTGATGAAGGGTTAATTGGTGTACCTTTTCTAGAGGGCCCTTTGTCAATAGGTACCCACATTTAAAATGTACATATTTGATCTAGCAGTTTTACCTCTAAACATTTATCTTGGCCAGGCACAGTGGCTCATGCCTGTAATCCCAGCACTTTGGAAGGCCAAGGCAGGCATATCACCTGAGGTCAAGAGTTTCAGACCAGACTGGCCAACACAGTGAAACCTCGTCTCTACTAAAAATACAAAAATTAGCTGGGCATGGTGGCAGTCACCTGTAATTGCAGCTACTTGGGAGGCTGAGGCAGGAGAATCGCCTGAACCCTGGAGTCGGAGGTTGCAGTGAGCCAAGATTGTGCCACTGCACTCCAGCCTGGGCGACAGAGCAAGACTCCATCTCAAAAAACAAAAACACAAATAAAAACATTTATCTTAATGAAACAGAGAATTGTTCAAGTATGTACATTATCAAGCATGTTCATTGGCTCTTTATTTCTTGTAAACTTTTGAATTGATTTAATTATTCTTCTAGACACAAGTCCTTCATCAGATATGTATTACAAATATCTTCTGCCATTCTGTGGTTTGAATCTTTATTCTTTTACTCATAGAAGAAAAACAATTCTAGGAACATTGGCTAAAATGTTCTCAGTAGCTATGCTTGAATGTTGGATTTTTCTCCTCCTTTTTACTTCTCCATATTTTTCCAGTTTTTTAAGGATTATTTAATGACAATTTAAAACACAATAAAGGGAACGAATTGGTTAAGGAAGATGGTTTATTTAAAATGATGCAAGCTGGGCGCCGTGGCTCATGCCTGTAATCCCAGCACTTTGGGAGGCCAAAGTGGGTGGGTCACTTGAGATCAGGAGTTCGAGACCAGCCTTGCCAACATGGTGAAACCCCGTCTCTACTAAAAATACAAAAATTAACCGGATGTGGTGGTGGGCACCTGTAATTCCAGCTACACGGGAGGCTGAAGCAGGAGAGTCTCTTGAACCTGGGAGGTGGCAGTTGCAGTGAGCCAACAGAGATCACACCACTGCACTCTAGCGTGGGCAACAGACCAAGACTTTGTCTCAAAAAAAAAAAAAAAAGGGTCGGGCGTGGTGGCTTACACCTGTGTAGTCCCATCATTTTGGGAGGCCGAGGCAGGCAGATCACAAGGTCAAGAGATCGAGACCATCCTGGCCAACATGGTGAAACCTCTTCTCTACTAAAAATACACAAAAAATTAGCCGGGCATGGTGGCACGTGCCTGTAGTCCCAGCTACTCGGGAGGCTGAGGCAGAGAATCACTTGAACCTGGGAGGTGGCAGTTGCAGTGAGCCAACAGAGATCACACCACTGCACTCTAGCGGGGGCAACAGACCAAGACTTTGTCTCAAAAAAAAAAAAAAGGGTCGGGCGTGGTGGCTTACACCTGTGTAGTCCCATCATTTTGGGAGGCCGAGGCAGGCAGATCACAAGGTCAAGAGATCGAGACCATCCTGGCCAACATGGTGAAACCTCTTCTCTACTAAAAATACACAAAAAATTAGCCGGGCATGGTGGCACGTGCCTGTAGTCCCAGCTACTCGGGAGGCTGAGGCAGAGAATCACTTGAACCTGGGAGGTGGAGGTTGCAGTGAGCCCAGATCACACCACTGCACTCCAGCCTGGGTGACAGAGTGAGACTCTGTCTCAAAAAAAAAAAGAAGAAAAAAAAAATGCCGGGCGCGGTCTCACACCTATAATCCTTGCACTTTGGGAAGCCTACGTGGGTGGACTGCCTGAACTCAGGAGTTCCAGACCAGCCTGGTCAACTTGGTGAAACCCAATCTCTACTAAAAATACAAAAAATTAGCCGGGCGTGGTAGCTCTTGGCTATAGTCCTAGCTACTTGGGAGGCTGAGGCAGAGGAGAACCACTTGAACCCAGGAGGCAGAGATTGCAGTGAGCAGGGATCCTGCCACTGCATTCCAGCCTGGACGACAAAGCCAGACTGTCTCAAAAACAAAAACAAAAAAACATGATGCAGTTAAAAAGTGACCCATTGAAGAAGTTAGCCAAGACAAGATGTTTGCCACAATTTGCCTTTAATGTTGCATCTGCACCTGCACAAATCTGCTAGAGACACCTGGTGGAGAGTGTTGATAGGTTTACAGCAAGTGTTAGAATGTGCTGAATGTACTTGCTTACTTACAAGATGAGAAATGTACTAATGCACATCCTGGTTCCCTTATTAACTCAGCTTTCAAATAACTGGAAAGAGCCTTCAGATGGGGCAAGCCTAGCTTGCAAGTGGGCTGTGTTTGGGCCTCACTAGCAAATATGACAAAAATTTAGATAGAACAAAAGACAGTAAATTCAGAAGTAGAACTGGGACTTATTTGGGGCTGGCTACATAATTTGTGAGACCTAGTATAAAATGAAAATGTGGGGCTCCTTGTTCAAAAAGTAGGGAGAAAAGTATCCTTACAGGCACATAAAGGAAAAAGAGTTTTACTCTCTTCCATGGTCTCTCTCAACTTGACATGGTTTTTGGGTTTTGGGAGTTTTGTTGTTTTGTGTTTGTTTGTTGCTGTTTGATATCATTATAGATAAAGAAAAATAACAATTTTAATGATTAGTCTGAACTTTAATATTCATGTTTACCTCATGCAATGCCAATTTTTCTTTTTTTCTCTCTCTCTTCTTGCTCTGTCGCCCAGGCTGGAGTGCAGTGGTGCCATGTTGACTCACTGCAACCTCTGCCTCCCAGGCTCAAGTGATCCTCCCACTTCAAACTTCTGAATAGCTGGGACTACCGGCATATACCATCACGCCCAGCTAATTTTGTATTTTTAGTAAAGATGGGTTTTGCCATGTTGACCAGGCTGGTCTCCAACTCCTGACTGCAAGTGATCCACCCGCCTCGCCCTCCCAAAGTGCTGGGGTTACAGGTATGAGCCACCGTGCCCAGCCCAATGCCAGTTTTAAATGCAGATTGGAGAGTATTTAACTCATATGTGGTATCACCAAAATTACATAAATCATTTTTCACAGTTCACACATGAATATATATATTGTTCTTACCATAACAGTGAAAACATTGCAGGAAACTAACTCAACTCTTTTTATTTCACTTCTTGATACCCCGGCATTCTACCAGCCCTCCCTACCTTCAGCTTACTGGCAAGGAACTGAAAAGGAAAGGAACTATGTGTGGTCCTATCTTTACCTTTCCTTTTGTGCCATCATTTCAGCCTATGTGATTGGCTAATATAGGAAAATAGCACAAATAAGAAAGGACATGGGAGGTTTCCTTAGTTTTCCTGTTTCTTAGAATGCCATTGCCTTGTTTTTGCTTTGGAAGCAGGTTCTGGTTCTGGGAACTGTCAGTGCCCCCACTTGCTCAGTCATCAGCAATGTAATGCACTTACCATGCACTTGCTTTGAGTCTCATTGAACCCCCATACAACATAGGTCCACAAGAATTCTGTGCTCACAGGTGCTGTGAACCCTATGTGACCAGAACTGCAAGGGGACGAAGCACACACATTTTGTACATTTCTCCTCCTATTTGGTATGGCTACAATAAGAAGATGATCAAAGTATGATTTCAGGAATCACATGGTTTATTGCCATACAAAGAGATTCTTTTTTTTAATGCTCAAAGAGGGGGGAAATAACAAGAACAAATCTCGCAGAGATTATACTCCGCAGATGAGGTACATTATCCACATAATTAGTTATAATTTCATTTCAAGTCCAGTGATTACAGTTTAGTTGCTTAGAATGGAAGTAGGCCTCTGTGGATGTGAGGGAGATCCGAGACAACTTGTAAGATCCCTGGACACTAGCAAGTGGTGCCAGTGCTGTGTGGGCTGGCGAGGCTTTGAAAGCTAGCTCAAAGGCTGACAGAGATTAGCCCTGTTGCAGCCTGAGCTCTCAATCTGTCTGCCAAAATCTTGGGTTTATATGTGTTTTGGAGTCTAGTCGTTGAGGCCAATAACTCACATATGTGGTCTGGAAAAGTGTGATGTAACATTCTGACAGGGAAGGGGACTATGCTCCATGTTCTTATCACAGCAAAACATCTGTCACTTAACGCAGAAAGTGTTTGGAATATTTTCAGAGCTACGTAACACCTCCATTCATGCACATGCTCCATTGCCCCTCCATTCACTTACAAAACTTATGAATTTGAAGGTAAAATTTTTAAGAACTTCAACATGGCAATAGCAGAACCAAGCATGGCACATTTTTGAGGGTGGAGCTTTGTGAGCCGGCACAGGTCATAAGACCATATAGCCAGCCCAGGACTGGTTTGCTTTTTGCAAATGGGTAAAGGGAGAAAGCTCTTAATCCTACATGTTCAAGGCTCCTTTAAGATGAGGAACTTTGAAAATACAGGCTAGAAAAGAAAAATCATATTTAGAATTATAGGCATTTTGTTAGAGCCAGAACTTGGGCTAGCCTTGAGTATCAGATAGAAATAATAAATACATAAAACCTGTTTTGGCTGGGCGCGTTGGCCCATGCCTGTAATCCCAACACTTTGGGAGGCTGAGGCGGGTGGATCACCTGAGATCAGAAGTTCAAGACCAGCCTGACCAACATGGTGAAACCCTGTCTCTACTAAAAATACAAAAATTAGCCAAGTGTGGTGGCGCATGCCTGTAATCCCAGCTACTCTGGAGGCTGAGTCAGGAGAATCACTTGAACCCAGGAGGCAGAGGTTGCAGTGAGCCAAGATCATGGCATTGCACTCCAGCCTGGGCAACAAGAGCGAAACTCCATCTGAAAAAAACAAACAAACAAACAAACAAAAAACCTTTTTTAAAGGTGTCCATGATCAAAACAGCCGCTCCATCAGACCAGTTTCAAAGGTCTATTTGCATGCATACCCAGGCTTTGAGTTCCCTGGCATTTTAGGAGGACATTTGCAGTTACTTAAGTTTGCTTTAGAAACATGTTTTTCAACCTACCTGCCAACCCAGGTACAATTAGAGCTGCTCAGCATGAATGGTAAAGGTAACAACTTACTGTTTATGCTCTCTTTTTGCATTTAGCACTTAAAGAAAAACATAAAGAAGAAAACTTGGAAATAGGAAGAAAAATGTAGAAAATGTTTGTTTGTTTCTTTCCCATTTGGGCAAACAGCAAATGTGTGCCTCCGTATTTTATCTTTTCTGCCATGGGATGGGCAGTGCTGTTTTTGGTACAGTAGGGGTGTTTAAAGGCTGATGAAAATAACAGCATACTCCGGGCTGTGAATATGAGGCCAGGAGTCATGCCCAGTTTGTGGCCTGCGCTGAGTGTACAGACTCCTTAAGTGGAATGGCTCAGCAGAGTGTATGTACACAGTAGAGATGTGACATAAGCTCGTCTGCATTCTGAGCACTCAACACACAGAGGCAGAAGGTGTGGTTGGAGAGGAGGGGTCAGCAGGCGTCCAGGCGAGTTGCCAGGGTCAAGATTCTCAGCGATTTCTCATAGGTCTCATGAGAGGAATAACTGTACTTGCATTTCTCTTTTATTTCCATTATGCTTTTGTTGCTAGGAAGTTCCTTTTCCTTATCATCTTGATGAATGCACATATTTAGGGCACTTTTAATTCTTTGGGAGATGAAGTGGATAAATGCATCATAAGTAGATAAGTCAATGTGGGTAAGAGTTTAAATTATCGGGCTATGAATGTCATGAGACCTCAGTGATAAGTCCAAGGGATGTAATCAGAGGGTAAAAGCTGGGACAGCTCAGTTGTGGTGAGTGATAGAGATTGCTAGTTGTCCTCAAATGCCTGTTTCCTGGGTGCTAAAACTCCTAGTTTTTGGCTGCGTACATGGCTTCTGAGAATGGAAGCTTCCCTTGTAGCCGCGTGTACTCATGTGACAAGGTTCTGGCCAAAGGAATGAAAAATCATTCACCCTTTTCTTGTTCTTTGTCTTTCCCTCTATCTTGCTGCCCAAAATGCAGATCCTGTTGTCACAGTCTGGAGATGGGAGAGCAGTGAGATGGAAGGAGCGTGAGTTCCTGAGGACTTTAGGATAGAGCCGCCTTTCAGCTCTGGACGCACTTACCACTCCATTTCCCTTAAGCGAGGGAGAAATCACTTCTATCTTACTTAGGCCATTGTTATTTTGTCATTTCTGCCTCTCCTAGATAAGCCTATTGGTTACTGATACAGAGTATTACTGCAGACTTATTCTTGCTGGACTTCCTCCGAACACAGGGCTCCCTTAGGGACCTGTGTTCATTGAGGTTCAATAGTTTGTTTTTCATACTCCAATCATTTTAACACAGCAGAAAACCCTTTACGAAAATACTCATGCCTTGGCACTTCACAATCTCATGCCAGGAGCCTGTTACAAAAGGGGTCAGGAGCCACAGCAAAAGATTGGCAACTGATACCCAGTACAATGATCTTCAGACTCTACTGAGTGTAGGACCCAGTCCTTAGGAACAGTTGGGCTGAGTCAGAGATGATGCTAAGTAGAAGCAGATGGCTGGCGGAGTAACAGGCAAAAGGAAGTGTAGAAAATGTATTAAAGGCTGGGCGCGGTGGCTCACGCCTGTAATCCCAACACTCTAGGAGGCAGAGGCGGGCGGATCACGAGGTCAGGAGATGGAGACCATCCTGGCTAACACAGGTGAAACCCCGTCTCTACTAAAAATACAAAAAATTAGCCGGGCGTGGTGGCAGCGCCTGTAGTCCCAGCTACTCCGGAGGCTGAGACAGGAGAATGGCGTGAACCCGGGAGGCGGAGCTTGCAGTGAGCCAAGATCGCGTCACTGCGCTCCAGCCTGGGCGACAGAGCGAGACTCCGTCTCAAACAAACAAACAAACAAACAAACAAAACAAAACAAAACAAAACAAAACCCTACAAATGTATGATTCCATTTATCTGAGGTACCTAGAATAGTCAAATTCATAGAGACAGAAAGTAGAATGGCGGTTGCCAGTGCCTGGTGGGGGGATGGGGGAAATAGGGAGTTATGTAATCGGTATGGAGTTCGGCAGATGAAGAAGTTCTGGAGATGAATGATGTCACTGGTTGTACAAGAATGTGAATGCACTTAATGTTACTAAACTGTACACTTAGGGTTAAAATGGTACATTTTAGGTTATGTATATGTTACCACAATTTTTTTAAGTGAAAAACCTGGCTGGGAGTGGTAGTTTATGCCTGTAATCCCAGCATTTTGGGAGACCAAGATGGAAGAATCACTTGAGCCCAAGAATTTCAGAACAACCTGGGCTACACAGTAAGACCCTGTCTCTACAAAATATGTTTTTAAGTAAAAAAAAATTATCAAAGATGCTTAAAGATAAGCAAATCTGAATGATTTGGGTTTTATACTTTTCTTTAGCTGGGTGGTTTATTGAAAGAACCAAAAAAAAAAAAAGTAAAATGGACATGAGTCAGGCACTAACAGACAAAAATTGAGGGTTTAAATCAGTGCTGTATAGAAATATAATGCAAGCCACACATGCAATTTTAAATTTTCTTGTAGCTATATTCACAAAAGCACAAAGAAACAAGTAGAACTAATTGTGGCAATATATTTGATTTAACCCTACATACCCAAAATACCATTTCACATTAGAACCAATATAAAGAATTATGATGTTCTTATTTTTAAATAAAATTTAAACATTATTTTAAAATAAAATCCAATGTGCATGTTCACAGCACATCTCAATTCAGACTAGCCACATTTCAAGTGCACAATAGCCACCTGAGGCTAGTGGCTACCATTTGGGCAGTGTAAATCTAGATTACCTGTAGATTAGATAATGATTCTCAGGATAATCTGCATAATCAGATCATAATCATTAGAATTTAAAGAACCATAGCACTAAACTGCCACATGCATGGCCTACCTCATGGTATATTAGTGTGATAAATTGATTTTTAAAAATCTGTCTTGGTGGAAAAAGAAACAGCTACAAATTTCCGAGTTTAATGACACTCCTGCCTATATCCTAAGGGAAATAATGTATGAACTCTGTCTTTTCATTATTTTGCCTACCTTGATACGGTTATTTAACCACATGATGAGTTTGTCCCAACACCTGTCCTACTAATTTACTATGGTCATAGTTTGAGCTTGTTTGAAAGATTGAGGGTGATAAGCCATCTTGACATAGAGCTTCCTGCTTTTAGAAATACTTGACCCAACGTGGGTGAATTTAAACATTGCGTCTCAGGCAACCCATTCTCAAATCCAGCTGGAAGGACTGAGCTTTTGCTATAGGGAGAAATAGCCAGTTTCCTTGTATTCTAGTTATTGTAAGCTCTCATTCTTTCTCTGTTCCATGAGAGTGGAAGAAAAGTGACTTAACCATTACTTTCCCCTCTTACCTCTTTATAGGGCTGATAGCCAGGACTTGAATATTAGCTTTGGTAATATGCCAATGCTTGTTCTGTCACAAAAGTCCATGGCTTACTTTCAACATTAAAGTGGTTGTTTGACATTGAGAATTTAACTGACCAACTGTAGGACTAATTCTCAGCATTATAGCAAAGGTTTCTGAAGTGTTTTGGAAATAATGGGTAGAAGTAAAGATGTAGTTGATACTGCATATTACTTCTTGTTCAGCTTCTGAGCCTAATTCCTTCTGTCCCCACTTATTTAACACTGACAATGTGCCTAGGCAATGGAGATACATAATATATGAAAATCCCTGCCTTTTTGAAGCCAACATTCTAGAGGGAGAGACTAACAAGACAAATTAACTTCTATAAGGAGGCCATGGGTACTATGGAGGGCAAAACAGGGAAGGAGATGGGATGTGCAGGATGGGGTGGGGAAAGGTGGGTGGCAATAAGTGAAGATCATACTGATACAGTGACATTTGAGCAAAGTTTTGATGGAGATGAGGGAGGGAAATGTGCTGATATCTGGAGAAAGGTTTCCAGTTAGAACAGCAAGTGCAAAGGTCCTGAGGCAGAGGAAGCATGCTTGGCAAGTTCAGGGCACAGCAAGAAAGGCAGTGTGGCTGTAACAATGTGAACAATCTTAGCCTATTGGGCTGCTATAACAAAATGTCATGAACTGAGTGGCTTTTGAACAACAGAAATTTATTTCTCACAGTTCTGAAGGGTGGGAAGTCCCAGATCTAAGCAGATTCAGTGTCTGGTAAGGGCCTGCTTTCTGGATTACAGACTGCACCTCTTGCTGGCCCTGACGTGGTGAAAGGGTCAAGGGCTCTCTCCCAGGCCCCTTTTATAAGGGCACTAATCCCAGTCATAAGGGTTCCACCTTCATGACTGGATCACCTCCCAAAGGCCCTGTCTCCTAATACCATCACCCTGGGGGTTAGGATTTCAACATATGAATTTGGTAGGGGAGGGATACAGATATTTAGACCATAGCAGAGAGTAAGAGAAGATGAGAAGGAAGGGTGGAATGTGGGCCTTATAGGCTATATGAGGACTTTGGCTTTTTCCCTAAGAGAGCCGAGGAAACATTTGGAAGCATTTTTTGCCTTTCCTTTTTAAATTTATTTCTTTTTATAGGTTTAGGGGCGTAAGTGCAGTTGTGTTATTTAAATACATTGTGCAATGAAGTCTGGGCTTTTAATGTACCCATTACCCAAACAGTGCACATTGTACTCCATAGGTAGCATCTCATCCCTTACCTCCTTTCACACTCCCACCTTTTTAAGTCTCCAATGTTGATTATTCCACTGTGTGTCCATGTGTACCCATTATTTAGCTCCCACCTTTATGTGAGAACCTGCAGTTTTGACTTCCTGTTTCTAAGTCATTTCATTTAGGATAATGGCCTCCAGGTCTATCCGTGTTGCTGTAAGAAACATGATTTTTTTTTATGGCTGAGTAGTATTCTATATGTATATACCGCATTTTTAAAAAATCTATTCCTCCGACGGTGGACACTTATGTTGAGTCCTTAACCTTGATATTGTGAAGAATGCTGTGATAAACATGAGTGCAAATGTCTTTTTGAGGTGATTATTTTGTTTTTCCTTTGGGTAGCCCAATAGTGGGATTGCTGGATCGAATGGTAGTTCTACTTTTAGTTTTTTGAGAAATCTCCATACTCTTTTCCATGGAGGTTGTACTAATTAATATTCCCATCATCAGTGTATAGGCATCTCTTTTTCTCCACATCCTTGCCAACATCAGTTTTTGTTTTTTTTACTTTTTAATAATGGCCATTCTGACTGGTGTAAGATGGTATTTTATTGTGCTTTGGAGAATTTTGAACAGAAGAGGGACATGATCTGATCTGTGTTTGAAAAAGATCACTCTGGCTTCTGTCTTGAGAATGAACAGTATGGAGGCAAGTTAGAAGTTTATTGCAATAATCCAGGTGATGCATAAAAAGGCATGGAGCAGGGTGGGGTATAGGACAGTGATGTGGAATAGCTGAATTCTGGATATATTTTTGAAAGTGGAGACCAGAGAGTTTCCTGAGTGATTGCATATAGGTTGTGAGAGCAAGAAAGGAAGGGATGTTGACTTGGATTCCCAAAGACTGCTCTTCTTGATGTGCAGTTGAGGCTCTCTTTGTACTACTCTGTGTCTAAGTGACCTGGCAGACTAATCTCTCTATCCATCCTCCTGTAAAACACAGACTGATGCAAAAGACACTTGACTTTCATGGCCAAGAGGCTCCTCTGTAGAACACCCCTCCATCACTACCTCCAACTCCTGTTCCCATCAGATAAATTGCCTGCATACCAAGAATTGTTGACCGGGTGCAGTGGCAGCACTTTGGGAGGCCAAGGCGGGTGAATCACGAGGTCAGGAGTTGGAGACCAGCCTGGCCAACGTGGTGAATCCCTGTCTCTACTAAAAATACAAAAAATTAGCTGGGCATAGTGGCAGGCATCTGTAATCCCAGTTACTAGGGAGGCTGAGGCAGGAGAATTGCTTGAACCCGGGAGGTGCAGGTTGCAGTGAGCCAAAATCACACCACTGCACTCCAGCCCAGGTGACAGAGTGAGACTCCATCTCAAAAAAAAAAAAAAATTGTTTACTTCTTTCCACAACTCTATATTCCAATTTTATTTCTAATAATTAAATTAATATAACGTAAAGTAATGGAGTGTGGGTTTGAAAACAAAGAATTGGAGGCTTTAGTAAGTGTGGGTAAAGGTGAACCAAAAAATTAGTTGGTAAGAAAACTGTGGCCAGGCGCAGTGGCTCATGCCTGTAATCCCAGCACTTTGGGAGGCCAAGGTGGATGGATCACCTGAGGTCAGGAGTTCGAGACCAGCCTGGCCAACATGGCGAAACACTGTCTCTACTAAAAATACAAAAATTAGCCGGGCATGATGGTAAGTGCCTGTAATCTCAGCTACTCAGGAGAGTAGCTGAGATTTATGCTCAGCTACTGAGGCAGGAGAATCACTTGAACCTGGGAGGCAGAGGTTGCAGTGAGCCAAGATCGTGCCATTGCACTCAAGCCTGGGTGACAGAGCAAGACTCTGTCTCAAAAACAAACACCACTGTAAAAATGGAATATTTTTAAGTTCTTCCTCTACAGAAAATAAAACTAGAAATCATAGTCACCTGGTTGTGGCTTCTGCAAGAAAAACAATGCAGACCCATCAGAGGCACATGCTTAAAGAAAGGGCTTTGGCTTTTCTGCAAAGATTGATGGTGAATAATATACATTATAGATGTTCACAGAATATAATGATTCCCTCTTCCATCCAGCTTTTGACCCCTCCAATTGAGAAATTTGAGCCCTAGGAGTTCGAGACCAGCCTGGGAAGCATGGCAAAACCCCATCTCTACTAAAACACAAAAATTAGTCAGGCATGGTGGCATGCACCTATAGTCCCAGCTACTTAGGAGGCTGAGGTGGGAGGATCGCTTGAGCCCAGGAGGTTGGGGCTGCAGTGAGCCATGATCATTCCACTGCACTCCAGCCTGGTGACAGAGTGAGACCCTATCTCAAAAAAAAAAACAAAACAAAAAAAAAAAAAAAAAAAAAAAACGAAAAGAAATCAGTATGTTAAAGAGATACCTCCACTCCCATGCTCATTTTGATATTATTGACAATAGCCAAGATATGAAATCAACCAAGATATGAATGAATGGGTAAAGAAAATGTGGTATTAATATGTATACACAATGGATACTATTCTGCCATAAAAAAAGAAATCTTGTCATTTGGATGACCCTGAAGGACATTGTTAAGTAAAATAAGCCAGGCACAGAAAGACAAATACCACACGGCCTCACTTACACATGGAAACTGAAAAAGTCAAACTCACAGAAGCAGAGAGTAGAATGGTGGTTATCAGGGGCTGGAGTGTTTGGGAGATGTTGGTCAAAGGATAGAAAATCCTAGTTAACAGGAAGAATAAGTTCAAAAGATCCTATGACGTGGTGACTATAGTTAATAACAACGTATTGTTTACCTGAAAATTGCTAACAGATTTTAAGTGTTCTCACTACACACACACACAAAAAAATGTAAGGTAATGTTAGTTTGATTTAGCCCTTCTGCAATATATACATATGTCAAAGCATCATATCATATGACATAAACATAATTTGTCAAAAATTTTTAAGTGTAAGGACATTAGAAAATAAGATTGTTATTTTCATGCATTTGTAAATAGAGGATCTGTAGAAACATCCTTTGGCCCCCAGGGGGCGTAGGGCAGAATGAAGTCAGAGCCGAGGATTTGATCCCTGCAGTTGGCACTCTCTGGTTACCAGGCCTGCCACAGAGAATACAGAAAAAGTACTTTATGTCCACTTCAGAGAACATTCACTGTGGGATGCTGGTACACAAGGGTTGTATATATCTAAAGTCCACCTCTGGTTTTTGGTAAAGTGTAGTAAATATGCAAAAATTGCAGAAACCTCTACTCATTGTACTCTTTTGCTTCTGTGTGTGTATATGTGTCTTTCTGTTTGTCTGTGTCTTTCACTGTGTATGTGTGTGTGTGTGTGTGTGTGTGTGTGTGTGTGTGTGTGTATCCCTGTCTCTCCCTGTCTCTGCAAAGGGGGAGCCCACAGTGTTCCAGGCTTTACTTCCTATAAGAAATACAAGAATACTGTTAAAAGTACATAAACTTGGCTAACTTACGCAGATTAAGTTCTAAATGTTCTGCCAACAGGCTAAAATTGCAGATTTTTCCCTTCGAGAGGAAACAAAACTCAAGCAAACCCCTCCTGTATTCTCCCTTATATTTCAGAGAAATTTCTATCGCTTAGATGTTTAGCATAGTTTTACTAATTTAACAGGATTTTTTCCTCGTTCATCAATTTTTTTTTTTTTTTGAGACAGTCTCGCTTTGTCACCAGGCTGGAGTGTAGTGGCACAATCTCGGCTCACTGCAACCTATGCCTCCCGGGTTCAAGCGATTCTCCTGCCTCAGCCTCCTGAGTAGCTGGGACTACAGGCACACACCACCAAGCCCAGCTAATTTTTATATTTTTAGTAGAGATGGGGTTTCACCATGTTGGCCAGGATGGTCTTGATTTCTTGACCTCGTGATCCGCCCGTCTTGGCCTCCCCAAGTCCCGGGATTACAGGCATGAGCCACTGCTCCTGGTCAATATTTTATTGAAATGTTTCAAGCAGCACTAACAGCACAATATTCACTGTAAGAATTTCATACACCAATATAATTGCTGCATGAATGTCATTTATTGAAATTAACATTATTATGAATACATAATGGAAAAATACTCCTCAAAAGAGGAAGGTGAATGTTAACCAGCAACAGGACAAAGCCATCCTCAAAAGACAGAGATAACCGAAACAGTTTCACAGTTCAGTTTATACAGGTACACCGGGGTTAGAGTTCCTCTAGGTATGCGTCTCTGCAGGTGCCAGGTTTTGGACCAGGAGGCTCAGGAATGTCTCCAGCCGCTTCCTGGATCTGTATGCAATGAGTCCTCCCTTGTTGGCCCACCGATCCACCCCAGCAGCACCCTCATTTTCCACGTGGTACACCAACTGTGGCAAATCAAGCCCTGTTTCTGGATTTCTTTCTAAGCATTCTTTCAAGTCTACTATTCCCCCACCCATGGCCCTCAGTATGGCATGAGCAGCACAAGAGTCCCATTTGAATGTGGTATCTTCTGAAAAGATGTAAATGTCAACGAGGCCTTGGACAACACATAGGCTCTTATAACCAGCCCCAGCTGCCCCAAATATGCGATCTCCACACACACGTGACAATGCAGCTTTGATAGTCTCCTTTTCACTTGTACTAATTACGGCTGAAAAACTGGGGGAGAATGCTGCCTCAGAGCCGGTGTTTCCAGTGTGTGTTTCACTGCCGTTTCTTCTAGAGATGGTGAGCTGTAGTGAATGCATGTTGGTCCCCATGTAAGAAAGGCCCCAATAGCACTGTCCTTTCCACCTGTAGAAGAAAAATTTCAATTGGTGATGATTATCACATTTGTTTTTCATTACTCATGTCACTTTCAAACTTAATGATACGAAGAAATACACAATTCATCATAACATGGTGAATCTTAACACCTTTAAGTCTAGGAATAGATATCAGGTAGCTAGTTTATTTCAGAAAGTTACTTATATGCATGCAGCTGCCTGAGTTGTTGCAATTAGAAATGCTTTCAATTTTATGGCATTATCACATCAATCTAGGACAACACTAAAACATTTATGGGGTTTCCAGCTTCCAGAACCATTGCAAAATTTCATTACAACTTTTAGTATTTAAAGTTTAGTAGGGAAAAAGGAATAGAAAAGTGATATCTCTTTTTGATCTGCAAATATTCTACAATCCCTATAACAAGTTTTTCTTTATTTGGTAACTCCTTTTCATTCTCTTATTCACTAGTTTCACGTTGGCTTCCAACACAAAGAAAGATGGACTCAATGTTATTAGTTTTGGCAACCACAATAATTATAGCACCTTCCCTTTATCAATGCTTAACTTACTGTCTATGTTGTTACATATTTACAGATAAGGAAACAGGCTTAGAGAAAGTAAGTAGCTTGCTGAGGCCCACTCAGCTAGAAAGTGGTAGAATCTGCATTCAAACCCACAAAGTCTCACTCTGAATCTGTGCCATAAACTATTTTGTTGACCACCTCCATTTCTAGGCCATGATTATGTCTGCATATTGTTCCAATTCTTTTTAATTTCTTATTAACCTTTTAAAGATAGCAGAAACCTATTTTTAGTTTGGAAGATGGTGGGGGTAGGGGGAAAATATTAAAACTTAAGAGGTATAAACTTATGACTATTAAAGAGCAAATGATTGTTACTTGAAGCAGCTCAGGTTCAATAAAAATATGTAATCCTATATAAGTGAAAAAATATGACCTATTTCAATAAAAAGCTGAACTGCTTGTTCCACCTGGACTTTGCCATGCCCTGGAGTCAACCCCAAAGCACAGGCCATGGATCAGAGGCAGCTGAGTCCTGGCCACTTTCTACGCTCTGTTTAAGAGTGCATGGAAGAGTGGAAGGGAGGAGGCAGAAAGGGAGTGTGAGTTAGGTTCTGATCCTGGCCATGCCTACCAATCTTTTCATTGGATAATTTTCACATTTTGTTTTGAACTTCTAAAATTATACCAAAGTTCAACTGGCTATACAGCGATGGCAGCTGTCTTATTCCCAATGTATTGGAAGGCAGTGTTACCACCACTCTACTTATCTGGTTTTGAGTGGATTCTAGAAACAGGGAACAGGATTACTATATTCCAAATGTAAAACTATGATTTCTACAGGATAGTATTAATTTTAAAATTTCTACCAGCATGCACTTGGCCTGAAATAAAATTACGCAAATCCAAGATTGAAAATAGAACTTTAATTCAAATACGCAGACTTTCAATGGCAACACTCCCATGTGTTAAGTCATGGGAATGTCATATAGTGATAATCCTAACAACAAGCAAAGCTGAGGTCGTAAGTTCTAACAACCATAATATACCAAAAATATTTGCCTTTTACCTGAGGGTGTTTGGATCTCGTGACACAAAAGGTTGATTGATGACTCCCATCAGGGGAACCCCTGTCTGTATGTCATAGACACCAATTAAAATGGTGACACACTGAAGTCCACAGGGGAAGATTCCCTGGTTGGATTTAATGTCAGCAGAACCTTTTATATACTGATAAGTTGAATCTGAAAAAGGAAACAAATGTGTTTGGATTCAGGTAAAGATCATTTAGAAGACTCTGTTCCATATGACTTCTCTCTTCTACTGATTTGGTAACCAATAATTTTTTACCTTTGGATGTCACTGTATTGAATTGTTATTTGGCCTCTTGTACTTTACTTTTAAATTGCTTGTGTTTCATTTTCCTGACTGTGAGAACTCTTGAAGGGAGAGGATGTGTCTATAGTTCCTGTGGCATAGCAATTTGTATATAACAGGCATTCAAATATTTGTTACTTATCAAAAGCATTGAAAAAGTAATAACCAGAATAATTGGTGGGATTATTTTAGAAATACTACTAATCAGAGGACTAGTACAATGTGAGATGGAAAAGCCTCCTTCCAATGGGTGAAAAAAAAAGACCTACTATTTGATAGCACAATAGGGTAACTATAATCAATAAGAACTTAACTGTACATTTTAAAATAAAGAGTGTAACTAGATTGTTTATTACTCAAAGGATAAATGCTCAAAGGGATGGATACCCCATTCTCTATGATGTGCTTATCTCACATTGTGTGCCTGTGTCAAAACATCTCATCTACCCCATAAATATATACACCTATTATGTACCCACAAACATTTTAAAAAGGAAAAGAAAAAAAGAAAAGCCCCCCTCCTGTAATAGGTCACAGGTAATATTATCTTTTACTATTATTATTTGGTCCCTCAAGTTAGAAGGAAGAAAGAGACAATGATGGTGGCACCAAAAAAAGAAATTAACGGAGCTCCTATGAAACAGAGGCAGAGAAACTAGGTTTCCCCTTAAGAGATGTACATGCCAGCAGCTGACTGCTGACGTCTAGGGAGTCAACACACGGCTAAGGATGTGCCTGGCAAAAGACTCAAAGAGCTCAAAAACAGAATCAATTCAGGGTGGAACCAAGAAACAGGAGATCTCTGTCCCTCAGAAACTATAACTGATGCCAATTTACCCTTAAATGATCAAAGATTTGGGGAAAGGTTTTTAGTTTCCATATATCATCCACTGGCTGAATGTGATATAATTATCTGAAGATTAAACCCATTTCAGTATCATCCTGTGAATGCACTTGTAGGATGGGAAGGGCCCAGAGAGGAGTTTGCCTGGTCCTTGAATGGTCCCATTGTGTTGGGTGGGGAAGAAAAAAAAGGAAGGGGGAGCTTATTAAAATTATTACCTAGAACTTGTATTAATAGCATCATTGAAGATAAAGGCTGGCTGGGCATGGTAGGTCATGCCTGTAATCATCCTAGCACTTTAGGAGGCCAAGGCAGGCAGATCGCTTGAACCCAGGAGTTCGAGACCAGCCTGGGAAACATGGTAAAAACCCCTTCTCTAAAAACAATATAAAAAATTAGCCTAGTGAGGTGGCATGCAACTCTGCCACCTACTTGGGTCCCAGCTACTTGGGAAGCTGAGATAGGAGGATTGCTTGAGCTCAGGAGGACAAGGCTGCAGTGAGTGAGTTCTGACTGTGCCACTGCACTCCAGCCTGTGTGCAACACGAGACTCTGTCTCAAAAAAAAGGGTTACATTTTCAAAACAATGGATTATACATTATGGTTCTATCACAATCATGACCAAAAAAAATGTAGAGCTCATGCAGGGCTCACAAACTGCTCATGCGTCACATTCAGCTTTTTGCTTGACCTGTACTGTGTTTTTTTGATTGTTTCCTTCTTTAACTGAATTAGTAGCTAACGGTTAGAAATTGGGATATATCGCTGAAAACCTTGGATTTTGGTTTCTCTTTAAAAATCTGAAGAGCTGGCCTGTACTCCCATATGGTAACAATCTGCTAAAGCTAAGTGCTCTTTAAATGGTATGTGTGCTCAATTGGTCATAACTGCTCTCACTTCATTCTCTCATTTACTTACCAGTCTGGTCCCTGAAGTCTTTTGAAGAGAAGTTAATTCATCTTTGCATGTGTGCCTGTATGTATGTGTGTGTATATACACACACCTGTTATAGATATGTATATATATACACACGGCTATAATATATATGTATATATACAGAACACATGACACATACACCTCAACTCTCATTGTTTTAAAACTTTAAAATTTTAAAAACTTCTAGCAGAGTTAAACTACACTCAATAATTTTTATTTTTCCAACACCCATCCCCAACCCCACCACCAAAAAAAAGATTGCAAATAAGAACAAACATACTTTCCTATACTTACCTATGGGGTCCACCCAAATTCCCAAAATGTCCTGTGGAACATTGATCTCTGTGGAATCCAGAGTTGGGTCAGTAAAGGCAACATCCTGATGAACAACCCTGGCTAATGCTTCAGATGCCACCTTGTTACCATTGAGGACTTTGCTAAGAAGCTCTGCTGTTTCCTCCTCTGTTGAACACAACCTCAAGGTAATCTTTTCCCCTAGGGTAAAGCCACACGATAAGCCATTACATTTCAAGAGTTTCAGTGGAGAAAGAACAGAGAGAGAGAGCTAAAGAGTGAGAGAGACAGAGAGAGCGAGAGAGAGAGACAGAGAGAGAGCGAGAGACACAGAGAGCGAGACAGAGCGAAAGAGCGAGAGAGACAGAGCAAGAGAGTGAGAGAGAGACACACAGAGAGAGCGAGAGACACAGCAAAAGAGCGAGAGACAGAGAGAGCAAGACAGAGAGAGTGAGACAGAGTGAGACAGAGTGAGACAGAGTGAGAGCAAGAGAGACAGACAGGGAGAGTGAAAGAGACAGAGCAAAAGAGTGAGACAGAGCAAGCAAGAGAGAGACAGAGCGAGAGAGTGAGACAGAGAGAGTGAGACAGAGCGAGAGAGACAGAGAGCGAGAGAGAGACAGGAAGAGTGAAAGAGACAGAGGGAAAGAGTGAGACAGAGAGCAAGCAAGAGAGAGACAGAGCGAGAGAGCGAGACAGAGCAAGAGACAGAGAGCAAGAGACAAAGAGCGAGAGAGACAGCGAAAGAGCGAGAGAGAGCAAGAGAGACAGAGCGAGACAGAGAGCGAGAGATTCAGGGAGAGACTGAGAGAGACAGAGTGAAAGAGACAGAGAGACAGAGAGAGCAAAAGAGTGAGACAGAGAGCGAGCGAGAGAGAGCGAGACAGAGCGAGAGAGCGAGAGAGAGCGAGACAGAGCGAGAGAGCGAGAGAGAGCAAAAGAGTGAGACAGACAGTGAGCGAGAGACAGTGAGACAGAGCAAGAGAGCGAGACAGAGCAAGAGACACAGAGAGAGACAGAGCAAGAGAGACAGAGAGCGAGAGAGACAGCGAGAGAATGAGACAAAGATTGAGACAGAGAGAGCGAGAGAGCAAGCAAGAGAGACAGAGAGAGAGTGAGCCAGTGAGAGAGTGAATCAAAAGCTGTGCACTTAGATTGAGGGCAATATATCCATCCCAGCAGTTCCTATGCCTGGCTGACTGCCAGAATCACCTGGTGGGGCTTCATCAAGTCAGATGCTCAGTGGCTACCCAGGCACTTAACCTGAATAGTAAGAGATGGGTTTCAGGAATCAAAAGACCTCCCTAGAAAAATGCCCATGTGGGCACAATTTTGTATCCCAGTTAAGGGATACATAGGCCAGTTAACAATTCCTGAATTCCTGATCATTAATCTTTTTAAAATTTGTCTTTTGACTTTTTATATACTTAAGTCACCCTGTCCGTGTCTGAATATGTTATTGAAAAGAATGGAGGTTTTTCAACACACCGAAGTGCTTCTACCTCCTTATATGATATTGCTTTTAACTTAAAATTGTTTATGCTAAGTAACATAAAATGGTATATACCAATCTTTAAATGTAGTAAAACTTTATGCCTCTAAATGGTATACATATAAATAGCTCTCCTCTGTGGAGCCCATTGAGAACCAGAACATAAGCAAAGCTGCTTCTTCAAATGAAACGATAAGTTACCGAGGCCAGGTGCTTTACCATCGCTTTAAACATGCTTCTTAGACCCTTGATTAATCTGGTTTCAGCCCTTGACAGAAGTGAGGGAAGAGGCTGGTAAAAAATAGGCAAGTTAATAGCAACAAGAAGTGACAGCAGTGGAGGAAAAAAAATCTTAAAAACTAAGAAAACATGGCACTTTGGAACGTTTTAGATACTCCTAGCTATCTAGTAGCTATCTAGGTAGCTACTTCTACCCTTCTTATTCCAAGGACCAGCAGTGTCTATATCAGCTGGGAGCTTATTAGAAAGTCAGAACCTTAGGCTGAGCGTGGTGGCTCATGCCTGTAATCCCAGTACTTTAGGAGGCTGAGGTAAGCAGATCACTTGAGGTCAGGAATTCAAGACCACCCTGGTCAACATAGTGAAACCCCTGTCTCTAATAAAAGTATAAAAAAATTAGCTAGGCGTGGTGGCAGGTAGCTTAGCATGTCTGTAATCCCAGCTACTTGGGAGGCTGAGGCAGGAGAATCGCTTGAATTTGGGAGGCGGAGGCTGCAGTGAGCCAAGATTGTGCCACTGCACTCCAGCCTGGGCAACAGAGGGAGACTCCATCTAACAAAAAAAAAAAAAAAATCAGAACCTCAGATGCCACCCCAGACCTACTGAAATTTTTTTTTTTTTTGAGACGGAGTCTTGCTCTGTCACCCAAGCTGGAGTGCAGTGGTGCGATCTCCGCTCACTGCAAGCTCCGCCTCCCGGGTTCACGCCATTCTCCTGCCTCAGCCTCCTGAGTATCTGGGACTACAGGCGCCCGCCACCACGCCCGGCTAATTTTTTTGTATTTTTTAAGTAGAGACGGGGTTTCACCGTGTTAGCCAGGATGGACTCAATTTCCTGACCTTGTGATCCACCCGCCCTGGCCTCCCAAAGTGCTGGGATTACAGGCGTGAGCCACCGCGCCCGGCCGACCTACTGAATTTTAACCAAGATCCTGAGGCGATTACATGACCAGTAAAGTGTGGGAAGCACAATATACATCTATTACAGTGATGACTGAATCAGCAAGAAACAGTCAAATTTAGTTAAATTAACTTAATTCAAAGTAAATTAGACTGTTAAAGTTGGGGAATAATAAAGCTAATAATGGCTACTTACTGCACACCTACTCTGGGCTCAGTAAAACTTATGGGATCATTCAAAGGAAGAAATTATATCACTCCTTTGCTTGAAATTTGCCAGAGACCTCCCATCCCACTGAGAGGGAAATCTAAATCCCTTCCTATGATCTGGTCTTGCCTGCAATATCATCATCACCATCTCTCCTCTTCCTCTCTCCACATTTCTCTGCCCTTTTAACAAACAGGAAAATGGATGTGGCTATGCCTTTTGCCTCTATAATTCTAGACAAATGATGTATTAAAATAGCTGTTTGTGAAGTAGTCAAGCGTAGATTTTTAAATGTAAGATTGCTTATAAGTCAGGCATAAGTGTTATTTTTAACCTTCAGAGGTTTAAAAGATTTCTTTCCCGTATTACTAACATAGAACTAACTGCATCTTAATATGTGGTGCATGAAGGAGACTAAAAAATTTTCAGAGTTAATCTAGAAACTCATTTTTTCTTTGTAATTGTGTTTCTAGATATATAAGTATTTGTCACATGATCAGTATTTAATGTTCACTATTTTATTCTTCTACTATTAAATCCAAACAAACTAAAAAAAAAAATTGTTTCTCTGAAAGAAATCAGATTACCTGAGGTCAGGAGTTTGAGACCAGCCTGGCCAACATGGTGAAATCCCATCTCTAACTAAAAATACAAAAATTAGCCAGGTGTGGTGGCACATGCTTGTAATCCCAGCCACTCAGGAGGATGAGGCAGGAGAATGGCTTGAATCCAGGAGGTGGAGGTTGCAGTGAACCGAGATTGTGCCACTGCACTCCAGCCTGGGCAACAGAGCAACTCTGTCTCAAAAACAAACAAACAAACCAAAAAACTTAGTACTAAAAGGAATCTTTTAGTTAATCCAAGTACTTCACAGAGGTTCTGAGACTTAGAGAAATGATGAGTTAATTTGCTCAAGATCACACAGTATTTCAGAACCATGGCCACCTCTGTACTTTTAGCCAAGGTCCATGGACTTCCCCCAAGAGCGCACAGATGGGTTTAAACCTAGGATCTGAAATTGTCTGCATAATTTTGTAGATGGGCATCTTTGGGGCATTAATAACTTACATTAGATTCCCAAAGGGCCATGCAATTTTCCCAAAGCTTGAGTTATAAGTTACTTAAATGCCACAGATTTATATCTAAAATGATACATGGACTTGCTAAATTATTCTAAGATACCACATCTCTCTACTTAAGTTAAATGGCATGATATTCTGAGGTAGAAATTGAATGAACCTTAACATTCAAATATATTATGTTGTTTACAGTAAGTGGCTTCCAAACATTTAGTTCATGGTATAAACTAGAGACTAGAATACCATATGATAATTAAATTACAAAGACACATTAAGATTCTTATACTTACCCCAGTCATTAGTAAACTCATTGGATTCTTCTCCAAAAATATTTTTTTCCAAGCCTGGAAACTGAATGATTCAGAGTATGACGAAAAACAAAACAAAAACCCACACATATGCTCAATTCTGAACAGATTTCAATTTTATATTTCAAATTAAATAGCACAATCAGAACTGAAATTCCAAAATTTCCAATTCTAGAAACCAATCCAAGTATAAAAAAACGAAGTCAACTTGGCTCAGTGCTTAATTTTCTAATATTTTTCTGTTCTTTTGCCCCTCTAGAAAGTCAAAATCATGGTAGATGCCTGGTTCCCTTATGTCCTGTTTAGTTTGCAAAAGTACTTCTAGAAACTTCATCCTTCTACTTAAGGGCCATAGAATTCGAATATTTGCAAAGGACATGTTTTAACTATTGCTCTTAAACAACATCCCAGTAGCTTATACAAGGCAATTTCGTTGATCAAGTATCTAAAAGCACGACTTGAGACTGGATAGAAGGAATTAGAGGATAGATAACATTCGATTTTGTTTTTATTTTCAGGCGTTTGTTTCCCCACTCTCAGATGTATCATCATTCAGGCTAGGAAGGGGATATGAAAAAAGAGAAAGATTTTATTGGCCAATAATTTAAGTATCAATATATAGAGTGAATAAATGGAGTCAAGTAAGAATCTTCTGTCATCTCTGTATGATCACGAAGCTTTCTGATGCATTTTGCTTCTGATCCTCTCTGTAATAAAGATAATTTTTCTCAAAATATGTCCTAAATTTTGATACACATATTCTCAGGGAACAAAAGCAAGGACGTGCTTCAAATATTTGAACTCGGTCATTTGCAGATGACCAATAGCTTTAATAATGCCCACAACACTTATTATTCATATTATTTTGTGGGACAGTACAAATCAACAAGGGCTGGCAACCAGCCCATTCATCAAGGGCTGAAACTCAGTCTCCCAAGCCTGCTTAAAGACCAGTTCTGAGATTACAAGACAAAAGCCTCATGAAATAAAGATATTTTATACAGCTAAAATGGAATATCATTTATTTTAGCTCATGAATAAACAACTGCCTGAAATTTTTATAATGCTTTGAGGCAAATATTAGCCCATAAAAATTAATGTTGATACATTTTTAATCCAGTTGCTCAACCATCCCTTGCACCCAACTATATTGATAAGTAAAAAAGAAAAATAAATTTGCTTCATTTAGTTTATCGGAGCAAGATTTTATATGACATGAAAAAGTATAGTTTGTAGAGATTTCATGATGGCATTTCATCTCTTCGCCTGTGGTCAAGATTTCACTGAAACGATTCTAAATGATTCTCAATATTTTGAAAATTTCATAGAAATTATTTCAATATTTTATAATGCTTTCTGCCATAAAGTTCTATTCTCCCAAATGTAATGGTTAGATTATCATATAAAAGGCAATATAATATTGCAAAGAACACAGACTCTGGAGCCAGTCTGCCTGTGTTCAAAAACTGGCCCTACCATTTACTTGATGTGCAACCTTAGGCAAGTTACTTAACCTCTCTGTGCCTCCCTTTTTTCACCCATTGCATTGTAATAGTAGTTCTTCATCAAATTGTTATAAGAGCTAAATAAGTTAATATATTTAACGACGACTTTAGAATAGTGGCTGGCACATAGCATTTATAAGTGCTGCTAGTATTATTATTTCTACTTATTAATACGGTTTCTCTAGTCAGCTCCAGAAAGAGTCGTAATCATTGTTATATTAACATATAAACATCTTTGTGTGTTTATAACAAAGAACAGTATTTTTCTACTAGAATAAAGGAGACTTTAAGTCTCCAGCTACAATCTCATAACTGAAGAAACCACTAGATAAATGATGAGATCCACAAGGTAGGACTTAACATATCAAGTTAAAAAAAAAACAGGTTACAAAGCAGTGTGCTCTTATTTCTGTTGCAATACATTGTATGTGTCATGTACACACATACACATAGAAGGAAAATGTTATAATATTTATCAAAGCATAGCTGTGGTTTTCTCCAGTGGTGGGACTAAGAGGGTTCTTATTTTTGCTTATTTTCCAGAAAACATGTATTATTTATTAAGAAGAAATTCATTAGTAAGTGGAAGGTTCTATACTGAAGTGTTTATTTCTAGGTATTAGAATTGTGAGTGATTTTTATTTTCTTATTTCATTTTCTGTATTTTAAAGATTTCCTGCAATGAACATTTTATCAATACTGTAATCATGACAAGGAGGAAGAAAATCCAAGATGTTTACTTGAAATCAAGGTGCTAGTATACTGATAGGGGTGAGGAGCAAAAGGCATGCTATTCTATGATGGAGAAAGCCACAGATGCAACTATTTTGCAGTTACCTTGGCTATGACCTTTCTTACCTTGTTCTCCATATTCTGTTTTATAACTTCCTGTACCAGTACATCAGCCAGCGTCTTGAAGTCAACTGCAAACTTCTTGTTCTTTTCTCCCTCTTTCTTTTCTTCGATCAGCAGCTGGAAGAGGGCTTCCTGCTGTCTGCACGCCCGGGCAATGTTAGCAGCCTTCTCAGAGACACAGAGCAGCTCCCGGAGGATATCTGACATTTCTGAACCTTGCTTTTCAGTTGCAGCTGCTGGTGGAATTGGCACCCACCCTCTGGGCCGTCAGCTGGAAAAATACAAGAATGTGAAAGAGAAAGCAGTTCAGAGAGTGATGTCAGGGTGCCTCTGGCACTACTAACAACCCATTTGGCAGTCAACCTGGTCAGCCTGGTGAACAGCTAGTCTATATCATATTCACATCCTCAGTGTGGAAGACTCTAGATACAATCTAACATTTGAAGCTTATTGTTTTAAATCTTGAAAAAAAATTTACACTCTCAAAAATATACCAAGAATTAAATTCTCAGTGACAGAAAAATCTTTGAATGAAAATCTAAATCCCTAGAGAGACAGGCAGATGGACACACAAGCACAATGCTAAAGGCAAGTCAAATTCTTGTAATGACCTTAGAATGATCATATGCTTAGCAGCAATATTGAAGTAGTGCTTTCTTTCACCCTGTGGGAAGAAGGGAGAAGAAATGGATGAGGACTTATGCTGTCAGTTCCAGGGCAACTTTCTTTTTTCTTTCTTTTTTTTTTTTTTTTGAGACGGAGTCTCACTGTGTCACCCAGGCTAGAGTGCAGCTGTGCGATCTCCGCTCACTGCAAGCTCCACCTCCCGGGTTCACGCCATCCTCCTGCCTCAGCCTCCCGAGTAGGTGGGACTACAGGCGCCCACCACCATGCCTGGCTAATTTTTTGTATTTTTAGTAGAGACAGGGTTTCACCGTGTTATCCAGGGCAACTTTTCTAAAGTACTAAGTACCAGACCAGCTAGCACCTTTTTTGCTGTTTTTGTTTTTGAGACAGGGTCTCACTCTGTCACCCAGGCTGGAGTGCAGTGGTGTGAACACAGCTCATTGCAGCCTTGACCTCCTGGGCTCAAGTCATTTTCCCACCTCAGCCTCCTGAGTAGCTGGGACTACAGATGCATGCCACCACGCCAGGCTAATTTTTGTATTTTTTGTGGAGATGGAGTTTTACCATGTTGACCAGGCTAATCTCAAACTCTTGCGCTCAAGTGATCCTCCTACCTCGGCCTCCCAAAGTGCTGGGACTACAGGTGTGAGCCACTGCGCCCAGCCTCAGACCAGCAAGCACTGTGTGTCCTGCAAGGCCCTGAGGTCATTCTTAGGCTAGTAGCACAAGCCATCTCATTGCCAACTTCCTCACACCCCGTTAAAAAAAAGTCCCACTATCTATGCTGCTCCTTTACCCAGTAAACGGTTGAATAATGAGGTGAAACATGCAACTTGTTGAGACTTGAAAAGTTCTGGCTTCTAAGAGTGTTATGCTATCATACCTTGATTATATCTGTTGGGGCTTTCCTGCAATTAGGAGAGAAACAGTTCTCATTTTTAATAATAGCTACCTCTTACTGGAAAAGCTTGAAAAATTCCTATCTCATGAGAATTATTGTATTATCAACCCTGTTTTATAGTTAAGCTGAAGTATAGCAAGGTTAAGTAACTTCTTCAGGGTTACAGAAGGCTAAACTGCAAGGCTTGGCATTGCTCCTGCACACAAGCCCAGGCTATTTATTATCATAATACAGTTTCCTTCATTAAAAGAAATTCCCTTAATAGGCCAGGTATGGTGGCTCACGCCTGTAATCCCAGCATTTTGGAAGGCCGAGGCAGGCGGATCACTTGAGGTCAGGAGTTCAGGACCAGCCTGGCTAACATGGTGAAACCCCATCTCTACTAAAAATATAAAAATTAGCCGGGACTGGGCGCAGTGGCTCATGCCTGTAATCCCAGCACTTTGGGAGGCCAAGGCGCATGGATCACCTGAGGTCAGGAGTTCAAAACCAGCCTGGCCAACATGGTGAATCTCTACTAAAAAAAAATACAAAAATTAGCCAGACGTGGTGCTCCACGCCTGTAGTCTCAGCTACTCGGGAGACTGAGGAACAGAATCACTTGAACCTGGGAGGCGGAGGTTGCAGTGAGCCGAGATTACGCCACTGCACTCCAGCCTGGGTGACAGAGCAAGACTCTGTCTCAAAAAAAAAAAAAAAAAAAAAAAAATTCCCTTAATGGACTCTGGGAGGCTGAGAATTAGTACAACTCTGAAGACATAGATGCAATGGGAGTAAGATGTAATTTGTAATAGTTGATCTTAAACAATTTTGCTAAAAAATATGTTCTCTCCTTAAGATTATAGGTCAACCACTATGAGAAAATATGTCTAGTCTCAGTAGTAATAAAAGAAAAGGGCATACAAGCAACGAGACATCCTCTTTGACTATTGTATATGTTTTAAAGTTTACATTCCCTCTTGGAGATGTGGTGAAACAGATGCTCTGCTAATGGGCACGCAAACAAGTTAGGTTTCCAGAGGGCAATTTGACAAAAATGTGTCAAGATCCCTGCAGATGTCACTGCCTTTAGTCAGTAACTCCAGTTTTCCCTCAATCTGTGTTAAGGCAATCAGAGTTGAGTTAAAATATTTCTGCACAAGGAGGATTAATATTACAACAAGTTGAAAATAATCTGAAATATTGGTAAAACAAAATACTATACAGTTGGTAAAATCATGTTTTTGAAGAATATTTAATAATATGGAAATATGTCAATGCACTAATGTTAAGTGGAAAAACTACCTATGACCATATATAATTTGAGAGTATGTTATCCATTTGTGTTTATACACATACACAGAGAGAAAGAGCTTGAAAGGAAGATTAGTAGGTGATGTTTTAATGGTAGTTATAACTGAGTAATGGAATTATGGATGATTTTTTATTATGCTTTTCTATAATTTTCAAATACTCTACAGGAAATATACAGTGCTTTTATAATAATAAATTACATTTTTAAATGTCTTGGGGAATTAAGTATGAAGGTATAAGAATGTCTCAGCCCCTCGAGGCAAATGTCTAAATAAAATGAGACTGCGGTAATAATGCAAAAAGCTTTCAGGTGATAGAAAAGATCTAGTGAAAACTCAAACAAAAGCACCTGCCTACTTAAATGCCTTTTATTTCAGGAATGAATGCTATGTAGGAAGATTTACTTTAGTTGACTTGAATCTAAACATTAGGAAAAACAGCTGCGTTAATAAAGCTGCGGCACGTTGCCTTAGAAATAATTGATGGCATATATGACATATATATACCACAAATTATAACTTAAGTATAATATACAATCACAGATATGCATACATATCTCAGTATAATACATGGCCACAAAAGTATACATTCAGTAACCTTAATTTTTATTTCTTAGTAAATGTTCTGTGGTTATAAGGCAGAAGAATCAATGAATCAACAGTATCAAAATACCTCTTTACCTTAACAGTAGCGTGAAGATCTCAAGGAGTCCGATTTGAAAGCTTTCAAGATAAACAATATCAGCAGTGTTTCTTTTATTCAAGTGTTAAAATCAATTTTTTTTCTTAAAAGAAACGATACTAACTACACTGTTGAATAACCAAGAAACACTCCTTATAACACCCTAATAACACTCAGGCGAGCTAATCACCCTGGCTACAAGCTCCGGAAATCACCACCACTCCCTTCTTTCACGCAGAAAGCTCATCAATTTAACCCTGGTGAGTTTCAGCACAAATGCTGCAGTAATCTGGAATTTGTCCTCTTTGGGCCCAACCTTTATTTCCTCAATAATGACCACTCTCACCTGACCTGAGCAGTTGCTGCTTAGCGAGCACAGCAACTTGACCAATGGGAAAGAAGTACTGGCTATTCACTGCAGCCCTGTAATGAACAGGTCTACCGATTTTAGGAATTTCTCATAACACAATAATCAGGTTTTTCAGTTCCAAGGTTATCCCAGAGTTCACTCTTCGTTTTGGCCCTAGGCAACACTGTCATATTTTGTCAAGTTCCAGGTTGAACTGCCCAGTTTCAGATTGAAACCACTTTCACCAGCCATGCTAATGAGCCCAGCATTTGTTCAGCTACTTCCCTTTCTCCAAGGCCCTGGCTCTCCATGTATCCTCAACTCAGTTCACACAGGCAGGCCACAAACCTGAAGGAAGCATTGCACAATTCATCCTAACCTTGAATGGCTCAACTTGAAATAATTTGTCTATGGAGAAACTGAAGGCTACATCTAATGCAGAATTTATTCTTCCATTTTATCAATACATTTATTAAAACTCATGGAAATTATCTTTCAGATGATTTTTTAATTAATTTATTTATTTTTTCAACTTTTATTCTAAGTTCAGGGTTACATGTGCAGGTTTGTTATATAGCTAAACCCATGTCATGGGGTTTGTTGTACAGATTCTTTCATCACTAATGGGTACTAGGCTTGATAACTGCGTGATGAAGTAGATGATTTTTTAAAAAGTAAGTTTACATACTCATCATTCACCTAAGACCACTTTATTTCAACACTGTACTTTAAATAAAAATTATTATAGACTTATGATTAGTAAGTTATGGCATTTACCATAATTTAATAGCCTTGACTATAGAAGAAATTCCTTTTGATTAGTATTTCTCAATGGATGTTCTGAGAGTTACCTGTATCAGAATTACCCAAGATGGCCTTCTAAAAAAACAGATTGCTGGACTCTACCCCAGCTTAGTGAATCAGAATCTCTGGAGACAAGCCCTAGGAATCTGTATTTTTGTCAGCAACCTGTATAACTCTAAACACAGATTTAATAGCTCCAGTTCTCCAGGTTGCTTATTTTTCTTTACCTCTATGCTGGCAATTTTAGTGGCAGCTGGCACCTGCTGGCAGGTATCTTGGTGAAACAATGTAGGTACAATGGTTTTGCTATCTGTTATTCTTGTGCAGAGATAGGTTAAAATTGAAACAGCTAACATTTACTAGGTGCTTACTATATGCCAGGCATCCTTCTAGGCACCTTACATGTATTAACTCATTTAATTCTTATATAACCTTAGGAAGTAGGTACTATTATCTCCATTTTACAGATGAAGAACCTGAGGCACAAGGAGATTGTTTACTGAAAATCACAGAGCTAGGAAGTTGTGGGACAAGATTCAAACCTAGGCAAGCTGGCAGAAGCCCCCACTGTTGACCAGTACTCTAGCCAGTGAAATCTTTTCATCAATTGTTAACTATTAAAATAAGGGAAAATCAGTAATTGTTGGATAATAATCATAAGTACATTAGTATTATAAGGTACATTATATAGCAAAAAAAAAAAAAATGCACACACACACACACACACACCCCTAGTTGATATCTGTCACTAGGTTTGATCATTATACGTCACTATTTGACTTCCCTTTTACTCTCAGAAAAACCTTTTCTCCAGCTGATCTTCAGCCTCTGTTAAGGACCCTTCTGGGTAGTAAAAGCTCATCTATTAAGTTCCACTGATGTCTCCCTTAACTGTCATGGCATTGATGGCAGGGGGCATGCCCAATACCTAATTCTTCTGGTGTTAGTTTGTTAAGACTGGGTAGCTTAACAATAAAATCGCACTTTCTCACAGTTCTGGGGACTGGAAGTCCAAGAGCAAGGTGTCAGCAGGACTGGTTTCTCCTGAGGCTTTGCTCCTTGGCTCACAGACGGCCCCTCTCATTGTGGCCTCACCTGGCCTTTCCATCGTGGGCGTTAATCTCTGGCATGTCTCCCTTTTCTTACAAGGACGCCAGTCAGACTGGATAAGGATCCGCCTGTATGACCTCACATAAACTTTAAAGGTCCTATCTGCAAGTACAGTCCCATTCTGAGGTACTGGGGGTTGGGGCTTCAACATGTGAATTTTGAAGTAACATAATTTAGCCCCTAAAACCTCTCCTGAAAGACAGGCCGTGGTTACCTTAGCGACCCAATCTATTAGCTGACACAATCTATTCCTTTGTCTTTTGTTTTCTGGCCAAAAGTGAAAATGGGATAGTGTTTTCCTCCCCATTTATGTCGTCAATAAGAAACATCTGTGAGGCAGTCGTTCCCACTAAAAGCTATTCGCTTTAACAGCCAAGTAATTAATATTGCAGTGAGCACTGAACCTCTCATAAGCCTTGTTTTGTAACAATCTATTTCAAGTCACATTTCAGCAAAATGGGCTTAAAGAAGTTTCATTCCTTCCATCTCAAACCAAATGTACGTATCTATATGTTTAACATAAAATTGTGTCACAATGTCAGATAGAATTAGGGTCTCTTTTGCTTTTGTAGGATTGTCTAGTCCAGTTGGAGAGCTACTAAAGGAATTGAAGTATGTCAGAAGGAAAAAAGGTTCTTAAGACTTTTCTTGGAAACCCAAACCTCTCCACAAAGATAAATCTCAAATTTCCAGCCATTATCAGAACATCAGAGGTTTAAAAATCCTATCTGAATAATTTAGACATATTTCAGATGGGATAAACTATATAGTGGAAAATACACAGGCTTTTGAATCAGAAAGGCCTGGGTTCAAAACATAACTCTGCTACTAACTAGCTGTGTGGCATCAGGTATTTTCTTACCCTCTCTGAGACTCTCTCTTTACCTTTAATATAAAGATTAATAGTTACCTTGCAGTGATGTTGTGAAGATCAAATGAGATATTTCTGGAAAAATATCACAGAGCACAGAGCTTTACACATGGCAGATAATAAATGATAGCTATGACTCTGAAATACAACCTCACAGAAACCACAGTCACATGTCTTAACTTGAGAAAGTAAGAGGTTGGCAAGTTTATATGGGTCACTGAAACCTTTTCTTAAAACTTACTACTCCATTAAATCCAAAGCCTGGGAACTACTTGCAATTCTCTGAGTAACCCAAATAAAGTTCCTTTTTGTCGGCCAGATCTGATTGCTTCAGTTTCTGGGCATCTGGGTGGAAACCCTGGCTCCTAGAGGCTGAGACTACTCTGGCTTCATGGTAGACAGTCTATGACTGGCTTGGGAGAGCCATTTTTCTGTCAAGGGAGATATTTTGTGAGGATTCTAGGGCCCAGAGTGCTCCTTCTCATGTGAAGAGCCTGGTTGTAGCAGAAGCTGGCTGTGCCCTTTTGTTGTCCACAGTGACAGAAGGGTGATGACATAGATAAGGGCCTGCCACAAAACAGAACTGCTCTCTAATCAATAGGCAAGCGGGTCAAAGCACTTCTGTTGACATTTCCCTCTTCCGGCAGATAATTCAACACTTTACAGAGTACACATTTTTGCCCATTGCGCATTGACTCCACCCCACCCCCACGGTTCACATCCTGAATTCTGGCTCTCATCTTCTGAGGAATGGCAATTTGAAGCTATTGCGTGGTGGGCCTGCCTGACAGCTATTGCTGCTAGTGGAAAAGGCCAAGCTTCCGTGAAATATCTGGGTGTTTTACAAGAAGGTGTTTCTCATGACCTTTTCCAAGGGGGTACAGCTGTCCAGGAGTCTGTGTAGGTGGCCACATGATGGCAGTGGCCAAGGTTCTATTCAGATCACATTGCTGTTGTAGGGGAAACATAGACTTCGTCCCACCTCTCCTTTGCTCCATACTCAAGGGCTGCCTTGGGGAGTAGTTTTAAAGATTGGAGGTTGTTTGTGCAGAAGGGACAGGGGAATGGAAGTGGGCCCACACTAAATATGGAGGGGGGGCTCGCTGTGTTGTGTCACTTGCTAATGGTAGCCTCCCCTGAGATTCCTGTGAGGCCAGAGGGAAACTGTACTACAAGCCTTACTAGAGATTTGCAATACTGCCTTTTAGCTCATTGAAAACTAAATTGTTTTCCCAGTGTATAAGCCATGTTCAACTTTCAGATATTTGACTGTCAAACATTTCTCAGGATCCAATAAATATTACAGTTTGGGACTGCCTGTACTTCCTGGGTCTTATTTCATGTTGATCCGGGTGATGTTGCTGTCATTACCTCATGGGCTCTGATTAAGTTTAGCCTTTTAGTAGCTGATTTTGCACTATCCATTTGCTCTCCTGCTCTGGGAAGATTGTAAATTTGCACATGCTGCTCCCTCTGGTTGACACGCCCTTCTTCCTGCTTTCTCGACCTAATGCTCACTCACCTTCTCAGAATCAGTTCAAGGGCAAGAAGCTTGAATAGGCACTTCATACAGGAGGATATCCAAATGGCCAATAAACATACAGAAACACAGTCTACCATATTAGTCATCAGGAAGATGCAACTTAAAATCTCAACAGGGTGCCACTATGTATCCAATGGAATAGCTAAAATAAAAAAGACTGAAAATTTCAAGTTTTGCTAAGGGTATGGAGCAACAGAAACTCTTATGAACTGCGGGCATGAATGAAATTGGTATAATCATTTTGGAAAACTATTTGTAATTTGTTGACTATAAGTATAATCTATGATCCAGCAATTTAATTTCCCTTGTAGATATTTACCCAACAAAACTCATGCAGGTATGGATTAAAAGACACGTACTTGTGAGCAGCATTATTTGTAATAATCTAACATTGGTAATAACCCAAACAAGCATCAATAGTAAAATGGAATAAACTGCAGCATATTCATGTAATGAAATGCTATACAGCAGAGAAAATGAATGAATTGCGACAATAGGCAACAACATGGATGCATCTCACAAAAACATGCTGTCAAGTGAAAGAGGTCAGGCACAAAAGATATATGCTGTGCCATTTAATCAATTTAAAGTTCAAAAACAGGCAAAACCAACCTATAGCAACGTTGGAAGTCACAATGGTGGTGTCCTTGGAGAAGAAGGTGGGGTTACTGATGGCAGCTCTGGTAATGTTCTGGATATGAGTGATGGTTACACGAGTGGGTTGACTTTGTATCAATTTATTAGCTAACTGCTGAGATTCCTAATGTTTATGTGTATATTTCTAATTCACTAAAAAGGTTTGTTTTTTAAAAATGTATGTGCAAAAGGAGAATCATTTCAACTGTTGGCTCCTTCAGGAGACATTTCTGACTCCTCCTCCATCTTAGGCACCTGGGCCATGGGGGAATGGAGATGGGCCAAATCTCTATCCCAGCTTTCCAACACTCTATGCATTGGTTTACTTGTTTATGCTCTAACAAGAGATTTAAATGCATTTGCTGTCTTAGGACTCGTACTGCATAACTCAGAGGTGTTCAATAAATGTTGGCTGATGAATTTTCCCTTAGCTTTGTGAATACAGAATTCATCCTTGTCACACTGTTTATTGTACTTGGATTTTATCAGCATTAGACATACAGGCCCATATTTGTATAAAAGTCTACATATATTCTGTATTCATTTACAAGAACAAACCAAGGCTGTATCTGAATAACTAGCAACTGAACCACATTTTTGGAGCACCAAATCAGAATCTAAAATTATCCCCTTTCATCTAGAGGTGACCTATCTGTGACAAGATTAATTTAATTAAATCACTCAAAATAGTGAGTTTAATTTGGTTTTGTGAGAAAAGATATTAAATATGGTATATGTGAATCTTTTATTTAACCCTAACATTTCTCTCTCTTTCCTCCCTAACCTTCAAACTTCAATTCCATCTCAAATGATGATGACATACACATTACTCTAAGCTGGTCAGTCTACACTTGCTCTATTGTGAGCAAGTGTACCAATGGACCACATTAGCCTACATTTTTGCTCACTGAAGCTGCTCAAAGCAATAGGCTACAAAGATGTCCCTTGTTCTCAAATGCTGTTCTGATAGCTTGTATATGGAAGCCTGTGCTAAAGCTGTGTTTTCCAAATCAGCTAAGATCAAGAAGTAAGACACATTAAAAATAGAGACTTTTAGAAAGGGGAATGTCAGCTGATTTTTATCCAACAATTTAAGGAAACAACAGGTGCAACAGTCAGCTCTACACTCACTGGTTGCTTAAGAACAGAACAGGGAGCCTTGTTCCACTAAGAGTCAACTTATATTGCCTTTTTGTAAAGTAAATTAAATGCTCGGAAAAAAATAGTTGATCTACATAGTAAGTATTCTGTAGTAACGTAACAATTTTATAAAGGATGAATTTCGGATACTTCTCAGAACTCATCTGAAAATTGTGAAAAAGTATTCCATTTAGAAATACCTTAAAATTTGTCTGGGCATGGTGGCTCATGCCTATAATCCCAGGACTTTGGGAGGCTGAGGTGGGTGGATCACCTGAGGTCAGGAGTTCAAGGCCAGCCTGGCCAACATGGCAAAATCCCGTTTCTACTAAAAATACAAAAATTAGCCAGGCGTGGTGGCGCATGCCTGTAATCCCAACTACTCAGGAGGCTGAGGCAGGAGAATCACTTGAGCCTGGGAGGCAGAGGTTGCAGTGAACCAAGATCACACCACTGCACTCCAGCCTAGGTGACACGGTGAACTCTGTCTCAAAAACAAACAAACCGACAAAAACTTTAAAGTTTGATAGTGACCTTATTTTTTAAACTCCCTTTTCCATAGTTGGAAATATTTTCACTAAAGAGAAACTTTGTTCATTTAGATATTTTTTTTTCTGCTGTGTTCCAACTACAGTATATGCTTAAGTTTTTGTATGCTAAGAGATGTTTTTAGAACCCTGTTGCCACAAATGAAACCTGAAATCAGATAGTATACAAATAGAAGCAGATGCAATGTAACTATCTTAACTATCAGAAAGAATAAATTTTTTAAAAATACAAATTTGATGCAAAATTCAAGGCAGAAAAAAGGGTCAGATGTATGGTTTGAAGCAAGAATATTTTCCAATAGAATATTATTTATAATTTTGATCACTGCTAATCAGAATCTAGAATCTTACTAATTTATTTTTATTTTTCAGACAGGGTTTCGCTTCCATCACCCAGGCTAGAGTGCAATGGTACAGTATCAGCTCACTGCAACCTCCGCCTCCCAGGCTCTAGTGATTCTCCTGCTTCAACCTCCCAAGTGGCTGGGACTACAGGTGCATGCCACCACACCTGGCTAATTTTTGTATTTTTAGTAGAGATGGGTTTCACCATGTTGGCAAGGCTGGTCTCAAACTCCTGATCTCAGGTGATCTGCCCACCTCGGCCTCCCAAAGTGCTGGGATTACAGGCGTGAGCCACCACACCTAGCCTTAATCTTCAATCTATTTTGAATGTAACATTTTTCATTAATTAAGGAAGATTCCAAAGTCAATTTATCTTTCCTTTAGAACTCATGCCATACTAATTGGAGACACCAACTCCTTTAACACTTACTGTTTATTGTCTGGATGGGCCTGGATGGGCCTGCAGGGTGTGCGGTAGAAAGAGCCTTGCTTGGGATACAGGAGAGCTGGTTCTTAGGCTCTGTTTTGCCAATCAGGTATATAAACTCGGCCACATGATGTAAGCTCTGAAGGACTTGTTTTCCCCATTTTGTAAACATAAAAAAGGAAAAGAAAAGCAGGGGCAGAGAGGTTGGATTGGATGATTTCTATGATCTGTTCCAGTTCAAAACTTCTCTGTTTTTTATATCTACTTCTCATATAAATGAGATTGGGAAATATTATTCAGCCTTAAAAAGAAAGGAAATTCTGACACATGCTACAACATGGATGAAACTTGAAGACATTATGGCACATGAATAAGCCAGACTGAAAAAGACAAATACTCTATGATTCCACTTGTATGAGGTACTCAGAATGTCAAATTCGTGGAGACAGAAAGTAGGATGGTGGTTACTAGGGCTGGGAAGAGAGGGTAGAGTCATTGTTTAATGGGTATAGTTTTTGTGTGGGATGATGAAAAAATTCTGGACATGAACAGTGCTGATGGTTGCATAACAAAGTGAATGTACTTAATGCCACTGAGCTGTAATTTGAAAACGGTTAAAATGGTAAATTTGATATTAGATATCTTTTACCACAATTTTTTTAAAGTTAAAAAAAAACAAAAAATTACAGGTTCAAAGAAATGCACATTTCAAAAGCTTTTGATGTTTATCATCTACATAATAAGGGCATAATAAATATTTGTTGACTTATATTTTTAAAAAACAAGTGGGGGTAGCGATAGGAAAATTAGGTTTAAAGAAGGGCACTAGGCTATTTAAGTTGATTTCATACAGCAACCACACCGGTGTTTTGTTTTGTTTTGTTTTGTTTTGTTTTTGAGACAGAGTCTCGCTCTGTTGCCCAGGCTGCAGTGCAGTGGCACGATCTTGACTCACTGCAACCTCCGCCTCCCAGGTTCAAGCGATTCTCCTGCCTTAGCCCCCCTAGTAGCTGGGATTACAGGCACGCGCTACCACACCTAGCTAATTTTTGTATTTTTAGTAGAGACCAGGTTTCGCCATGTTGGCCAGGCTGGTCTCGAACTCCTGACCTCAGGTAATCCACCCGCCTTGGCCTCCCAAAGTGCTGGGATTACAGGCGTGAGCCACCATGCCCAGCCTCCATCCTCATTTTAAGAGTTGCTGATAATGAAAAATTATGGCATCAATTTAAGTTATGCTTTCCTTAAGCAATGTTAAAAGAACAATTTTCTTTGGTCACTTGAATTTAACTCCTTTGATATGAATTATTACTCTCATTTGCATTGAGCAAAGCCTACCACTGTCACTTTAGAGGAAAAGGGCAAGTTTAAATATCTATTGGTAAAGTTGGCAAATATTTAAATTAATTTAAACATGGATAATTTACTATATTTTAAATATTTAGTTGGTTAAAAATAAAAACAAATGAGCAAATAACACACACTCTCCATCCCCCCCCAAAAAAGGAGAAAGAAAAGCAATGTAAAGAGGAAGAAGGAAAAGGAAAATAAATTCTGACATTTTCCATTATGGTAACTCATCTTGTCAAATTATTTTATAGGTATTTAATATTCTATTTCTTTAATTTTTTTATATATAACTGACCAAGTTTTAGGGCCAAATAAATTTTTTTTTCTTTTTTGAATGGGGTTGAGAGTCATTTTTTAAAAAGCTACAAATAAGGAGCCAGGTGTGGTGGCTCACGCCTGTAATCCCAGCACTTTGGGAGGCCAAGGCGGGTGGATCACGAGGTCAGGAGATCGAGACCATCCTGGCTAACACTGTGAAACCCCATCTCTACTAAAAATACAAAAAATTAGCCTGGTGTGGTAGCGGGCACCTGTAATCCCAGCTACTCGGGAGGCTGAGGCAGGAGAATCGCTTGAACCTGGGAGGCAGAGGTTGCTGTGAGCCGAGATCACACCACTGCACTCTAGCCTGGGCAACAGAGTGAGGCTCTGTCTCAAAAAAAAAAAAAAAAAAAAAAGCTACTAATAAGGTATTCAAATTTGCATGCCTGTCTTGCCTATAATTATTTAATCAGGCACATGGAAGAGGTAACAAATAAATCTATAATATGAAAGAAATTAGGCTGGGTGCAGCAGCTCACACCTGTAGTCCCAGCATTTTGGGAGGCTGAGGCAGGAGGATGTCATGAGCCCAGGAGTTTGAGACCAACCTGGGCAACATAGTGGGACCCCATCTCTACAATTTTAAAAATTAGCTGGGATGGTGGCACGTGCCTGTAGTCCCAGACACTCGGGAGGCTGGGGTGGGAGGATTCCTTGAGCCTGAGAGGTGGAGACTGCATAAGCCATGATCACACCACTGTACTCCAGCCTGGATGACAGAGTGTGACCTTTTCTCAAGAAAAAAAGAAAAAAAAGAAAGAGAAATTATTAGGTACAATATTTTGCTGTGGATTACTAGTTACAGTAATCTGCATTAGTCATCCATTAATAAAATGCTCTTATCACATTCAAGAAATTGAATTAACATTACATACCACATAAAAAAGACTAAACATGCAAAAATATGTTTGCTAAATTTGATCAGCAGAAGCTTGACCAGAAAAAAATATAAAAGTTTCAGATTTCCTAAATGAGTGGCCTCATCATATTAATAAAATCAGTTTCCATATATGAACATTTTATGTACAGGAGTCCTAATAAGTTTTATCAACTATTCATTCCAACAATAGTCATTTCCCACCTGCATTTCCCAAACTCACCTTTTTTGTTGTTGTTGACTATTTTAAAATTTTATCATTTTTGTCTATTTGAAATATCTCCTTTCTCTTAGAAATTCTGATCCAGGAAGTCTCAAGTTGCAATCTGGGAATCTTTTAAACCACTATTATACTCTACCCACTCCCCGACTTGCCTACTACCCTGAGGAATTTTACAATCAGACAAGTTTGAGAAACAGTACCCAACATCAATCACAGGAGACGGGAAGCAGAACTTTTATTTTTTTAATTTTAACTTAATTTTTATTTTTTGAGATGAAGTCTTGCTTTGTCGCCCAGGCTGGAGTGCAGTGGCGCGATCTGGGCTCACTGCAACCTCTGATTCCTAGGTTCCAGGGATCCTCCAGCCTCAGCCTCCTGAATAGCTGGGACTACAGGTGCTTGCTACCACGCCTGGCTAATTTTTGTATTTTTACTAGAGACGGGGTTTCACCATGTTGGCCAGGCTGGTCTCGAACTCCTAACCTCAAGTGATCCACCTGCCTTGGCCTCCCAAAGTGCAGGGATAACAGGCGTGAGCCACCACGCCAGCCAGAGCCTTTATTTCTAAGCTCTCAGCCAAACACATTAACATAGTTTTATTAACTTCATTACAAGATTCAAAGTATTTTAACAAGAACATTCATAAGGACTCACATCGGGAAAAAGTGCTTATATACACCATCCTCACCTTTAAAAAATGAAGATGACGTTTGTTTTCATTGATCACTTTATATAACATAATTATCTTTTAAGCAATTTCTGTATAACATGAAATAGAATGAGACATTTTCTAACTGTTATTAGAGACAGAATTAAAAAGCAAAATAAATATATAATAACCTTTATAACTTTTGTCTCACAGGCCTTCTATGTCAAACAAGAAATTATCTTTTCATTTTTTTCAGGACTATAACAAGGAAAGCTATAATTTAAATCTATAATAAGGTATATCATTTTAAAGGGCATTAGTCAAAGCTGCAATTTCCAAGCAAGCGGTGGTTTAGTCCAAAAGCTTGAAAAGTGGTAGCTTATTCTACACAAAAAGTACAGTGTAACTCTATGTATTTGACATAATTCTCTTCATGACTAAGCTGACTTCAAAAGTAGTATAAAAATCCATAAAAACTTAAAAATAAAGTAGGCTCTACATAAGAATGGAAACAAATATCTGTATTGAAAAAATGAATTCTTCCATTGCCTTTATTTTTTCCCTTATGTTCTCTATTTTAAAAGGTAAGAATGAGATCACTTAGCTAATTCACCAATCAAGAGTAGTTCAGTGGATTACTTTCATCCTTATACTATTATCAAGTTGAGCAGGGCTGATCCTTATCAACTTTTCTGGCTTCAAAGCTAGGAATCAGTGTAAAAGGGCTAAAAAATCTTTTACTCAACAGATGGGATCCACTTAAGTGGTCTGTCCATACTTTTAACCCACTGTTCTTTTGAAGTGAACACCATCATACAGTGGGCAAACTTCTGCTTATTCAACACTTTAAAAATACCTTTAAAATGAGAAATCTCCAAAAAACAAGCCGTGGTTTCTTATAAGTGTTTTTCACAGATGTACTAAAGTAAGCGTTTCCTTTCACACTCTTTGCGCCTAACCGTCTACATGATAGGGCCAAACCCAGGTTAAATATTTTTTTCCAGCTACCACTCTGGACACACCAACTAATTATGCACACCTCACAAAACCACCTTTCAAAATGCAGAGAGAATTAACAGCAAGGAAGTAAAGATTTTTCTAAATATAGTCCCATCATATTTATTTCACACTCATCAAGTAGGTCACTGGAGGTAGCTGGCAGCTAGGGACACTCAGATGCATCTCTCAAAGCCAAGGCTGAGACCAAGGGGTCACTGACAGCTGCGCCATCTACCTGTTGCAGCTGGGCCACTGCTCTGGACAACTGTCAGATCAGCTTCTTCGTCCTACAAATACTAATGACTGGATTTTTAAAATCGTTGTTTGCCACCCTTTCTTCCCGCCCCCCAACCCCATCGGGCCGCTCGGGCAGGGCCAAGGGCGCCGCGGGACTCACGAGCTCCCCTCCGCGCTGGCTGCAGCGGCGATGCCGGGCATGCCTGGCCGGGCCCGGCCGGGGGCGGCCTCGCTGCCGGGGCAGGGACCTCGCAGGCCGGCGCGCAGAGGCGAGGAACCCTCCCGGCGCCATCGACTCACCTACCCGCGGAGAGGCGACGGCGCGCGCCGCTCACCAGCCCGGGCCCCAGATCCAAGGAGGAGGGGCAGCGGCGCGGGGACCCTGTGGTGGGTGTCGTAAGGAGGAAAACGTGTTACCTAAGCCGGGGATGAGGACAGAGCAGGAGGCAGCAGCCTTTCCCTCGAGAAACGGAAGCGGCGGGGAGCAGGAGGAGGAGGAGGCGCGGCCCGGGCGCGAGGTTAGGCGAGGGGCGCTGGGCGTGCGGCCGCAGGCGCGGCCAGAGGACGAGGGTTGGGGAGGACGGCGGAGGTCACGCGAGCGAAGGCGAAGCCCCGGCGACGCACGGCCCCGCTTGGCTCGGCACCGGATCCGAGCTTGGCCTCAGCCAGGCCGCCGCCCCCGGCTTTCCCGCGGGACCGCGGCGTGGAAACGCGCGCTGCCGCCTCGGGGCTCCCGGGACGCGCGGGCCCCCCACGCCTGCCCGAGCCGGGCGTCCGCGACGTCACAAGTGGAGCGCGATGATTCAGAGGGAGGGCCAGGAAGGGAAGGGCTCTGGGGTCAGCTTGGCCACGGCTGCTGTTTCCTTGTCGCCGCCCACGAATTCACTTTTAAATCTTCCTCCTCCATTCATCTGTACTCTCATAGGGGACTGCGGGTTTGACAGATGGGTTGGCAGCTGTGAAGATGGACTTCCTGCCAGTGGTATCCGGGTCCCACTGTTCTAATGGAAATGTCAGGTGTACTGGATGTTCCTCAAGACACAGCAGTGTCTCTGGGCCTTGCCTCTTAAGGAGTGGGCCTCGGGCCACCTGGACAGGAAGCGCATCAAGGGTGGGGAACTTATCTCTCTCCAGCCTTTGGTGCTGTGATACTCAGTGTACCTTAAGGATGGTTTGGGTTGAACCTAGGTAGGAATGGGTGTTGGTGGGCGGGGTGGGGGTGGGGGGAATAGAAACCTTAAAAGGGCAACACAAAGTTTTGAATAGAAGAGGCCAAGCAGCCTCGCCCAGAAGCTGATGTTTGTGAATGTACTGGGCCTTCTAAAGCGGCGCTTCACACACCTTTTCACTTCTTGGCACAGGTAGGAAAGGATGATATTACAAGGGTCAAAATGGGGGTAAACAGAAGAGGCTGCTCCTGCAGAAGGCTTCCTGCAGAAGCCCTTGCACTTGGAGGGCTGGGAAGACCCATGCTGTATCTGCATCCCTGTCATTCGTTTCACGGCATCCAGTTGGGAAGCTCTGCTTAAAGCTTTGTCTGGCACGTTTTCTTAGCTACATTTTTCCACTCCAGCTGAGACTGCCTCACTGAGTTGTCAACACTTGGTCTTCTTCAGCAGTGAGGAACCAACAAGACAGGAGGCTGGGTCAATACTCAACTTGGCAAACTCCAGGAAATGGTGCTTAAAACGTTTGGCTTCTTGAATGGAATTCATGGTACTGCTCCCAGCCTGCACCTGGGTTCTCCAACTTGAGACAATTTCTCCCCGCATCCCCCCACCCTTCCCTGGCTTTCACTCACTAGCAAGTGGGCTGCTTCTACTTTCTTTCTCACATTCATTTCTTAGGTCCATTCTCAGAGCGGTTAGGATTACTGTTTAATTAGCCTCATAATCATATCTATGATGGCAAAATCAAGAAACAATTTAAACATGATTCTTAAAAGTAAGGAGATAAATACCAGAGACATAGAAGGTGAAAGAATTTGCCTCTAGGAAGCAGGAATTTAAATTTGGGGAAGACAGGGTGGAGCAAGGGATATAAATCTAGTCCATTTTTCTTTTCTTTTCTTTTCTTTTTTTTTTATTTTTAAGATAGAGTCTCACTCTGTCGCCCAGGCTGGAGTGCAGTGGCATGATCTTGGCTCACTGCAACCTCTGCCTCCTTCGTTCAAGCGATTCTCCCACCTCAGCCTCCCTAGTAACTGGGATTACAAGTGACTGCCACTATGCCCAGCTAATTTTGTATTTTTAGTAGAGACGAGGTTTCACCATGTTGGCCAGGCTGGTCTCGAACTCCTGACCTCAGGGGATCCGCCCAGCTCAGCCTCCCAAAGTGCTAGGATTCCAGGCGTGAGCCACTGCACCTGGCGGAATCTAGTCCATTTTCCACTTTGCTACCACACATCTGCAGGGTTTCTTGCTTGCTTAAAAGCTTTCATTGGCTCCCAATCTCTGATAATATCAAGAGCAAGTTCCTGAACAACTCATTCAAGACCCATCACCCCTCGCATCTGTCAACTCTGCCCCTTGAATATTACACCTCATTTTACTACACCACATCTAGTTCCCTGAATATGCAAACAGATTTCATACATTTGCACCTTTATACATGTTATTGCTTTTGCCTGGGAGAGTATTCTCTTGCTGCTATAATAATAGCTAATGACACTGTGCTAAGTACTTTCTGTGATTTATAACTGTTAATTCTTACATCAACCCTATGGTAAATGTTACTGTTATCTCCATTTTATAAACAAGAAAACTAAGACTTAAAGAGTTTAAGTGATTTGCAGAAATATGTAGTATTTGGTGAGGCTAAATTTGAACCCAGCAATCTGACTCCAGGACTAACATAATATTACCTATTCATCCTTCTAAAATGTTTCCCAGACACTAAATTTGAACAGGATTAAAAGATTTAAATGTTTTTAAGTCTTAAAAGGGCAAGGAGAAAATACAAGTGAATTGCTTTTAATCTCAAACTAAGCATGAAACAACGGCTGAAATTACAAAGGAAAAGTGACAGATCTGACTGTTGAACTTTTAACTTCTTTTATCCAAAAAAAAACCCCATAGAATAAAATTTAAAAACAAGTAAAAATTACAAAAAATTTGCAATATACATGACAGATAAGCATAACATTAAAGAGAACTTAGAAAGAAAAAATAGCCTACTAAAAATGAGCAAAATGCAAATTCGTCATCATGAGAGAAAAATGTAAATGGCCAAACATTTTTAAGAGAAGTAAAAACTTAAAACGATAATGCACCATCAAATTGAGAATAAAATAATACTCAGAGCTAGTAATTTGGGCCAGTGACCCTTGGAGTAGGATGTATAGCAACTAAAGAAACTCATACATTACTGAGAAGGGTGTAAATTGGCTCAACGATTCTGGAGAGCAATTTGACAGAATGTAGTGAAAGCGTCAAAAATGTTCACACACTTTGACTTAAAAATTACATTCCTGGAAATTTATAATACAAACATTTTCTATAAAAGGTCAGATGGCAAATACTTTGGGCTTTGAAGGCCACATATGTCTCTGTGGCTTTTCTTTTGTGTGTGTGTTTAAAAAAAAAAAAAACTGCCCCCCCTCCCCCCACCCTTGTTAGGCCATTCTTGCATTACTATAAAGAAATACCTGAGGCTGGTTAATTTATATGAAAAGAGGTTTAACTGGCTCATGGTTCTGCAGGCTGTACAGGAAGCATAATGCCATCTGCTTCTGGGGGGGCCTCAGGAAGCTTCCAATCATGCTGGAAGGTGATGGGGAGCAGATGTCTCACATGGTGAGAACGGGAGCAAGAAGGAGTTGGGGGGGAGGAGCCACATAAACAATGAGATCCCTGTGAGCTCAGAGTGAGAGCACACTTATCACCAAGGAGATGGCCCAAGCTATTCATGAGGGATCCGCCCCTATGATCCAAACACCTCCCACCAGGCTCCACCTCCAACACTGGAGATTATATCTCAACATGAAATTTGAATGGGACATCCAAACTGTATCACCCCCAAAATGTAAAGTCTCATCACAGTACATTTGGTAATGGCCAAAAGAGAAACCAAACTAAATGTCCGAGAATAAAAATTAGTTACAACTAGATACACGGAGGCAAGTTTTTAAAAAGTGTTAAAATTTTAAAATGTTGCAGAATGGTATCTATTGGATAAAATAGTATTTATGATTTATTAAGTGGAAAATACAGTTTACAAAATAATATGGTGTGATCCCGAAAACAACATAATCATGTGTGTATAAATGCATAGAAAAAAATCTGGAAAGATATAAACAGATATTTATAGTGGTCTAGGGCAGGGGATGGAATTGTAGATATTTGCTTTTTGTTTTATGTATATGTTTCCCATAATGAAATGTATTGTTTATATAATTAAAAAATATACGAAACTTTGCTTGGGGGACAACAAAGCACCTCATTTGTTAATTTGGGAAAATCTTTTATTACAATCTCTGTAAGGAGTTGGTTGCTCTCTCTTCTGTACTCCCTGATTACATAATGCTCTTCTGAGCACTTTTATTTAATAGCAGAATGGTTGATATCATTATTTAGTTAAGGTTTCCTCTATTATCGAACATCTGAGTTCCCAGTACACTAGTCTCCCCTTATCTGTGGTTTTGCTTCCAAGGTTTCAGTTATGATCAACCAAGATCTGAAAATATTAAATGAAAAATTCCAGAAATAAAACAATTCATAAGTTTTACATTGTGCACCATCCTGCTGTATCCTGTCCAGGCCATGGGTCATCCCTCTTGTTCAGTGTGTCCACACTGTAGATGCTCCCCTGTCTGTTAGTCACTTTGTAGTTGGCTTGGTTGTCAGACCTACTGTCAAGGTATTGCAGTACTTATGTCCAAGTAACACTTATTTAACTTAATAATGGCCCCTAAACACAAGAGTAGTAATGTTGGCAATTTGGGTATGCCAAAGAAAAGTCATAAAGTGCTTCTTTTAAGTGAAAACCCAAAAGTTTTTGAATTAGTAAGGAAAGAAAAAAATCCATATGCTGAGGTCGCTAAGATCTATGATAAGAATGAATCTTCTACCTGTGAAATTGTGAAGGAAAAAGAAATTCACGTTAGTTTTGCTGTTGTACCTCAAACTGCAAAAGTTATGGCCACAGTGTATAACTTTTATTAAAATATATTTGTATAACTGTTCTTATTTTACTTTTCTGTTTTATTTTTAGAGACAGGGCTTCATTCTGTCACCCAGGCTGGAGTGCAAAGGTGCAATCATAGCTCACTGCAGCCTCAAACTCTTTGGCTCAAGTGATCTTCCTGCCTCAGCCTCCCAAGTAGCTGGGACTGCAGGTGTGCATCACTACGCCCAGCTAATTTTTTAATTTTTTGTGCAGATGGAGTCTGACTCTGTTGCCCAGGAACTCCTGGCCTCAAGTAATCCTCCCGCCTCGGTTTTCCAAAGAGCTGGGATTACAGGCATGAGCCACTGTGCCTGGCTATTCTATTTTATTAGCAGTAATTGTTGTTAATCTCTTATTGTGCCTTATTTATATTAATAACTTAATCATAGATAGATATGTATAGGAAAAAACATTGTATATAAAGGGTTCAGTACTATCTGCAGTTTCAGATATCCATGAGGGGTCTTGAAACGTATCCCCCACAGGTAAGGGGGGACTTGTATTTCTCTGTTATAAATATGCTGGTTATTCTCCACTTGTTGTGTTTTAGTGCCATCTTCTGCTCTTCTCTGCTAGACTCTGTGCCTCAGAAGGTGGAATTTTTCATAAACTATTCCAGCTGGGGTCTCATGCCAGTTGGTTTTGACCAATGGGTAACACCATCAGTAGATTGGAGGATGGAAAAGGAAAAAAGGTTAGGATATGTTTCACCACCTCTTTTCCTGCTTCTGGCTGGGTTCTGATGGTGGCTTTGTCCCTTGAAGGCTCCTCCTGCAAGGCAGCCCTGCTCCACTGTGCCAGCCTTCACTGGGCTCTACTAACGTGATTCCCTCCCCTTATTTCTTCAGGCCTAGCTGTGCTAACTCCTAGGTACCTCCATGTTTCTTGTTTCCTTTCATCCAACCCTAACCCTAACTTCTATAAATAGTTCCCGCAATAAAGTCTCTTCAGCTGAAACATCTGAGTGGAAATTGATTCCTGTTATGACAGACTAAATATACTAAAGGAAACAGTTGATCATCATAGAACACAAATCTTTTATCCTTACTGCAACAGGGCCTGGATATTTGCAGATTTTATATCCGAGCTTTGAACTATTTGCAAGGTAATTATAGAGTGATTTACACATTTCCTGAAACAGGGATTTAAGTTTATGCTGTGAGGCTAGTGTTTGGGAATATAACACTCTGACTATTCTCCACTTCTCCGGTAGTTTTTGAGAAGTAATGCTCCATTGCATTTTATTGAAGAAATTATATATACAGTACAGTGGTGTCCACATTTTGATGTTTTCAGTGGAATCTTTAAGAAAAAGTTCTTACATGTAATCTAACATACAAATTAGATAAATGTCAAATTGCTCTGGTTGAGGCAGCATTGGGGAAACCTTCTTCCTATCTTTGAAGCCGACTTTGGGATGCCTCTGCAGAACCCCAGGGCTCCTTGGAACACAGTGTGAAAACACAGATTTGGAAAATCCTAGAGTCTGGAAGATATACCCTTCCTAAGTATCAAGTGTCTGTTGTATCTCTTTAGGTTAGATTCCTAGAATTTCGGTTGACAATATGATTTTACCTATTCAAGACACTCCTCACTGTGAATGATGTGACCCATCTCATGACTGCATCTGTTACCACATGCGGAATGCCAAAAAACCTCTCCTGACTTCTCATCATACTTTTAATTGCATTTTCATTACTGATAAAATATTTTCCCACGTCTCTTGGCCATTGATACTTTCCCTTCTCCTCCAACACCTTCTACATTTTTTTAGTCATACTTTCATGTTTGACCATTTCTCAATTCATCAATACATAAGAATTCCTTGTATGATGTTCTGATCATTATGCTAATGGTTTAATGAACAACACATTATGTCTGTGCTTTCATGATGTCCACAGAGTAGCAATATTGTAGTCTTATTATTTATCTTGTTTAATCCAATTAACAATTGAATTAATCATTTGTCACAACCTTTTATCACATTTGTGGCAAATACTTTTTCTTAGTTTGCCTCCTAGTTTTACGTGTTTTTATTATTTACAAAATTTAAAAAGTTTTTATTTAGTCAAATCTCTGGATTTTTTTCTTGTTTATATGCCTAAGATCCTTTTAAATCAAAGATCAGATCAATATTCATTTATATTTCCTCAAATTTTTTTTTACTATTTACTATTTAAGTTTTATTGAGCAAACATTTTTTCCCACAATTCTGTGATGATTGATGTATCATAAATTAACTTCTTTTATGCACTAGGCCGTATTTCTGGATCCTCTATTTAGTTTCATTCATCCTTCTTTGGATTACTGTGTCAATGGCATAGCATTTTAATAACAATAGGGTAATTTCCTGCTCAAATTCACTTTTTCGAAATATTTTTAATATTTATACCTCGAGATGAAATTTATTTACTCTTTTCAAGTGACTTGTTTGTGTTTATAAAAGTAATGCATTGCACTATTCACAATAGCAAAGACATGGAACCAACCCAAGTTTTCATCAATGATAGACTGGATACAGAAAATGTAGTACATATGCACCATGGAATACTATGCAGCCATAAAAAAGAATGAGATCATGAAGCTGGAAGCCATCATCCTCAGAAAACTAACACAGGAAACCAAACACCTTATGTTCTCACTCATAAGTGGGAGTTGAACAATGAGAACACATGGACACAGAGAGGGGAACAACATACACCAGGACCTGTGGGAGAGGGGTTGAGAGGAGGGAGAGCATCAGAACAAACAGTTAATGCATGTGGGGCTTAAAACCCAGATGACGGGTTGATAGGTGCAGCAAACCACTATGGCACACATATACCTATTTAGCAAACCTGCGCATTCTGCACATGTATCCCGGAACTTAAAGTAAAAATAAATAAATAAATAAAAGAGTAACACATTATGAAGAAAAATTTGTGGAAACTGAAAAATGTGAAAAAGTATAAAGAAGGAAATAAAACCTACTCTATGTACTACAGTTGTAACATTTCAGGGTATAACTTTCCAGTCATCTCTCTGTGTGTACGTATGTATTGTTTTTGCAAATATTACTAAACATATTGTTTTGTAAGCTGTTGTCTAATCACCACATATGAGCACTTCATTGTCATGAAGTATTCCTTTGAAATACGTTTTTTAATGACACATTAGCCAAGACCTCTAGAATAAGGAAGGTGAATGGTAGCAATGTCAGTAGGCAACTCTCAACCCTTCTGGACTCAGTCATATCCTTTCCTCAGTCATGTCAATCACATCAAACTAGAATTGAAGTTACCAATTGTCACACGGATCAGCACTGTGGGGCTTGCCATTGCTCCACCTCATAACTTGAAATCAGCTACTGGAAACTTGAAATTGGTGTTGACTGTAGTTCACTGGACTATAATAAGTTTTGCAGGCCGGGTGTGGTGGCTCACACCTGTAATCCCAACGCTTTGGGAGGCCAAGGCAGGTGGATCCCTTGAGGTTAGGAGTTCGAGACCAACCAGCCTGGCCAACATGGTGAAACCCAATTTCTACAAAAAATACAAAAATTAGCCAGGTGTGGTGTTATGTGCCTGTAGTCCCAGCTACTTGGGAGGCTGAGGTGGGAGAATCTCTTGAACTCAGGAGGCAGAGGTTGCAGTGAGCCGAAATTGTGCCACTGCACTCCAGCCTGGGCAACAGAGTGAAGTCCTGTCTCAAAAAAAAAAAAAATAGTTTTACAGCACTTGTCACCTATATCTCTTTTGTTAGGCATATGTAAAAATGACTTGACCATAGGCTATTAGGTAGTTTAAAAATGTGGTTGACTCACAACAAGGACCAGACTTGAACTGATAAAGTTGTAAGAGATTCCTAACTCCATGTTGCACAATCTTATTTTTGTGTTCCTTTTAAATCATTAACTAATATAAATCATTAATACCTGCCTTAGAAAAGATTGTATAATGAAAGCAAAGCACATTTATGATTCAGGGAAGGAATCCTTAACATTTGTGATAGAACATTTAAAACTCTGAGTGTTTTTAAGGTACGGTGCAAGGTTACTAACCTATGTAAACTAGTGGGAGTAGAATGTGGTCCTGAGTGATACAAGTAGATAAGATATGAAAAGCAAAGGATAAATTTCTAGTGTATGTCATAGCGGATATATTTACAGTCATGAAGGCATGGGAATATAGGCATCTCTCTAAAAGCTTTCATTGGGCCTTGAGTTTTTAATCTTTATTTTACCACACTCTATCCACACACACATATGCATACACACACAAACTGCATATACGTTAAACTTCATAAAATGGAAATTATCTTTTTTTTCCCTTACCTTTCCACAGAAGTGTTGTTTACTAAATTCGCAGATGTTAAATATAGTAAATGCCAAAGCCTTGGAGTTTACGAATCCTTAGGATTTGAATTCCCCCATCTCAAGGGAATTAAAGCCTGACATCGAAGAGTAAAAAATTCAGGGAAGGATCATTGGACTGCCTTTCCTGTGCTCCCTCTGGACGTTCCTTCATAAACTGCCAAGGCCAACCTCTGCTGATTAGATGTCAGTTCTCTGCCGTTTGGTACAAAGGTTATCCTCTGGAGCAAGCATGTTATCAATGACTCATTTCCTCCCATTCTTAAACTTCCCTAGATATTTTCTTGTTTATTTTAGTTTTCCACAGACCACTCTAAAATCAACTTATTCTTGGATCCTCCCTGATACATTTTAGTTTGTAAAATGATTTTATTGCATACTTTGCTATGTTGAATATTTACATCCTGATTGCTTACCCCATTTTGTGTATTTTGCTTTCGAACAAGTTTGCCTACCTTTATTTTTGGAATATTTTGGCAGTCTATCTTTTGATATTTTGTGGCAAGTATGAGTATGTATTTAATTTCATAGGGAATAGTGCATTTAAAAGTCATTTAATTTCTTAAGCATTAAAAATTGAGCCTTAAGAGCCTTCTTTAAAATGTCCAATACACAGAATCAAATTATTTTCCTAAACCGCACCCATTCTATCTCTTCCACACCTGATATTACCAAATCATTCTGGTAAAAACTTAAGCCAACAAGAGACTGGAAAGGCAAGAGGAGACAAGAAGAGGTAGATTTCTCATATGCTGATTATACTGTCTTATGAATTTGTTAAGTAATTTCCTTCTGTGATATAAGGTGTGTCATTTAGTTAACACTGTAGAGACATTTTAAATATATTTGGGAAAATGGGATTGTACTGTTACTCCTAACACCTCACAACTTAAAAACAATTTTAACTTTCAAATCCCTTCATACGTATTGAGTATTTGATCCTAAATGCTTTTCACAAGTCTTGTAATAGAATGTGCCAACAGTGAAATGTTTGCTTATTGTGATTAATCTAGAGTTTCCACAAATGAACTGTTATAAATGGAAAGAAAACACTGGAAAATCAGAAAGAACACACACGGTTATTTTTGAACTTAGTTCACATAGTTTCTTTCTTCCTAACATTCCCCCTACCCCCCTACTCCCTCATACACATTTTTTCCTTCTTTTACTCTTTCCACAAGGTTATGAAGAAAGGTTAAATATAGTCGTCCCTTGATATCCACGGGATGCTTGGTTCCGGGATCTCCAACACTCCTCCCACTGTGGATACCAAAATCCGAGCATCCTAAAGCCCAGCAGCTGACTCAGCAGAACCCGTGTGTACAAAAATTCAGCCCTCTTTATAGGCGGGTTTCACATCCCTCAAATATTGTATTTTTGATCTGTGTTTGGTTGCAAAAACTCCACTTGTAAGTGGACCCACGCAGTTCAAATCCATGTTGTTCAAGGGTCAACCATATATTACTTGACATATGCGGTTAAATTTTATCTTGGAAATAGCAACAAATGCAGTTATTAGTTACTTCTGTGAGGATCAAGGAGTTAAATGAAAGTTGGAGACCCACTGCTTGATACCAAGATGAGGAAAAGGAAGCTAATTCCCTGTTACCACTTACTTCACTGCATCTCTGGTCTCCCGTTCTCTTCGTTTAGACAGTCTTATCTACGGATGAGTACAGAGGTTTTGACTCCAGAGTCTAGGAGACAGTGTACAGCAGCAGCTGTCTAATTTGTTTTCAAAACTGGGGGAAAAAAGCTTTGATATTACCATTTATCATAAATCTTTCATCAGCTGAAAATTATTTCCTACCTCATTGACTTTGAATTTTTTTTTTGAGACAGAGTCTTGCTGTGTTGCCCAGGCTGGAGTGCAGTGGTGCAATCTCAGCTCACTGCAGCCTCTGCCTCCTAGGTTCAAGCGATTCTCCTGCCTCAGCCTCCTGAGTAGCTGGGACTACAGGCACCTGCCACCAGGCCCGGCTAATTTTTTTTGCATTTTTAGTAGAGATGGGGCTTCACCATGTTAGCCAGAATGGTCTCGATCTTCTGACCTCATAATCTGCCTGCCTTGGCCTCCCAAAGTGCTGGGATTACAGGCATGAGCCACTGTGCCCGGCAACTTTGAATCTTAGTAACACATATCAAACATTGCTGTCTTGCCTTCCACTGTCTTTGTGCTCTGAGTTTTTGCTCCTAAATGTAGGCAGAAATTATACAAATTTAAATTAATTTTACCACTAGTATTGTGGGATGGGTCATTTTTCCTTTTTAATTTAGGAGTTTGAGGCAAGAGTTTCAAAGGAGGGTTTCTGAACCTCGTAGGTGAATATCAGAAAACAGAATATCAATTTTTACTATTTTCTTTTTCCTTACCTCCTTCTTTATCTGCCATAGGAAAAGAGAATATAGTATTTAGAATAGTAGAAAGCCTCAGCCACTTAAATACCAGGACAATATAAATGAGACTGTAAAGGACTCAACGTTTTCCCATATAAGTGGAAAAACATACCATTTCAACACTCATTTGCTTTTATTTCCCCTTCCTGAAAGAAATATCAAATATTGAGGAATCTAGGGTCCATCAGAGGGAAGTATATATATATATATACTGTAACATACCATAAAAAATTATATACTACTTACATATTATTATTGCTATGTATACATACATGCAAGCAATTATAGGGAAACCCAGTGGAGCTTAATGGCCATAATTTTTACAGAAGATCTTCTTGATTATACTTCCCTGGGACTTGCTAATATCAGAGAATTGGGTTGTTTTTTCTCTTTTAAAAAGTTTATTTACTTATTTTAGATTCAGGGGTACATGTGCAGATTTGTTACATGGATATATTACAAAACAGTAAGGTTTGGGCTTCTAGCATACCCATTACCCAAATAGTGAACATTGTACCTTATAGGTAAATTTTTTTTAACCTTTACCCCCATCTCAACCTCCCCCTTTTTGGAGTCCCCAGTGTCTATTATTTTCATCTTTATGTGCATGTGTACCCTTGGTGTAGTTCCCATCGGTAAGTGAGAACACACAGTATTTGATTTTCTGTTTCTGAATTATTTCACTTAGAATAATGGCCTCCAGCTCCATCCATGTTGCTGCAAAGGACATGATTTCATTCTTTTTTATGACTGCATAGTATTCCATGGTATATATATACCACATTAAAAAAAAATCCATTCATCCATTGATGAACACTTAGGTTGATTCCATGACTTTGCAATTGTGAATGTGCCATCATAAACATACAAGGGCAGGTGGCTTTTTGGTATAATGATTTCTTTCCTTTTGGGTAGATGCCTAATAGTGGGATGGCTGGGTTGAATGGTAGGTTGAGAAATCTCTATACTATTTTCTATAGACGTTGTGCTCATTTACACTCCCACTAATGGTGTATAAGGGCTGCCTTTTCTCCACATCCATGCTACCATCTGTTGTTTTATAATTTTTTAATAATAGCTATTCTTACTGGCATTTTTCATGTGTTTGTTGCCTTCTTGTTTGTCTTTTTTTGAGAAATGTCTGTTCATGTCCTTTACCAACTTTTTTTTTTTTTTTTTTTTTTTTTTGTTGGCAAGAGATCGCCCTGCTATGTCGCCCAGTGTAGAGTGCAGAGTGCAGTGGTACAATCATAGCTCACTGTAGCCTCAAATTCCTGAAGTGCCCACTTTTTTATGGGATTTTTTTGTTTTCTTCTTGTTGATTTGTTTGAGTTCCTTGTAGATTCTGGATATTAGTACTTTGTCAGAGGCATAATTTGCAAATAGTTTCTACAAGAGACTGAAAGGGCAAGAGGAGATAAGAAATAGATCTCTCATGTGGTGATTATACTGTCTTTTAATTTGTTAAATAATGTCCTTCTGTAATATAAGGTACCTCATTACTTAGGTAATACTGTAGGTTGTCAGTTTATTCTGCTGATTATTTCTTTTGCTGTGCAGAAGCTTTTTAGTTTAATTCCCATTTGTCTATTTTTGTTTTCATTGCATTTCCTTTTGGGGTCTTAGTCATAAATTCTTTGCCTAACCCAATGTCCAAAAGAATATTTCTTAGGTTTTCTTCTAGGACTTTTATAGTTTCAGGTCTTACATTTAGGTCTTTAATCGAGCTTGAGTTAATTTTTGTCTATGGTGAGAGATAAGGGTCCAGTTTCATTCTTCTGCATATGACTAGATAATTTTCCTAGCACCATTTAATGAATAGGGTGCCCTTTCCCCGTGGTTTATTTTTGTCGACTTTGTCAAAGATCAGCTGGTTGTAGGTATATGGCTTTATTTTGGGGTTCTCTATTCTGTTCCATTAATCTATGTGTGTCTTTTTGTACCAGTACTAAGCTGTTTTAGTTACTATAGCCTTATAGTATAATTTGAAGTAATGTAAGGCCATTTGGCTTTGTTTTTGTTGCTTAGGGTTGTTTTGGTTATTTGGGCTCTTTTTTGGTTCCATGTCAACTTTAGGATAGTTTTTTTCTAATTCTGTGAAGAATGACATTGGTAATTTGATAGGTATTGTGTTGAATCTGCAGATTGCTTTGGGTAGGTTATTTTAAGGACATTGATTCTTTCAATCCATGAGCATGGGATTTTTTTCTTCTGTTTGTGTTATGTATAATTTCTTTCATCAGTGTTTTGTAGTTTTCCTTGTAGAGATCTTTCACCTGTTTAGTTAAATATATTCTGGTATTCTATTCTTTTCTGTGGCTATTATAAATAGGATTGAACTTTTGCTTTAGTTCTCAGCTTGAAAATATTTGGTGCATAAAAATGATACTGATTTTTGCACATTGATTTTGTATCCTAAAACTTTACTAAAGTTGTTGATCAAGTCTATGAGTCTTTTTGGAGGAGTCTTTAGGATTTTCTAGGTATAAGATTATGTCATCAATGAACAGAGATAATTTGTTGGAATGTCCTTCATTTATTTCTCTTGCCTGATAGCTCTAGCTAGTAATTCCAGTACTATGTTGAATAGCAGTGGTGAGAGCGGACTTCCCTGTCTTGTTCTAGCTCTTAGGGGGAATGCTTTCTACTTTTCCTCATTCAGTATGAGTATCAGTTGGTTGTGGGTTTGTCATATATGGCATTTATTATTTTGAGGTATCTAGTTTGTTGAGAGTTTTTATCATAAAGGGATGATGGTTTATATCAAATGCTTTTTCTGCATCTGTTGAGATGATCAAATGGTTTTTGTTTTTAATTCTGTTGATGTGGTTAATCACATTTATTGATTTGAGAATGTTGAATCATCCTCGCATCCCTGGAATAAAGTCCACTTGATCATGATGAATTATCTTTTTTATGTGCTGTTCGGTTGGGTTTGCTAGTATTTTTGTTGAGGAGTTTGGCATCTATGTTCACAGCGATATTGGCCTGTAGAGATTAATTTTTTTGTGTGTTCTTGCCTGATTTTGGTATCGGGGTGATACTAGTTTCATAGAACATCATAGAATTTGTAAACCAACTTATCAAACTTAGCAGGACAGATCAATTTACTCATTTGGGAATGTTTTAATGCTAAATTTAAATATTTATTGCTAAAGTGAGGTCAAGACTGTATCTACATAAAATGAATATTTTTAAATAATAAAGATAATTTGACATTGCATACTAGAAATATGTAAATTATGTTAAATCTACAAATGGACATTGTACTATTTCTATGCACCAAGGCTTGTGTTCTTGGAAAATACAGTACAAAGTCTTTATAATGTCAGTGTTATGTTGTGAATGTGTTACGTATGTATTTTTATTTCAATCTTTAGAGACATATTTTGGTATGCCATATCTCAAAGTTGAAAAATGTATTAAGACTTTTTTTTCTAAGAAATTTCATTTGGAGGGATTAGCTTATTGAAAACATGGAAGCCTTTCAATCTTGTTTGATGTGGTATATTCACCATCTAGTGGCAACTCACTAGAAATCAAGTGCATGTAGTAAAGACAAAACTTGTCCAAAAGGTATTTTGGGAATTAGCCATAAGGAAAAATGTGGCAGATATGTGTAATGCTCCCTGATTTCCTTAAAAACCACTTTTATATTTGTTACAAAACAACTATCTAGTCTCAAGTGACACAATAGAAAATGTAAATAATTATAGAGAAGAAGCGAGTCACTCGTATTTTCACCATCCCCCAAGGATAACCACTGTTAACATTTTGGGTGTGCATAACCACTGTTAACATTTTGGGTGTGCATTTCTCTAAAATGTTTCTGCACATGTATACACACATTTTTTGGTCTAACAGAACTATCTTTATTTAAAATTTTTCCAATTTTATAAATGCTCCTATGCTTATCAGCTGCTATTTGAATCAACACTCTGAGCATGGATACTGGTTGATGATCTGAGAAATAAGCCATAATTGCCTGCCAGACCCACATAATCTTGGAACTCACGAACATTCCCAGTATGTAAATGGATGATTAAACTCCATGGCCTCTTGATCCAAGTTGGTCCATTCACAGCTCAAAAAAGTTACACTAGGCTAATCAGATTGCTCTGCTGAGTTCAGAAAATGAGAAACAGATTAATCAATTAGCAAGTGTGATAAAAGCAAAATAGAAATGTAAAAAATAACTATTTAAAAGCAATATTATGAGATGATGTCATGAAGTAGAGTTGGAATCAGACAAGCGAAGGCAAATAAAAATCTCTTGGAAGTCAAATTAGTATGAAGGTACAGAAAACATATAGGGAGATCAGTTTTCTCTGGTCTGCTGGCCCTGCTTCAAAGTGATACTGATAGAAGTCAAATCCGATTATGTCATCTTTCTGCTTAAATACCCTTAGACAGGCTTCATAGTCCCTAGAGACCTGACCCTTCCCTACCTCTATTGTGCCACTGTCAAAATGCTGGAGTCACCTATTATGCTTCATCTGCGCAGAGTTTCTCTATCTAAAACAGTTACCTTTCCTGGGAAGCTTTCTCTGATTCCAACACTATAACAGGTGGCCCTACTGTGTGCTTCCATGGCTCCATGTAACCTTCAGAGCCTAACACTAACACGGCAGCTGGATCATAATAGCCCCTCCATGATTAGACAAAGCACCAAATAGAAGCAGACATTCCGCAAGTTTGCATGAGGTTCCATGCGGCCAACAAGAGAGGGAGATAGAAAGGAAAGGGCCCCAGATGTGGCTCCCCTTCCAAATACTTTCAGTTCCCAGTTTAACCTATGTGATCCTTTCAATATTTCCACCATAATGCATGGGTCCAGTCCTGTTCTTTGGGTTGCACAAAATAATTAGCACAAGCATACAAAAAGGCAAGAGTAATATTCAAAATACTGAAGAGCTATGGTACACTAAAGTGCCCTGGGGGTAAGTCTGTGTGTGCCAGCCTGCAGCAGGTGGTCTCAGCCCTGGAAGGAACAGCATGATGGACACCATGGATCCCTTCTGGTATGCAAGCACTATCACAAGGAGCGCCATCTCCGAAAGGATCTGGGCCCACTATGAGCACATGGGATGGAGTCTAGTGTAGTCAGCTATGGCCAGTCACCTGGCAGGTGCCAGGTTGGTTTCTTCATCAGTACCCTCTTGGGAATCCTTTGGGCCCAAGGAAATAGGTTGTCTGGCAGTGAGCAGTGGCTATTTACCAATCATTTTGGAAGTATTTCAATGTCTTAACAATCACATAGCCATACTGATGCTTATCTGATGAATACTAGCCTTGCAACAGGGCTGATTTAACTTGCTTTGGATACCAAGCAAAAAGGAAGGGAAAGGATCCAGAGGATTTCATTACCTAACTGCTGGTACCTCCAAAACCTTGGGATCCATAAGGATACTCATTCATGCCCATAGTGCAAAGGAGGAAATGGTAAATCCCTTAAGTGCTATTGGGTTACAGCTGTCACAGTATCCTATAACACCATTTTGTGACTGATAAATTGAAATGAACACTGCTGTTTGGAGTCAGGGAATCAAGTTCTATTTTCCCCAGTTCTTGTCTTTGTAGTTGGGCAATGCCCTACTTCTGGCCTTTAGTTGTATGACCCAGGTCTCTTTGTTTGGGAAGACACCAGGGACTTCTTGCAGGTGGTCTACATTCTGTGCATCCATGCATCCCGCAGTTGGCCTTGGCCAAAGGAGTAACTCTGAGACTTCCATGCTTATGTCCTTGGGGTGGGGACCAATGAGCTCACTGTGGGTCAGAGAACCTTGCTCTGGCTTGGCAAGGCACATTGGCGTCAAACACACTCTTCACTCAAAAGACCATTTTGTAAATTTTTAGAAAAATCACAAATGCAAAGGAAGGAAAACGAGTGGGTTGCAGCACATTTCCAAGAGGCGTGAAAGGGGTAGAGGGCTGAGTCTTGAGATTTCCTACTCACCCCATGAGTGAGGAGGCAGGGTAGAGTTGACTAGGTAACGCAGCCAGTTAGAGTTAGGAAAAGGCAGGATCTCAGAAGTTCTTCCAGGAGTGGGCTATTGGGACAATTAAAATAAGCATCTTGCATTTCATTCCTGGCATTCGCAGACATCCTTGATTGGTGGTAGAGCTTCAGGGAGAGGGGGATGGGACAGGGCTGGGTGTGCTGAGGGGCCTCAGTCCAACAAGAATGACTTTTTGGCAGTTTCTCCAGAGCCTTCATTGATTGCCAATCATTGATTTCCAACAAAGGAAAGCAGGAGGGAGTTACTTTTCCATCCTTCAGCCCTTTTGCTGGCTCCTGGATAATCTTTCACATGTTATGGGTACTTATATCAAAGAGCACTTGCATTTTGACAAATAAATTTTACAACCTTATTTTTTCCACATTAATGCCAGGTTTATACTGGTTAGAAGATAACAAAGTTATTTGTATACAACATTTCCTTCATAATTAGTATATGAAATTTGTAAGCCCTCTTACCATGTCCCAGCATTAGGTTTTTGAAAGATTCAGACAAAATATAAGATACAGTTCCTATCCTCAAGGAATGTACAATTTGAGAGAGAAAATTAGCATTAAATTACGACAAAAAATCATGTAAGAAGTAAGTCATAAGCCAAGTGCAGTATGTGTGCCTGTAGTACTGGCTACTGGGAAGACTGAAGTGGAAGGATCACTTGAGCCCAGGAATTTGAGTCCAGCATGGGCAACATTGTGAGACTTCATCTCAAAAGGGTGGGGGTGGGGGGACGGGAGAGAGAGAGAAAGAGAGAGAGAGAGAGAAGTAATGAACTATGAATTAGAAGTGTAATTGAAATTCAGGTAGGAGAGTTCAGTAGAGGTCACAGTAAAATACTACTGCAGAAAGATAAGTCTTGAGCCTTTAGGATGAATAAATTTTAGAGGAAGATAAAAGAAGAATGGCTTTCCTGGTATAAGGAATTGCATGGGCTGAGGAGCAGTGGCAGAAAATCAACATTATATACTCAGAGACATCCAGGAGAGATGCATGGGACAGGAATAAGAACAGGTAAATGGTAAATAAGGTTGGATAGCTAAGGTGAAGCCTTGTTTCTGTTGCCTCAAAAGTCAGTCAGTTTGAAGGGAATGTTCTAGACCACTGTTGTTTAATACAGATAGAATGTGAGCTGCACATGTAATTTAACTTTTTTTTTGAGACGAAGTTTTGCTCTTGTTGCCCAGGCTGGAGTGCAATGGCGCAATCTCGGCCACTACAACCACCACCTGCCCTGTTCAAGAGATTCTCCTGCCTCAGCCCTGGGAGGAACAGCCTGTAGCTGGGATTACGGGCATGTGCCACCACGCCTGGCTAATTTTTGTATTTTTAGTAGAGACGTGGTTTCACCAAGTTGGCCACGTTGGTCTCGAACTCCTGATCTCAGGTGATCCACCTACTTCAGCCTCCCAAAGTGCTGGGATTACAGGCGTGAGCCACCGTCCCCGGCTGTAATTTAATATTTTCTAGTAGCCCCATTGAAAAGGTAAAAAGACACAGGTAAAGTTAATTTAAATAATATATTTTTTCTAACCCAATACATCCAAAATACTGTTACTTTAACATGTAATCAATATAAAAATTTTAACACTGCTTTAGTTTTTAAATGTAAATTTTTAAAAATTCAGTTCCTCAGTTATACTAGCCACATTTTAAGTGCACAGTAGTCAACTGTGTCTAGTTTTGGAAAACATAGCTATAGACAATTGTGAGATTATTTAGCAGCTTAATAATACATCAAAAGTTGTATCTTAGGAAAATTTCTTTTCAGTGAAATGCAGAATGAATTGAAGGGTGTGATGGTTGAGGGACAAGAGAGAAGTTAGATCTGGAATGAGTTACAGGTGGGTACTAGAATGGTAGCAGTGGAGGTGTCGAGAGGATAGAACAAATCTGAGAGATCTTTCAAAGAAATAACTAGTATGGCTTCATGACTGATTGGCAATGAGGAAAGAAAAAAATGAAATCAAGTATGATAGCCAGCCTTCAAACAGCCTGAAAGGATCCTTGTGTCCGAGTATTCAAACTCTTGTAAAATCTTCTATACTGTACTGGGGTTGGTCCGCGTGACCAATAAAATAAACAGTAGTGACAGTTATAAGGTACTGTGGCTTCTGTCTTGGTGCCTCTTTCTCTGGGCTCTTTCTCTCCAGAGGAAGCCAGCTGCCACACTGTGAGCAGCCCCATGGAGAGGCCCACGTGAAAGGACCTGTAACCTGCCAACAACCACATAAGTTTGGAAGCTGAGCATTCAGATGACTGCAATCCCAGCCAACGCTTTGCAGCCTCATGAGAGACCCTGAGCCAGAACCACCTGGCTAAGTCTCTCCCTGATTCCTGAGCCTTGGAATCTCTGAGAAACAATAAATGTTGGTTGCTTTAAGCTGCTAAATTTTAGGGGTAATTTGTAACAGAAATAGATAATTGAACAATAATTAAAAAAAGACAATATCAAACACGAATAAAAAGATAACCCAATTTGGCCAGGTGCGGTGACTCACGCCTATAATCCCAGCACTTTGGGAGGCCGAGGCAGGTGGATCACCTGAGATTGGGAGGTCGAGACCAGCCTGACCAACATGGAGAAACCCCATCTCTACTAAAAATACAAAATTAGCCAGAAGTGGAGGTTGCAGTGAGCCCAGATTGTGCTATTACACTGCAGCCTGGAAAACAAGAGCAAAACTTTGTCTAAAAAAAAAAACAAAAAACAAAACAACAACAACAAAAACCCCAATTTAAAAATGGGCAAGAAAATTAAAAGAAGATAATAAGCATATGAAAAAGTGCTCAACATCATTAGACACCAGGAAAATGAAAATTAAAACCACAAGGAGATAACACCACACACACACCAGCATGACTAAAATTTAAAAGCCTGATAATACAAAATGTGGCTGAGAATATGGAGCAACCAGAATTCTTTATTTAAAAATTAAGATACAATTTACATACCACACAATTCACCCATATAAAGTATATGATTCAGCCAACTGTCAGCACTATCCATTTTAGAATATTTTCATTTCAGTGTAGTCCAACCATCACCACTATTCATTTTAGAATATTTTCATTACTCTACCAGAAAACCCTGTGCCGCTTAGCTGTCACTCTCCAATTCTCCTGCCTCCTCTCCAACCTTAGGCAACCTCTCGTCTACTTTCTATCTGTACACATTTGCTTATTCTAGACACTCATGTAAATGGCATCATATAATATGTGGTCTATTGTGACTGGCTTCTTTCATCTAGCACAGTGTTTTCCATGTTTGCTCATGTTGTACCATGTATCGATACTTCATTTCTGTTTCTTGCCAAATAATACTTCATTGTACAGATATATAACTTTTGTTTTTACCTATTCATCAGTTGATGGACATTTGAGTTATTTCTACTTCTTGGCAATTATGCTGCCATAAACATTATGTACAAGTTTTTGTGAGGACTATGTTTTCATTTATTTTGGGTAAATACCTAGGTATGGAATTGTTGGGTCATATGGTCTCTCTGTTTAGCCATTTGAGGAACTGCCAGACATTTTTCCAAGATAGCTGTACTGTTGTACATCACCAGTGGTGTCTGAGGATTCCAAATTCTCCTCACTAACACTTGTTTTTTAAAAAATTATGGTGGGTGTGAAGTCATTGTGGTTTTGATGTGTATTTCCCGATGGCTAATAATGTTGAGCATCTTTTCATATGAGTATTGATCATTCATATATCTTTTTTGGAGAGCTGTATAGTATATTCAAATCTGTCATCCATTTTAAAATTTGGTTATTTAAATTGTGATAGTTCTTTACATATTCTAGATAGCCTTTTATCAAATATATCATTTATAAACATTATTCCTCATTCTGTGGATTGTATGCCACCAGAATTCTTTTCCAAAATGATACAAACTCTTGAAAAAAGGGTCTGGCTGTTTCACATAAAACCAAACATTGATGTACCCTATAACCAAGACATTCTATTTATAGATATTTACCCAAGAGAATAGGAAACATATGTCTACAATAGATTTACACAAGAATGTTTACAGCAGCTTTATTCATAATAGCCCCAACTGGCAACAGCCCAGGAATCTATCAGGAGGAGCACAGATCAGTAAACTATGGGGTATTCATATAATGAAATACTACTCAGTAATAAAATGGAGGAAACTACCGATACACACGATATGGACATTTTGCTAAGTGAAAAATGCTATACAAAAAAAGCGCACACTGTATGATTCCATTTTATATGAATTTTCAGAAGATGCAAAACTAATTGATGGTAGAGAAAAATCAGACTGGGTGCAGTATTTAACACCTGTAATCCTAGCACTTTGGGAGATCGAGGCGGGGAGATCTTTTGAGCCCAGGAGTTGGAGGCCAGCCTGAGTAACATGGCAAGACTCTATCTCGCAAAAAAAAAAAAAATACAAAAATTAGCTGGGTGTGGTGGCATGTGCCTGTAGTCCCATCTACTCAGGAGGCTGAGGTGGGAGGATTGCTTCAGCCCAGGGAGGTTGAAGCTGCAGTCAGCTATGACTGTGGCACTGTACTCTAGCCTGGGTGATAGAGTGAGACCCTGTCTCAAAACAAACAGTGGTTCTCGAGACAGAACAGTGGTTGCTTCTGGGGCGGGGGTTGGGGTGGGGAAGGCAGTGGTAGGCAGAGAATGTCTGGGAAATCGTGAGAGGAAACTTTTTGGGGTGATGACAATGGTTTATATCTAAGGAATTTTGGTTACACAAGTGTATACATTTGTCAAACTCAGTGAATGTACACTTAAGATTTGTGCATTTTGTTGTATGTAAATTTTGTCTCAAAAGGGAAAATATGTAAACAAATATTTAACTCTAGGTAGTAAGACACATGCCATATTTTGGGAGAAGTAAAACGATGCTTGTAATTAACTTTGAAATGCATTTAAAAATAAGGTATTTGGGATAAGGAATAAAGCAAGATAAAATGTAAATCTAGGTAGAATCTATGTGGTGAGCACATAGGCGTTTGCTTTAAATTTTTATAATTTTGCTATATGTTTGAAAATCTTCAAAATAGAATGTTAAGATAATTTTCTTTAAAGGACTGAGGTTTCTAGAGCGGGAAGCCAGAAGACGATAGCATCATTAGAAGAAATAGAGAATTTAGGAATAGGAAGGACAGCTTGGTGGAAGGTGTGGCATAACTGACAGGTCTTGATACCTACGAAGTCCTAAGTAATTTATGCACATATTTCTATATTTCAATGGATCTTCACAAACACCTCTAATCATCAGCACATCCATTTTCAGATGAGAAAATGGAGGTTCTGAAAAGCTATATAATTTGTTCAAGGTCATTAAACTATTAGTGTGCTAGGGGTAGGACTGATTACATAATTTGCAGGCCTAGTGTAAAATGAAAATTTGTGTTTCCTTGTTCAAAAATTATTAATAGCACAGCATTAAAACAAGCACAGGGCCCTTCTAACGATGAGGCCTTGTGAGACTCAGGTTTCACACACATGAAGCTAGGGCGGCAAGGAAGATTTGAATCTCAGTCTGACTAACAGGAAAGCCCATGCTTTTTCCAGTAAACCATGCTAGGTCAGATGAATGGTTCATTTCTGTGCGCAGTGAATGAGGCATGATGGTGATGTCAGATGGTGATGTCCTGTAGCCAGTTAAAAACCAAATTGCAGGTAAGGAGTTCCTTCTGTGATGTCTGTTGTCTGTCCTCTTCTCAGTGGGCATTTGGTTATTACATTTGACCTAGGTTAGCAACGTAATTTTTGATCAAAGTCTCAACAGTGTATCTCTTTAAATATCAAGGTACTAAGAATAACTCCTTTCATGTGTCCTCTCTGAAATTTGTCACCGGATTTCTTCTTTCTGATAAATGTGTCAATACTTAATAGTGGCGATGAAATGTCTTCTGCTACACATCTGGGTGGATCTGGAAGCGGAGGAACGTTTTCCTCAATTTAACAGTGGATCCTAGTAGTTGAGTTAAATGTTGGTTTCATTTAAGAGTAAGCTACTTTCTGAATGTAATTATGCTTCCACTGATAACAGCAACTTTTACTTTAGTTGGGAAGACATATCTATTATGTCTTAATCAGACAACTCTTGTGTGTCTTTGAGGAAGAGTGGGAGATCTGTAACTTTTCCCAAGAAAAATGAAAATGTCTCAATCCTAATATTAAAGGAATTCGGCTGTATTGGGTTAGGAATGAATAAACTACATCGATGTCCTTTATCAACTGTAATTCCTCTACTTGAGTCTCAAAGAATACTAAGTTTACGTTTTAATAAAAAATTACTAAAATTCCAGAAAAGTCTTTCACATCAGTCCCTGCTGGTCAAATTGGCAGGCCAAGCCTAGACAACAGGTTGCGCTTTGGGCTAAGACAGCCTCTAGAGGGCAATCTCCTTTCCTGCGAATCCGCCCTAGTCCGTTCTATCCTCCCTCTTCCCGCTCCGCCTCAGCTCGCTCTCCGCCTTCTCCCTGGCCCGGTCCCCGATCCCTTCCTCTCCCTCAACTATTTCCTCCAGGCGTCGTTCTTGCCCCGCCCTTCCCCGTCGCGTAGCGGAAACGGTCGCTCTGGCTTCCTGGAGGACTTGTCATCTGTGCCCGGCGGCGCAGGACGGCGGTGGGCGGGGCTCACGCGAGGCGCTGGAACGGTCCGGGAGATTCTCGCTCTGCTGCTTTAGCTTCGGAGTGTTTGGCGATGGGGCAGCGCGAGATGTGGAGGCTCATGTCGAGGTGAGTGAGAGAGCGAGGGGCCAAGGGCAGGCTCTTCAGCGGCACTCGCCACAGTGGGAAAAGGGCCGGGGGTGGAGACTGCTGGCCTCGAAGTTTCGAGTCGCGCTCAGAGGCGCCGCTGTGAGACCCCAACCTTGGCCCTCCCCAAGCCCCAGCCCCCGTCCCTGTCTTTCCTTTCTCCCTCTAGCATCTTCTTTGCAGCAGCACTCTGGTTTTCTGCCACTCTGGCTCTTAATTCAGGCTTGTCCCCACACGACTTTAATTCTTTTGGCCTCAGTTTCTTTCCTTTCTTAAAAGTTGGGTGCAGTCTGGGGACACGGACAGATTTAGCTTAGCGGAACTGTGCGGCATGTTTTGTGCAGCCAGCACACACAGGTGCTTTGCCAGTTGCTGCACCTCTCTCTGCCCGTGGTGTGATTTTATTCAGCTTTCTTGCATGGCTGCAGCGTCAGTATAGGCATTTGGAACTTTCAGGCTAGTGTTGAGGGACATTTAACGTGGCATGGGGGAGCATGTTTGCAAACATTGTTTAACTTTTTGAAAGTACCCCTCACTGCGCTTTGAGCTCAGCCTAGGAAATCTGGTAGCCATCATCTTTAGGCTGCATGCGCCTTAAACAGCCCACTGCCTGGCCCTGTACTGTCATACCAGGTAGCAGCTGCGCCCACTTGAAGGGAGAACCGTCCTTATTTCTTTAAAATAAGGACGACTTAAATTACTGGATTCTTTAAGCCTTAGAGTTTGCCTTCTGGGTTTCCTGAAAAGGGATGGAGGTGTTTCCTTGACTTAAGAAGAATAGTTTCAGGGGAAAGTGTCTAGATGTCTAACACTGTATCCACAGACCTAATTCTCAGTAAATTTTTGTTATACATTTAAGAGTTGCTTTTCTGTTTGTTTTTTTAATACCTTAAAATTAGTTGTCCTTGCACCAGCTCATGGAGAGATTTAGTAAATGCTAAGAAAATCAGTACACGTAATCGTTACTGCCGCTTTTTCAGTGTTGTCAGCAAATAGCAAATAGAGAAACAAACTGGAAAGACATGTTTGTTAAAGTTAGCTGACTTAGGAAAGGATCTGTCATTTCCACAATTCAGCTTGGCTTTCTTCCACCCCACGTTCCAAGATGCAGTACTCTGTAGGTGAGGCCAGGACCATTTTGGGGGCTTTGATCTGAGATGCCTTTTCCAGACTCAGCCCTGAAGTGGGTATTATCCTAGAAAGCAGAGGCCAAGATGGTCCAGTCCACAATACCCTAACCCACAACTGTATAAGGGAATAGGGTGCCACGGAAAGTGTTTCTGAGAGGAAAAAAGGCCTTGGGCCATGGTTGACAGTGTTGGGCAGCCCCACTTGAACTCTGGCCTCCCTTGGCTTCTTCGGTACTGGCCTACTTTTCTAATGCCACTCTCCACCGCCTCTCCTTACCCCAGTGCCAGTTTAGCTCTTGGACTTTTTTTTTTTTTTGGTTCCCAAATCATCTGTCTTAGGGTAACTCAAATTTTTGTCTAACCTGACTTGCCCTGAGCTCTAATGCTGGTCACAACCCTCTGAATGCCTCAGTTGCACCTCATATATAAATTTGCACTTAAGGGCTAGGCGCGGGGGCTCACACCTGTAATCCCAGCACTTTGGGAGGCCGAGGCGGGCATATCATCTGAGGTCAGGAGTTCAAGACCAGGCTGGCCAACATAGTGAAACCCCGTCTCTACTAAAAATACAAAAAAATTAGCTGGGTGTGGTGGCAGGGCCCTGTAATCCCAGCTGCTTGGGAGGCTGAGGCAGGATAATTGCTGGAACCTGGGAGGGGGAGGTTGCAGTGAGCCGAGATCATGCCACTGCACTCCAGCCTGGGCGACAGGGTGAGACTCTGTCTCAAAAAAAAAAAAAGGAAAAAAGGAAAAGAAAAATAAATTTGCACGTAAGTATAACCCTTACTCTTTGTCTCTCTTGGCACTATCATTCTTCTAGATTCTCAAACTTACCTAAGTTCTCCCACACTCCCAAACCTTAACCTCTTCCTGTGGATTCAGGTTTCAACAGTAGTCTCAAAGTTAATCACTTTTTCCTCTTCCCAGTGTGAATTGTTTCTGTACAAGATTGCCAGGTTAATCTCGCTAAGGTTTTACTTCAGTGCCTGCCATTCTTCTCAGAATCTCACAGAGGTGCCCTTCTGCTTATGCAATTAAATACAGTTTTACCAGTCTGGATTTCACAGATTTGGCCCCAGTATATTCATGGATGAACAATTACCTACTGTTCTGTTCTACTTGCTGGGAAGCACAGTTCTAGGCATTTCTATTATCCTGTAGCCACTCTGGACTACTTGGTTTTCCTACTGTTCCTTATGTAGGGCCCTTGGAGTCTGAAAGGAGAGCAGATAGGAAACACATAATTAGACAAAAGTAATTTTTGATTACCAATTCTGGTAAGTGTCTTAAGGGACAAGTACAGTTATGAGAGCCAGATTTAGATAGGGAGAGGGAGTCAGGAAGCCTCATCAGAGAGGTTGCTCTTCGCTGGGTGTGGTGGTTCATGCCTGTAATCCTAGCACTTTGAGAGGCCAACATGGGAGTTCAAGACAATCCTGGGCAACATAGCAAGACCCCGTTTCTACAAAAAATAAGAAATAAAAAAACTAGCTGGGTATGGTGGCATACGCCTATCCTTCCAGCTTGGGAGGCTGAGGTGGGAGGATCACTTGAGCCACAGAGTTCAAGTTTACAGTGAACTATGATTGTGCCACTGCCCTCTAGCCTGGGCAACATGGAAAAACCTAGTCTCTAAAAATAGAAATAACAGGAAGAGGGTACTTTTAGGTTGTTAATAGGCCTCATTGCCTTTTCCATCTCCTCCATCCTCTGCTGAACTGTATTGTTTTGGTTCTTGCTCTTTGCCTGTCTTCTCTTTTACTTCTAGTTAGTTGTTTCTTAGTTGATCAAAGGCTCAATCTTTGTTGCTCTTTTAGGTTGTTTTCTGTGTTAGGAATCATGAGCCTGAATGCAGAGGCTGAGAAGGAAGCATTGAAAGATGCTGGCTAGATGGCAGCATGGGGGACTGGTGAACTGGAGAGAGTGCTCTAGAGAGGAGGCAGCTTCTCAGCCCCAGCCATTGTTGCCCTTATAGAATATAGACCCAGGGTTTCCATTATTACTGATTTTTCTGGAAAACCTGGAAAAAGTGCAGTTTTAGGTGAAATGTCTTGATTTTTAAATGTTAGTAGTTTTTTTCTGTTTTTCTTCTTTTTAATCTCTACCATTCCATCCAGATAATGTTAGTAGTTTTAAAACTGCTCGGCTGGGCATGGTGACTCAAGTCTGTAATGCCAGCACTTTGGGTGGCTGAGGCTGGAGGATCACAGCCCATGAATTTGAGACCAGCCTGGGCAACATAGACTGTCTCTCTACAAAAAATTTAAAAATCAGCCAGGTGTGGTGGTGTGCGCCTGTAGTCTTAGCTGTTCAGGAGGCTTGAGTCCAGGAGATTGAGGCTGCATTTGAGCCCATGTATCATACCACTGCACTCCAGCCTGGGTGACAGAGTGAGACCCTGTCTCTAAAAATAAATAAATAAATAGAATACAAAAATAAAATGCTGCTGACCAATACCACAGTTACAGTTGGCATCTTTCTGGCAATTAGTTTTCAACTGCAGCCTTCTCATTTATTCCTTACAGAAAGCTGAGAGATTCCAGTGTCTCAGTGATTGTACATGCATGTGGCATAAGATATACCTTTAGTTCTAACTTTTCTTTCAACCTCTAGTCTCTTTCTTCTGTTGACTATTTCTGCTTATGTCAGTACAAATTCAAATTCAAAAAATTGAATTTGTATTTCGTCCTGCAAACCAGCTAGCTTCTTTCCCTGTCTTTTCTATATTCTCCTGGTTGTCCTGGCTTGAAATCTTAAAGTCATTTTTGACATTCCTTTCCATTGAGTTTTTACTTTATAAAAACTCTTAATAATATCACTCCCTTCTGTTTCCACATCTGCTGTTCTTCATCACCCCATGCCTAAATTATTGGCCTCCTGGACTTGATTTTCTGCTCTGTTCACACCTTGCCTACTTCTGGGATAATAATTTTCACTAAGCACTACTTTGTGATGTCTTCTTCCTGCTTAAGCAGTTTCATGTAGTTGTTTAATTTCGTGAGGCCATGTTTGTTTTATTGGATAATTGCAAAAAGTTCCTGAGTGATAAAGTTCTCATCTAAGACAGTTGTTTATTTAAACTTCACGCATCATAACCACCTGGAGGGTTTGTTAAACACAGATTTCTGGGCCCCACAGTTTCTTGTTCAGTAGGTCTGGGGTGGGGCAGAGAATTTCAGTTTCTAGTCAGTTTCCAGGGGATGTTGATGGTACTTGTCCAAGAACCATACTTTGAGAATAACTGTTCTAAAAAGCCAAGTTGACATCAGTTGAAGGAAATAAGCCTGATAAAGTTAATTAAGAAATTAGAAGTAGCAGGCCGGGCACAGTGGCTCATGCCTGTAATTTCAGCACTTTGGGAGGCTGAGGCGGGCGGATCAAGAAAGAAGTCAGGAGATCATGACCATGCTGGCTAACATGGTGAAACCCCGTTTCTACTAAAAATACAAAAAATTAGCCGGGCATGGTGGCAGGCACCTGTAGTCCCAGCTACTCAGGAGACTGAGGCAGGAGAATGGCGTGAACCCGGAAGGCAGAGCCTGCAGTGAGCCGAGATTGCACCACTGCACTCCAGCCTGGGCGACAGAGAGAGACTCAGGCTCAAAAAAAAAAAGGAGCGGAGAGGTGCATGCCCTCTTCCTCTCCACCAGATGGCAGTTTTGGAACCAATAGAAAAGAAAGATCATAAATTCAGAATTACCTGGGGACACTGAATTCTCAATTACATTTTGAGGTATAAAAGCTAATATCAAATTTTAAGTGACAGCTGAATTTGAATTAGAACGAATGGGCTGGGTGCGGTGGCTCACACCTGTCATCCCAGCACTTTGGGAGGCCCAGGTGGGCGGATCACCTGAGGTTGGGAGTTCAAGACTAGCCTGGCCAACATGGAGAAACCTCGTCTCTACTAAAAATACAAAAATAAGCCGGGTGTGGTGACGCATGCCTGCAATCCCAGCTACTCGGGAGGCTGAGGCAGGAGAATTGCTGGAACCTGGGAGGCAGAGGTTGCAGTGAGCTGAGATCGTGCCACTGCGCTGCAGCCTGGGTGACACAGCAAGACTCTGTCTCAAAACCAACCAACCAACCAAATGGAAGCAATGTGATTATATAGTATTTGACAAGGAATTTGGTTGTGTGTGTATATATATATACACATATATACGTATATATATACATATATATACACATATATACGTATATATATACGTATATATACACATATATATGTATATATACATATATACATATATATACACATATATATGTATATATACATATATATATATTTTTTTTGTAGTAACTGGTCCACAGATTTTTGTGACCTATAAATATTGTGTACAGTGGCTTTGTTTGATAGGTTTACATTAACTTTCTTTGAGTTAAATAAAATTCTGTCTTATATATAAAACTGGGACTTGGAGTTAGTCCTGAGTTCTCTTTGTTTACTTGTTAAAACACTGCAGTTAGTACTTACACTGTTACATAATAGTTGCAAATCTGGCAACACCCTCTTGAACCTTGAACCTACATTTGGGTACTGGCCTCATTAAGGAATCCAAAGTCATTCTGGATTTTTATGCTTAAAATCTCCAGAAAGATAAAATTGAGTCAAGTTGAAAACATTTTAGACGTGGTGTTTTAGGGTAGTGTAGTTCACACTTTAAAAGTAATTATGAAAACCTTATTTAGAAAGTATCCCTAAATAAGATATGATCTGTCACTTCAGTTTCATAATTATAAAGTGTTAGTGTTGATTTTTAATGACAGCTTCGTTCTTTGAAATCATTTAGGGGAGCTTCAAACAAAGTATCTGTGCCTGTGCCCCACCTCCAGAGTTTGATTTAATTGGTCTTGGGTGTGACCTGGGCTTTGGAATTTTTAGCAGTCTCCAGGTGATTCCTTTTTTTTTTTTTTTTTTTTTGTGAGACAGAGTCTCTTGTCACCCAGGCTGGAGTGCAGTGGCACAATCTCGGCTCACTGCAACCTCTGTGTTAGAAATACCAAAATTGTTAGATAAGTGGTGTTGTGAAGAAAAGTCAGCACGGAGGCAAAAGATTTATCAGCAAGGCCATTTTTACTTTCTGCAGAAAGGGTCCCCAATTGCAGATGGAACAATGGCGAGAGCACACTTGACAAAGGAAAAGCAGACATATTTATCCCTTACGCATTTGGGTTGTCCTTAATGCTGTGTCCTGCATCCATTGGCTGGAGTGGGACCTCACACTCTTAAACTGATACCCAATATGCTAATAGCCTAAATAGGTAAGTGTAGGGAAGAACAAAGAAGTTGCTTATGAAAGGTTTAAGGAAGCAATAACATTTTTAAATAAGGGGAATAGGCTGTGAGCTCGAACATGCCCGTGAGCATGTCCAATAGTTACGTAGGATAGGGCTTAACAAAGAGTTACTAGCACAAAGCAAGGAGGCATGAAGAAAGTTAGTCTTTAAAAGAAATTATTATTTCTAACAGTTATGATTTATTCTTTAACAGGAAGAAAAACTTTGAAGAGGAAACTTTTTACTTTCTACACTCTGCCTCCCAGGTTTAAGCTATTCTCCTGCCTCAGCCTCCTGAGTAGCTGGGATTACAGGCGCCCACCACCATGCCTGGCTAATTTTTGTACTTTTAGTGGAAACGGGGTTTCGCCTTGTTGGCCAGGCTGGTCTGAAACTCCTGACCTCAGGTGATCCGCCTGCCTTGGCCTCCCAAAGTGCTGGGATTACAGGCATGAGTCACCATGCCCAGCCGAGTCTCCAGGTGATTCTAATGTACAGACCAGTCTTGGAATTACTGGGCTACATTTTACTTGTGAGACAAATTCAGAAAATGCTAGTTCAGGAATGTGAATTATAACTGACTTAAACAAATAGGTTGTTTCTCTCTTTTGTATAGTATTATTCAATTTGAATGTAATATAAAAAAGTCATATAAATTCTGAAAGGCAAGTTGGATTACAAATATTTTTATAAATTCAGTCATCCAAGTTGTTACAAGTGGTAACTGGTGATATTGCCTTTTGTGAAACCTCAGGCTGTTGGTCTTCATATAATCTCAGAGTATTCTTGAAAAATTAACAGATTGTCAGTTTATCAGTTCCATTAGTTGGTATATGTATCTGCACATGTGCACAGCCCTTATCAGGCTGCTGCAGCTACTGATTCTAGCTTTGACCTCTTTCCATAGATCTTAAATTTAGCTTCTTAAACAAAAAGCATGCATCTTAGTATATTCTAACTATAGTGTTTTTATTTGCACATCTGTCATTACGTTGTGGGTTTCTCGAGTGCAAGAGCTATGTCTTTTAGGACATTTTTTAAAAAGCCCAAAGCATAATGATACAACTTGATGAATTTTCACAAATGAAACATACCTAAATCACCAGCACCTGGATCGAGAAACAAGCATTCCAGAGGCCCTCCTCATGCCTCTCTCAATCACTGCCGTTCCCGGTGTTGTCTTTTACTTTCTTATTATAATTTACATAAGGCACTTGAGTACACCGTTCTGAAGTTTATAGCTTAGTGAACTTATACCTGCAGTCCTGTAATCAGCATTGGGATAGAGACAATTTCCAACATTCCGTGTTTGTTCATGCCCCTTCCCAGGTGCCCCCACCCTCACCATTCTCATGTCCATTATTAGTGGTCACTTTGGTCAAGCTGTGTCTCAGGCTTTGTATTCCTAGCCCAACAAGCACTTTTAAGACAGCAAAAAATAGAAGTGTGTTGTGTTTATTGTTTTGTAGCCTGCTCTCCTTTTGTGATTTGTCACTACTTTTCCATGTTAGTATTTTTAGTGGTTGTGTAATGGCTGTATTAATAGACACAGTCTTTAAAATAATGCTCTACTCTTAGACATTTACTTTGTTTTCAGTTTTTCCATCCTGTAAATAATGTGAACATATTTATCAATCAGACTTTGGTCATATTTCTGAGATTTCCCTAGTGCAAATGCTTGCGGAATTAGTGGATTGAAGGGTGTGATCATTTTAAAGGCTGTGGATTTGTATTTCCAGACTGTTTACCGGAAAGGCAGTACCAATTTATACCTCTCTCTAGTGTCTGAGAATGCTGTTTGTATTGCATCTTTAACAAACCTTTTTTCTTAAGATTAATGACTTTATTTTTTAGAGTAGTTATAAGTTGATGGAAAAAATGACCTGCAAATTTGAGCAGAAAAGTTTGACAAATAATAAGGACATGTATCAACCATTACAGTATCATACAGATTAGTTTCACTGCCCTAAACATCTCCTGTGTTTCAACTGTTCATCCCTCCTTCCGTCCCCCAAACCCCTGGCAACCATTGATCTTTCTACTGATTTCATAATTTTGCCCTTTTCAGAATATCATACAGTTGAAATGAGAGTATGTAGCCTTTTCAGACTGGCTTCTTTTGCTTAGTAGTATGTATGCATTTAAGTTTCGTCCAATTTTTTTTGTGGCATAATAGCTCTTTTCTTTTTTTCATGGCTGAATAATATTTTATATGGTTGTATTGAAATTGGTTTGTCTTCCAACCATTGAAGAACATCTTGGTTACGTCCACATTTTGGCAGTTATGAATAAAGTTACCATAAAATTCATGTGCAAAGTGGCTGTACCATTTAATGTTCCTACCAGCAGTGAATGAGAGCTAAACCTTTTAAAACTTTTTGTTCTGGTAATACCTTTTAGAAGAGGCTGAAACAAAAGGTGATATACTATTTGTCAACTGAGACATGACTACCCACATTACTGTTCTCATTGTTTTCCACATTTGTTTCAGGTTTAATGCATTCAAAAGGACTAATACCATACTGCACCATTTGGTAAGTTATTGTGTTTGTTTTGCTGGCATTATTTGTATGTGTAACTTAAAATGTCATTGTTAGAGAAGTAGAGAAATACTGGTATGGCAGATTTCCTTGACCTTAGGTACATCATGGTTCTCAACTGAGTGTCAAGACATGGCACACGCACCTTGTAGGAGGTGGCATAAGATTATGGTTAAAACCATGGTTCTTACAAGTCAGAATGCCTGAGTTTAAATAATGGGTTCACTACTTAATCTTGGGTGGATTACTTGGTCTCTTACAGCTTCCCTTTTGATATGTATAAAGTGAGAATAATAATAATATCTACCTTAGAGTGCTTATAAATGATAAATAAGATAATTGTATTAATCAGTGTTCTCTAGAAGGACAGAACTTATAGGACATATGTATATATGAAAGGGAGTTTATTAAGGAGAATTGACTCACATGATCACAAGATAAAGTCCCATGATAGGCCGTCCGCAAATTGAGGAGCAAGGAAGCCAGTGATGGATCAGTCTGAGTCCCAAAACCTCACAAGTTAGGAAGCTGACAGTGCAGCCTCCAGTCTGTGGCCAAAGGCCCAAGAGCCTCTGGCAAACCACTGGTATAAGTCCAAGAGTTCAAAAGCTGAAGAACTTGGAAGCTGATGTTTGAAGGCAGGAAGCATCCAGTGCCGGAGAAAGATGAAGGCTGGAAGACTCAGCAAGTCAAGTCCTTCCAACTTCTGCCTGCTTTTATTCTAGCCACTCTGGAAGCTGATTAGATGGTGCCCACTCAGACTGAGGGTGGGTCTGCCTCTCCCAGTCCACCGACTTGAATGTTAATCTCCTTTGGCAATACCTGCACAGACATACCCAGGAAAAATACTTTTCATCCTTCAATCCAATCACGTTGACAGTCAATATTAACCATCACAATAATGCATTAAAAAATCTAGCATAGTCTTTGGGAGGCCGAGGTGGGTGGATCATGAGGTCAGGAGATCGAGACCATCCTGGCTAAGACTGTGAAACCCCATCTCTGCTAAAAAAAAAATACAAAAATTAGCCGGACATGGTGGCGGGCACCTGCAGTCCCAGCTACTCAGGAGGCTGAGGCAGGAGAATGGCGTGAACCCGGGAGGCAGAGCTTGCAGTGAGCCAAGATGCGCCACTGCACTCCAGCCTGGGCGACAGAGCGAGACTCTGTCTTAAAAAAAAAAAAAAAATCTAGCATAGTGCATGGCATATGACAGTCATTTTATACATGTTAGCTATTACTGTAATGGTACCTTGCAAAGTTAAATATCCAAAGTTTATCAGATTATAAGGAAGAAATAAATTTTATTCACTTTTATATCTCTTATAGAGGCTGACAAGTAAATTGCACATAAAAATAACAAGTCATCTGATATCACTGTATTCTAGGTGGTATTGTAAGTACTTGTCATGGGTTAGCTCAGTTAATTTTCATGATAGTCCTCTGGGGTACATACTACAGATCTCTTATTTGCAATTCTAAAACCTCAAAACCAAAAGTTTTTTGTTAGTTTGTGGTAAATACATTGGCAAAATCTGACCTGGATGTACTTGAAGCTCTTTTAGTTTTTATCCTAACTAGTGTAAACACTTATGGTTTGGTGCATAAATATAAAAACCCTTTATTACTATGTAATCAAGTATTACAAGGACCTAGACTTCTCTTGGGGTGTTTTATGAAGTATTTAGTATGTACTATTTTCCAAAATCTAGAAAATTTTAGGAATTAAGGGATTGTAGCCTTATCTCTATATAACAGGGCAGAAATTGAGGGACAGGGAGGCTAAGTAACATGCCCAAATGTCACACAGCTAGTAATTATGAGGTGTGATTTGAATCCTGGCTATCTGTTTTCATAGATTTACTTTGTACGCCCTATAGCCTCTGACAGAGTGGGCACTACGTAACTATTGCAACTGTGCCTCTGTTAAGCCTAAGTGGAGATGGGGATACGAAGCCTGGCATATCCCTTCCTAACTGTGTTAGTCCATTTTCTGTTGCTTATAACAGAATACCTAAAACTGAGGAATTTGTAAAGAAAAGGAATTTATTTCTTATCGTTACGGAGGTTGAGAAGTCCAAGGTCAAGGTGTTGCATCTGGTGTGGGCCATTTTGCAGGTGGGACCTCTGTAGAGTCCTAAGGCGGTATAGGACATCATGTGGCAAGGGGGCTAAGTGTGCTAGCTCAGGTCTGCCTCTTCCTCTTATAAACCTACAGTCTTACTCCCATAATAACCCATTGGTTCATTAACTCATTAATCCATTAATTTATGAATGGGTTAATCCGTTCATGTGAGCAGAACTGTCATGCCCAATCACCTCTTAAAGCACTCACCTCTTAGTATTGCCACAGTGTGGATTAAATTTCAACAGGAGTTTGGGAGGGGGCAAATACTCGAACCATAGCACTACCCTTACTTATTTTATTCAGCTGTTATACATGGAGGTTGAGGAGTTTCCTAGAAAAAAAACTAGGAGCAGTGTCAGTGACTCAGACATAAGTACAAAGGTGGAATGGGAAGACATGACAGAATCCAGATCATATGAGGACTATGGTGACATGGGGCAGAAGACACCTGGAAGGAAGATAAAGACTCTCAGGGCCTGGGGGTTGAATAATTCTGAATCTCAGTGTTTGCTTTTATGAGTGCCTCAGGGGTAGAGAAGATGTATCCCAAGCAATTCTTCTGTGGCCTTTCTGAGACAGAGAGAGAGAAAGAGAAAGAGAGGGAGAGATCCTTTTTATTTCATGGTGGAGTGATGGAAGTATGCCATTGATGGCAGTATTGCAGGCAGAGTTATGAGAAGTGGACAGGATTATTTTGTGTTTATAGTGTGACATTCACGGTGACCCTTCCAAGATAGAAGGTAGGGAATAGAACCCAGAAGGGAGGACAGAATTCTGCATTTCTGCATATAAGGTTTGTCAAGCTAATGAAAGCCAGTGGAACCTGTCAGTGAGGCCTCATTTCTATCTGTAGACTAATTTGGACATATTCTTACTATGAAAATATTCAGGGAAATATTTTTTTTTCTTCTTTCTCCATAATCTATTTTAAACTCTTTTTTTGTTTGTTATTGTTTGAGACAAGGTCTTGCTGTGTTGCCCAGGCTGGAGTGTAGTGACATTAGCTTACTGTAGCCTCGAACTCCTAGGCTCAGGTGATCCTCCTGCCTTAGCCTCCCGAGTAGCTAGGACTGCAGGTATGAACCCCAACCCCAGCTAATTTTTAAATTTTTTGTAGAGATGAGGTTTCTGTGTTGCCCAGACTGGCCTCGAACCTCTGGGCACAAATGATCTTCCTGCCTTGGCCCCTCAATGTGCTAGAATGATAGGTGTGAGCCACCATGCTGGTCTATTTTAAATTCTTAAACAGCATTTTAATTTAATATGCAAAAGCTCATTTAATTTTGACCTGGATATGGAGAAAACTTCTATTTTCATTTTCTTTTTGTCCTTTTAGAAAGTAGTATTCAGTATTGAGGGTATAGTGTTTGGAGTGCATGAAATGATACTGTGTATATCATTTTCATGACAGTACACATGTTCTTATTATGATGTCCAGATGGTGTCCTAGAATTATTAATAGTCCTTTTAATCCTATATCTGAATCTCTTTTCCTCCACATCTAGATTCCTAGTTCCCAAGAATATAGTAGATGATAGTGTTTTAGTCCATTTGAGCTGCTGTAACAAAACCGTAAACTGGGTAGCTTATAAAAAACAAAATTTATTTCTCATGGTTCTGGAGGCTGGGGAGTTCAAGATCAAGGGGCCAGCGGATTTGGTGTCTGGTGATGGCCAGCTTCCTGGTTAATAGACAGCCTTGTTGGCCATCTTATCTCTCTGTCCTCTTGTGGTAGAAGGGGTGAAGAAGCTCTCCAGGGTTTCTTTTATAAGGGCGTTAATCTCATTCATGAGGGCTGACATGACCTAATTACCTCTCAAAGGTCCCACTCTTATGCCATCACCTTGGAGGTTAGGATTTCAACATACAAATTTTGGAAGGATGCAAGCATTCAGTCTGTAGTACTATACAAGCTAATAGTTAGCTTCTTAATATTTCATGGGTGCTAGCAGAAGACGTGACACTCTTGGATTAGAAAAAATAGAATTTTTTATGAGTGGCACAGCGAGCAACACTGAGCAAGGTTTCTCTTGCTTAAGCCTCAGGGGAGTGATACAGAGGACCTATATGAGTGCCTGCATATGCAGTATATTGCATGACAGTACAACTGTCATGCAATTTGGGAAACCTGCTGGTTTTAGTAAGCTGTAAATAAGTCTGCTGTCTGTCCCAGAGGAAGACATTACCTTCTTCTTCATGGTGGCTCACAGCAAAAACCTTCTTCTTCGTGGAGTCTACAGCAAAAGACCTTTTTCTTCATGGTGGCTACCTTGAAAATGACCCAGGCAAGGAGTGGTCAGGCCCTTGGGTTCATGGCATACCTATTCATAGCACACCCAGCAGTAAGGTACAGAGAAATTTCCAGCGCTTATGCCAGATTGCATCCCTCAGCGGCTAAATTCCATTTCTTGACCTAGGTAGTGGTTACAAGAGTTTTGCATTATAGTAATTGACTAAGTTCTATATTATACTTTCGGTGGTTGTCTGTGTGTGTGTTTTGTTTTACCATAGAAACATAGAAAAAAAATAAGACAGCTTTATCTGTAGTAGTGACATGGGAAGATGACCATGGCAAGTTGCTGAATTAACAGTGGGAGGTGCAGAATAAGGTATGGCATTCCATTTTTGCTAATAGTTTATGGAAAAGTGCCTGAGAAAGATAGACACTAAATCAGTAGTGTTGCAAACCAGGGCAACTTTGGTTTTCACCATTTTACCTGTGGTTGCCCCCTTAATTAAAAACAAAAAATCTTACTGAGATTATGGGTTCAGCTGGATGTGGGAAATCTCTTTATTCTGCTTATTAAGAAAATGTTATATTTTATTACCTGACTTTATAGAAATAAGTTTTTAAGATAATTTTTTATTATTTTACAGTTTTAGATCTATTGAAAAGTTAAAAAGATAGTACAGAGTTCTTACGTACCTCTCACCCAGTTTCCGTTTCCCCTAATGTGATCCTACATTGCTATTATGGATTGAATTGTGTCCCCCAAAATTCATATGTTGGAGTCCTAGTCCCCAGTACCTCAGAATGTGACCTTATCTGGAAACAGGGTTGTTGTATATGTAATTAAGGTCATAATTGAGTAGGGTGGGCCTCAATCCAATATGACTGGTATGCTTATAAAAGGGAAATTTGCAGATAGTCATGTACACAGGATAATGTCACGTGAAGATTGGAGTTATGCTGCCACAAGCCAGAGAACTATCCGAAGCCAGAAAAGAAGCCTAGGATAGTTCCTTCCCTAGCACCTTCAGCAGGAGCATTGCCCTGCTGACCCCTTGATTTTAGACTTGCAGCCTTCAGAACTGTGAGACAATAAGTTTGTGTTGTTCAGACTCAAAGTCATCTCGGACTCATCTTGCTCATTCTCATTTCCAGTGAACTTCCAAGCTCTGTCAAACGTTTCCTTAAAAGGATTCCCCCCTCCTTTTCTTTCTATTCCTACTGTTAATCCTCTGTACCTAATCACTCTTTAATCTCTTAACTGGTTCCTCTACAACCTCAACCACCGCATTTTGCCTCACATACTAATGCTAGCATATTATTTTTTAAATATATTACAAAATTACATTGAAAAAGTTTTAGAGACTTTGTTTTGCCAATGGAATAAAGATTACACAAGACCACACAGTTAGAGAGACTTAAGGCTAGAACCCAGGATTTTTTGTGCTTCAATTCTAACACTTTTTTTACTAAAGCATACTGTGTCTTATAAATTCCAGCACAGGGATACATTATTCGTCCTATTTTATCTCTAAATGCTTTAGTTCTTTATACTTTGTTTTAATCTATAAGTTGCTTCAGTTTCTTTTGGAGGTAGAAGAGATCATAAAACTTGGAAATCAAAACAAATGTTGGTTAAAATAAAACTGCTGGTTTTACAAAAAAAATAAGTTTGTGTTGTTTAAGCCATTTAATTTGTGGTACTTTGTTATGGCAGCCCTAGCAAACTGCCTACTATTCTTACTATGGTACACTTATCAAAACTGAGAATATTGGTTTCGTGGTTTGAATATTTGCCCGCTCCAAAACTCATTTCGAAATTTAACCCCCAGTGTGGATGTATTGAAAGGTAAGGCCTTTGGGAGGTGATTGGGTCACGAGGCCTCTGTCCTCACGAAGGATTAATCCATTAATTGATTAATGGGGTTATGGGAGTGAGACTGGTGGCTTTATAAGACAAGTAAGAGAGATCTGAGCTAGCATGCTTAGCTTCCTTGACATATGATGCCCTGTACCTCCTTGGGTCTCTGCAGAGTCCCCACCAGTAAGAAGGCCCTCACTAGATGTATCCTTTTGACTTTGGACATCAGCCTCCATAACTAAGGAAAAGAATAAATTCCTTTTTTTTTTTTTTTTTAACAAATTACACAGTTTCAGGTATTCTGGTGTGAGCAACAGAAACTTAACTAAGGCAATTTGTATATTACTGTTAACTCCAGACTTTATTTGGATTTCACCAGTTTTTTTTCATTAATATTCTGTTCCAGAAATCAATGACACTGCATTCACTTGTCATGCTTTTTAGTTTCCTCTAGTCTGTGATAGTTTCTCAACTTATCTTTCCATATTTTTCATGCCCTTGACAATTTTAAGGAGTAGTGGTCAGGTAGCCTGTAGAATACCATCTCATCTGGGCTTGTCTGTTGTTTTTTTCATAATTAGGCTAGAGTTAAGGTTTTTGGCAAGAATATGACAGAGGAAAAGTGCCCTTCTAATCTCATCATATCAGGGAGTATTTGTGGGTTTTGACAAATGCATCAGGGAGTACATGGTATCTACATGACATCATTGGTAATGCTAACTTTTATCCTTTTGTGTAAGTGCCATTTATTGTTTTCCACTATAAAGTTGCTATTTTTCCCTTTCATGCTCTGCTTATTGAAAGCAAGTCAGTAAGTCCAGCCCAAACTCAAAAGGTGAGGGGACAAAGCTCTGTCTCTTGGAAGGGAGATAACTACATATGTCATTTAGAATTCTGCGAGGAAGATTATCTTTTCTCCTCCATTTATTTTTTCTGTGTGGACTCATGGATATTTATTCTTTGGGCTATCATCTAATATCACATTATTGATTGCTTCATTGTTCCAGTTCTGGCCATTAGGAATTCCTTCATTTTGGCTTTTGTATTTCTTTCATATGACCCCATCCTTTTAATTTTTTTTTTTTTTTTGAACATTTCCTTTCTGGTGCTAGAAGGTATGCTCTGGACTCATTTCGTGTTTTCCCTATCTTAGTGCTGGAATCAGCCTTTTCTCTAAGGAGCTCTGGTTGCCTTTATTGGAGAATTGCATTTGGAAATCAAGATCTAGACTCTGGGAGTGCTCTTTGCTGCTGAGTGTCATGGCTTTCTCTCAGAGGATAGAGCTAGGGTAATGTATGTATCTGTAATAGAATGCATATACACTATGTACTTACCCATGTATTCATGCATATCTCTAATTGTTTCTGTACTTTTTCTGTATATGTGTATTAAACTAAACATGAGTTCATAGTGATGTCTTTGTCTTTAATCCAGTACCATAGGTCAGGGTTCATTCTGTCTTTCCCTTCTTGTTCTATCTGTAACTCTACTCCTGACAGTGAGAGCCAGGCTCCATTACTTACTAATTTAAACCTAGTATATATGCAAAGCAGTTGCAGAATTGTTACCTGCTCCTTGCTACCATGAAAAGCCATGTTGATAGAGTACACTGTTGATGTACAGTTCCTTTATCATCCATACAGTTTTCAGTCATTTCACTGATTTCCAAAGTTAGTTAGCTTCCTTATCACCACAGTCACTTCACTGAGGTTATGTCATAATGTGTAATTCAGTTAGGTTCTGAGAAGGAAAAAATCCTGTTCCCCCCAATGACTAGACTCCCCTCTCAGCCAAGGGGACCCCAGAGAAAGCTTAAAAATGAGTTCCTGGCCAAGATGGAATGAGAGCTTGGACACACCTTGTAATACCTCCTCCCTTATTAGCCACCATTAGTCTTTCTTCCCTAAGAGTTAAACAGAAACCAGCCGAAATTTTCCCCTGCTGATTTCAAGCAACTACCTGACTGTTGTTCCTTCTTTTTGCAGTTTTGACACAGCAACTGACCAGCATTCCTTCCTAATAAAAGACCACTGATGATGGAGTGGTTCTGGCCAGTCTATGTAGGGAGGCTGCACACAGTGGGCCTCCATTTCCTCTGCTTCATCTTTTGATGTATAGGGCCTAATTGTGATACTACTTGTTAAGTCTCCACCCCAGAGTTAACATGGCATGCATGTGCATACATGTTAGCTTACTATACATGCATGTGCCTCCTGTTCGTGAATATTCATAGCCCCTCCTGTAAGCTGTTGAATATGTTTATGTAGCCAGCCAGTTCAGCATAAATTCCTGTTTCCCTCACTAGAAGTGCTTGCTCTTGGCTTCTGCCAGAGGCTGTGTTTCCCAGCCTGTGGGATGGTCAGCCTGCAGGCTGCAGCCCTTTAGGAGAAGTAAAGCTCTCTTTTCCAAATTTATGAATCTTCTGATTCTTCAGTTGACAGTTCATTTGTCATAGTCTGCATTCCATATTGGAATTCCCTGATATCCTAGGTAATTTTTTTGCTTTTTAAAAGATAGCTCATGCTATGGTTTGAATGTATGTGTCCCTCCAAAATTTGTATGTTGGAGCCTAATACCAAATGTGATGGTATTAAGAGGTGGGGCTTTTTGGGAAGTGGTAAGTCGTGAGCACCCCACTGTCACAGGATTAGTACTCTTATAAAAGAGGTTGAAGGGAGTCAACTAGGCGTCTTTGCCCTTTTCCTTCCTTGTGCCATGTGTGGACACACAGAACTCATGCAAAATGGGGTCTCACCAGGCACTGAATCTCGAACTTGAACTTGCCTTGATCTTGATCTTGAACTTCCTAGCCTCTATAACTGTTAGAAATAAATTTCTGTTCTTTATAAATTACCCAGTTTAAGGCATTTTGCTGTAGCAGCAGGAATGGACTAAGACAGTTGTGTTTGTGATGTACATTTCTGTGAGTTTTGACAAATTTATAAAGCATGTACCCACCACCCCAATACATGCAGAGGAGTTCCATTCCCCTAAAATTTTCCATGCTTCCCCTTTGTAGTCAGGCACTACTCCTTCCCCCAACTCCCTCTCCCTCCTCTGGGGATTGAGATTGACTGCCTTTTTAAATTTTCCTTTTCTTTTGTCCCCACTTCCTTTTCTTCAGCTGTTGTTGACAAACACTAAGGTCCTTAGGCTATGGTCTTGAAGTGCTTCTCTTTTGAGATGAAGACTTTTATTTAGTAGGCCTCTATTTCCTTCCCCCACTAGAATGAGACTTTATCATAGACCTAGGGCTACAAGCTTGAGGGTTTTCCTTCCCCTCCCTGCAGATAAAGCCTTTTGTTCTGTATGGGAGATAAAGGGAAAGGATTTAGCAGTGACCTCTGTTTCCCTCCTGAGCCAGCACCTCTGGCTCCAGTCATCCTAGCCTGGTTGGGTTCCAGGAGGAAAGTTCAGCAAGAGAGTGGGAAATGTTAACTAAGATTAACATTTTAAGTTAATCTTTCTTATGGCTTATGCCCCTGGTAAGCAGGGGTGGCTGCTTCACTTCCATTTCCAACATTCGTGTAGATTTCTCTTTTGACTAACTTACAGCCATTCAGACAGACATGTGTCTGATCTTTGACGAGCCTGACTAATGGAGCAATGACAGAAGGATTCCTTATTCAATAAATGGTGCTGGGATAACTGGCTAGCCAGATGCAGAGAATGGAAACCGGACCCCTTGCTTACACTATATACAAAAATTATCTCAAGATGAATTAAAGATTTAAATGTAAAACCCAAAGCTGTAAAAACCCTGGAAGACAACCTAGGCAGTATCATTCTTGACATAAGAACGGGCAAAGATTTCATGACGAAGACGCCAAAAACAATTGCAACAAAACCAAAAATTGACAAATGAGATCTAATTAAAGTAAAGAGCTTCTGGACAGCAAAAGAAACTATCAACAAACATACAACCTACAGAATGGGAGAACATGCAAACTATGCATCTGACAAAGGTCCAATATCCAGCATCTATAAGAAACTTAAATTTATAAGAAAAAAACAACCCCATTAAAAAATGGGCAAAGTACATGAAAAAACACTTTTTAGAAGAAGATAGACATGCAGCCAACCACATATTAAAAAAAAAAAAGCTCAGTATCACTGATCATTAGAGAAATGCAAAACAAAACCATGATGAGATACCATCTCACACCAGTCAGAATGGCTATTGTTAAAAAGTCAAAAAATAACAGATGCTGGTGAGGATGTGCAGAAAAGGGAACGTGTATACACTGTTGATGAGCGTTTAAATTAGTTCCACCATTGTGGAAAGCGGTGTCGCGATTTAAAGAGCTAAAAACAGAACTGTCATTCGACCCAGCAGTTCCATTACTGGGTGTATACCTAAGGGAATATAAATTGTACTACCATAAAGACACATGCACACGTATGTTCACTGCAGGATCTTCACAATAGCAAAGACATGGAATCAACCTAAATGCCCATCAGTAGCAGATTGGATAAAGAAAACGTGATACATATACACCATAGAATACTATACAGCCATAAAAAAGAAGAAGACTATGTCCTTTGCAGGAACATGGAGGGACCTGGAGGCCATCATCCTTAGCAAACTAATGCAGGAACAGAAAACCAGATACCGCACGTTCTCACTTATAAGTGGGAGCTAAATGATGTGAACACATGGACACAAAGAGGAAAACAACAGACACTGGGGCTTACTTGAGAGTCGAGGATAGGAGGAGGGAGAGGAGCAGAAAAAAATAACTGTTGGGTTCTAGGTTTATGTGACAGTCTGTACAACAAACCCCCACGACATGAATTTAACTATATAACAAACCTGCGCATGTACCCTGAACCTAAAATAAAAGTTAAAAAAACAAAAACAAAACCTTAACACTGTTTCCTAGCATTTAGAAAAATAAAAGCCATGTGTATCTATCTGTGAAAAAAAAGTGTCAGACTGTTTCAGGTTCTGTAAGTTTATCCTTCCCCAGTATGTTTGTTTACTTATACTCAAGAATATATCAGATATGTGTGTGTGTGTGTGTATCAGACTTTGATCATTGTCAATGTGATTACAAAATATATCTTACTGTTGCTAAAGTTTTTATTTGAATTTTTCGTTAGAGAAACTGAGAAATTCAAATGAAATTGAAAAGACACAACTTTTTCTGTTGTTTAAGAATTGTTCCTGTAACTTTAAGTGAATATAAATTATTTCTATTTTTATCTGATAATTTTAACAAAAATTAACTCCAATATTAAATATGCAACTTGATTTCATAAAGGAGAACTTAAACGTTATATAAACGTGTTGCTTAATGCAGTCAAAATATGTACTTCTAGGTTCTATTAGATTTTTGCTAATAAGTGTGCTGTTTAGTTTTAATTGGCATTCTCCAGTTAAAATTTTCCAATTTCAATTTTCAATTTTACATTGCACACTTTTCCCATGTGAGGTTTTAAGTGTTGCCTTTACATAAAGGAATGTGTTAAGAATGGTGGTGCCATCTTCAACAAACCTGACAAAAACAAGCAATGGGGAAAGCATTTCCTATTTAATAAATGGTGCTGGGAAAACTGGCTAGCCATATGCAGAAAACTGAAACTGGACCCCTTCCTTACATCTTATACAAAAATTAACTCAAGATGAATTAAAGACTTAAATGTAAAACCCAAAACAGTAAAAACCCTAGAAGAAAACTTAGGCAGTACCATTCAGGATATAGGCGTGGGCAAAGACTTCATAACTAAAACACCAAAAGCAATTGCAACAAAAGCCAAAATTGACAAATGGGATCTAATCAAACTAAAGAGCTTCTGCACCACAAAAGAAACTATCATCAGAGTGAACATGAACAGGCAGTCTACAGAATGGGAGAAAAATTTTGCAATCTACCCATCTGACAAAGGTCTAATATCTAGAATCTCCAAGGAACTTAAATTTACAAGAAAAAAAAAACCCATCAAAAAGTGGGAGAAGGATATGAACAGACTTCTCAAAAGACGACATGTATACGGCCAACTAACATGAAAAAAAGCTCATTATTACTGGTCATTAGAGAAATGCAAATCAAAACCTCAATGAGATACCATCTCACGCAGTCAGCATGGCGATTATTAAAAAGTCAGGCAACAACAGATGCTGGTGAGGCTGCGGAGAAATAAGAACGCTTTTACGCTGTTGGTGGGAGTGTAAATTCAACCATTGTGGAAGACACTGTGGCGATTCCTCAAGGATCTAGAACCAGAAATACTGTTTGACCCCACAATCCCATTTCTGGGTATATACCCAAAGGATTGTAAGTCATTCTACTAGAAAGGCACATGTACACATATGTTTATTGCAGCACTATTTACAATAGCAAAGACTTGGAGCCAAACCAGGTGCCCATCAATAATAGACTGGATAAAGAAAATGTGGCACATATACACCATGGAATACTATGCAGCCATGAAAAAGAATGAGCTCATGTCCTTCGCAGGGACATGGATAAAGCTGTAAACTATCATTCTCAGCAAACTAACACAGGGACAGAAAACCAAACACCATATGTTCTCACTGATAAGTGGGAGTTGAACAATGAGAACACACAGACACGGGGAAAGGAACATCACACACTGGGGCCTGTTGGGGGGTGGGGGGCAAGGGGAGGGAGAACTTTAGAACAAATACCTAATGCACGCAGGGTTTAAAACCTAGATAACAGGTTGATGGGTGCAGCAAACTGCCATGGCACATGTATACCTATGTAACAAACCTGCACATTCAGCACATGTATCCCAGAACTTAGAATAGTGATGCCATGAGTCCTGATGGTTGGGTATAGCAGAGTCCTGGGAAATCACAGTATAGTTAAAACTGTGTTCCTTACAGGTGTTTTATTAGTTAATACTGCAAAATACATAAGCAGTGAGACCTGGTGATTAAGTTATATTGTGCAAGGCTTTAAGTCAGTATACAGGAAACTTCTTCACAATTATTAAGTATGTCATATTATAATCTGGCTGCAAACTACTTATTCTGCCTACCCTCTCACCACTCGTTTCCTCAGCCAGCCTTTGTTCCACTAATGTTTTAACATCTTAACATTTCCAAATAGTCATTGCTTATGGCTTAGCATGTGCTGTTTCCTTTGCCTGGAATTCTCACCTCCCCTTTTTCTTGGGATACATCAAGCCCCAACTCAAGTATCATCTTTGTTTTCAAGTTGACCATAGCTACAATAGTCAGAATTATTTGCCCTCTCTTATTCATCTTTGCTTTCTCAGTATGTAACATAGAACTTGATATACAGTAGTAAATTAAAATATTTAAGGGTATTTCAAAGTCCAAGAAATTCTAGACTGGGCTCTATATAATAAGTCAGCTTATTCAGTTAGCTCAGAAATAAAAATTTAGGAGGTGTGTATGATTTGCTTTGGAATTGTTCGTCTACATAATCTAAATAACTTCAGAAACTTATAAGGTGTACCTAGTTATTCTTTCCTTTAGTTACCATTAATATGCAAGATTTGCATTTGATATGTATGTTTTGATGTTGGCTTGTGATAAAAACTTAAGAAATTTTGTCATAAAGTTATTCTTTGTTTATACAGAGAATGTCCAAGCACACAGATGCAGCAGAAGAGGTGCTATTGGAAAAAAAAGGTTGCACGGGAGTCATAACACTAAACAGACCAAAGTTCCTCAATGCACTGACTCTTAATATGATTCGGCAGATTTATCCACAGCTAAAGGTTTGTAATTTTCTTATTGCAATTATATGGATTCTTTTCAAAGTATATCATAATAGGACATTTCTGGTATTTTCTCCCATAGAATCACATAATTCTCTGGGATATGCATCTAAGTAAGCCCCATCAATTCTTGAGGTTTCAGTGCTTCCCCTGTGCAGTTATTCTTGAGCATCCCTGGTGATAGGGAGCTTACTGCCTCCTGAGACAGACTCTGACTTTTATATAGCACTGATTTGTTTGCAAGTTTCTTTTTGTGTTCTGTCACTCTGTATTTCTCTGACCTTTAAACCAATGATACTGGTTCTGCCTCTGAGAGGATGAGTGTACAAATCGAATCTGCTTCCACCTGACGGCCTTTTCATTTGAAGACAGCTGCTTTTTTTTTTTTTTGAGACGGAGGAGTCTCACTCTGTCGCCCAGGCTGGAGTGCAGTGGCACCATCTCGGCTCACTGCAAGCTCCACCTCCCGGGTTCATGCCATTCTCCTGCTTCAGCCTCCTGAGTAGCTGGGACTACAGGTGCCCGCCACCACACCCGGCTAATTTTTTGTATTTTTAGTAGAGACGGGGTTTCACCGTGTTAGCCAGGATGGTCTTGATCTCCTGACTTTGTGATCTATCTGCCTCGGCCTCCCAAAGTGCTGGGATTACAGGCGTGAGCCACCGCACCCGGCCAGACAGCTGCTTTTAAACTGCCTGCTTTTTCTCAGAGAAGGCCGTAAACTTTCCTAAGTGAGCAGCATGGAATAGTAGAAAAACAGGACTTAAAGTCAGACTGTCTGGTTTGAAACGTGGATTTCTATTTATTAACAGTGTAGGCTGGGAAAGTTAATCTCTCCATACCTCAAATCTCCTCAGTTCTGAAATGGGGATGATGATATGTAAAGATTAAGTGAATAGTATATATAAGTACCTAATACAGTCTGCCATGTAGATGTTTAACAAATACTAGTTTTCCCCTGGCTACCAATTCCTTAATTCTTCTTTTGATGAGTCTGTCTTCCATTCTTATGTTTCTGTTTGAGATACCATTATAATATGTCCCAAAATGTGATACATAGAAATAAGCCAAATGTTGCAAATCAAAGTTGGACCAGAGTGGAAGAAATTAGAAATGTTCATGTTAGAATAACATCTCTATTAATGTAATTAATGTAGTCCGGTATTGCATGAACCTTTTGGACAATCACGTCTTTCCAGCTACATCTTCCTTGTGCGTTACATATTTATTCTCTAGTACAGGTTGAACATCCTTAATTCAAAATGCTATAAAATTCAAAAACTCTTTAAGCATCAACATGATGCCACAAGTGGAAAATTCCACACCTGGCCTCATGATTGCTCGCAGTCAAAATACAAGTGCACAACACACTGTTTATTCAGGGTCCCTATGGGAAAAATTAATTACTTTCAGGCTATGTGTATAAGGTGGATATGAAACATAAAGGAATTCCCAATCCCCAGGATATCTCATATTGTATATGCAAATATTCTAAAATCTAAAAAAGTCTGAAACACTTTTGGTCCCAAGCATTTCAGATAAGGGATACTCAACCTGTATAGATTGATAGAACCCCTGTTAAGTTTTCTGTCTGTGGGTAACTAATTTTTCATTTCGTCCATTGTTCTGGACTTTCACATTTTCATCGGCTCTTGATTCTTTCATCCTACTTATTTATTAGCTGTCTTTACCAATCCCAAAGGACTTGGATTTTTTATATTATAAGTGGTTTCACTATGTTACTTACGTATTAAGAGTAAGAGAGCCCTGTATCAGCACAGTAGAAAGGTTATTGCTATATTTATCAGCAGTCTTTGGGTTGATTTGTTCTCCAAATTTATACGTTTATGTAACATATTATTATTATGCCCTTATTTGTTCATCTTGGTATCAAAGTTATGGCAAAGATTTCAGGTGCCATCTTGAAATTTGGATCACACAGTGTACTCATCTAGCAACATTTTTGAAATAGCCTCTACTTTATCTGGGAAAAGCATATGAAGTTCATTTGATAAGGAATGGGATGAGATTCGTTCTTCTGGATATCCCTTACAGAAGAATATGTACTGTCACAAACACATATGTATATGAATATATGATTGAATATATGTGCATATGCATATAACTTTAATGAGTTTGTGTTTATAATATGCTTATACCATCTTCTGTTACATTTGAATAGAAGTGGGAACAAGATCCTGAAACTTTCCTGATCATTATAAAGGGAGCAGGAGGAAAGGCTTTCTGTGCCGGGGGTGATATCAGAGGTAAAGACTTTTCCCTTTCACCTGAGTGCTCTTTCCCCCTACTAGAACTGATCAAGTATTGTCAAATTTTTGTAATAATTTATAATTTGCTTTACTTTTTAGAACTTTTTATTATAAAGTTAATACATTCTTAGGAAAAAGAAAAATTTAAAGACTTACTTTCTGCAGTTAGTATTAGCAAATGAGAATAGCAGATTTTTTTTTCTCACTACACAAATACCCATTTGAAATTTAAATATGTTGTCTCTCTCCCTGAATCATCACAAACAAAATGTCCAGTTAGGGTATATGGGTCCACTTTATATTTTAGAAGAGCTGATATTAAGCAGTTCTGTTGGTCTTATAACCTGACTATCTGGCCATGTTGACTTGCCATTCTTCAAATATGACATGCTCTCACATATTTCCATAACTTTTCCTATGCTTCCCACTATTCAAGATCCCAAAGCAACCATCTTCTATGTACTTATTTATAGCATTTATCCTGTTGCTATATATATATATATATATATATATATATATACACACAAAATATATATTACAAAATATATATTGTAAGTATATTTTACGTGTTTAAACATGCTGAGATAAAAAGAGAAACTCTCTTTATTTTTCATAATTGTTCAGGTCAGTCTGTCTATACACATTTAAATGTTAAAGACAAAAGAGAAGAAATGTCTGTTCTCAGCATCAGTGTCATGTATTTATTATAATCACTATAATTGTCCATATTATATGTACAGTATATTGAAAACTTTTTACATTTTGTATCTTGTTTCTTGTGGATTTGGTAGGGTTCAGGGATGGTTTTTTTCTTTGTGTTTTAATTTTATATGTTTGTTTGTTTGTTGTATTAAGACAACAGTCTTTGGGCTTGTTCACCAAACTTACGTAAACCATTACCTTAGGAACAGGAAAAAAGCTGGATTCAGGACATAATTTCAAATACTTATTAATGAATTTTAAAATTGCAGTTTAATGAAAACTTTGATTACTTAAACTGATCTGTTAACTGAATTGTTTTTGAATCTGTTGTTTTGCCTACAACATGCGTTTTTTTATTATTTTATTTATTTATTTATTTTTTTTTTTGAGACGGAGTTTCGCTCTTGTTGCGCAGGCTGGAGTGCAGTCACGTGATCTCTGCTCGCTGCAACCTCCACCTCCCAGGTTCAAACAATTCTCCTGCCTCAGCTTCCCGAGTAGCTGAGATTACAGGTGCCTGCCAACATGCCCTGCTAATTTTTTGTATTTTTAGTAGAGACAGGGTTTCACCATGTTGGCCAGGCTGGTCTTGAACTCCTGATCTCAGGCGATCCGCCTGCCTCGGCCTCCCAACAACATGCATATTTTTAAAATACTGTTTTTCAGCCTTGAATTAGCCTTTCGTCTGGCCTGTGATCGTCAGTTTACAGGTGGGCAGAGCTTTATGTATTGAGTTTATTAGCTTTTTCTGACTGAGCTATTTCTGCATATAGGCCTAATTTTATATTGATGTTTGGAAATAACAGCTACAAGTTGTAGAATTATTGTAGTTTACACATATAAAGCAGTGGATTCAAGTCCAGGAAATGTAATTTCTTGAAAGATTATAGTCCAAGACAATAAGTGGACACTCAGAAAATTTTCAAAAAATGATTGTGAAGGACATTTAATTTTAATTTAGATGGAACTAATTGATTAGAATAAAAATTAGATCAGAAAAAGATTTGAAGGAAATTTGAGAAGGTTTTTGAGGTAAAAGAGCTTCATTCCAAAGGCGATAAAACTTACATTCCTTTCCTTTTAGAATTGGTAAGCAGTGATAAGAGCTGAATAAAAGATGATAAACAAAGATAGTCATTTTTTGTTTGTTTGTTTGTTTGTTTAGGTATAAGTGAAACCTCAGAATGATAAAAGTAGGTGTCAGATCTTTCTTTTAAAAACCAGTAAAAGGACTGGGTGCAGAGGCTAACGCCTGTAATCTCAGCACTTTGGGAGGCCGAGGTGGGAGGATTGCCTGAGCTCAAGAGTTCGAGACCAGCCTGGGCAATGTGGTGAAACCCCGTCTCTACTAAAATACAAAAAAGAAAAATTAGCTGGGCATGGCGGCATGCGCCTATAGTCCCAGCTACTTGGGAGGCTGAGGCAGGAGAATTGCTTGAACCTGGGAGGTGGAGGTTGCAGTGAGCTGAGATCATGCCACCGCACTCCAGCCTGGTGACAAGGCAAGACTCCGTTTCAAAAACAAACACCCCAAAAAACCAGGAAAAGAAGTCGACATATGGAACATTTTGAAGGAAGAGATATCAGAATTCTAGAGTTAGGAGGCCCGAGCCGGCAGATCACCTGAGGTTGGGAGTTCGAGACCGGCCTGGCCAATATAGTGAAACCCCTCTCTACTAAAAATACAAAAATTAGCCAGGCATGGTGGCACATGCCTGTAATCCCAACTACTTGGGAGGCTGAGGCAGGAGAATCACTTCAACCTGGGAGGTGGAGGTTGCAGTGAGCCAAGATTGTGCCACTGTACTCCAGCCTGGGCAACAAAGCGAGATTCTGTCTCAAAACAAACAAAAAACAAACAAGAGAATTCTAGAGTTAGTGTAAGAATTGGTAGACAACATTTTGTATGTAATACTTTCCCATAAAAGAGGAAACATATCTATGAAATGTTTAGTTTGTGTTTTAATAGATAAATCTCATAGGACTTAAAGACAAGAAAGGCATATGAGTTGCAGTATATAGAAGAGGAAACTTTGATAGCAGTCTTGAGATTGACTGGAGGAGGAATATGGTAGGAGATGTGAACTCTGGGTAATAGAAGATTGCAACAGAAGTGAAACCATTTGATAGTGTTCACTATTCAGTAGATATTTACTGAGCATTTGTTTTTTAAGCCAGGCAGTGGTATGCTGTAGCAATGTCTTTGAGAATTTACATTTCTATCGATGTTAATAAATAAGAATGTCAGTATATTATTTACCTGTCTAGCCTCACCTTTTCCCTTTGCCCTTTAGTCTTTTAAAGCTGTTTGATTCTTGATTTTACTCTTCTTTCTTGACTTTGAGGCTTTGTAGGGTACTGCTTCCCCTAGTCAGAATTTTTCTTTCTGTCATTTTCTAGGAAATTCCTATTTACCTTTTCCAACTTGGCTTAGGGTTACCTCTTCTAGGAAGCCTTCTTTTAATTAATTACACATCTCCTGCTCCCATTCTGACAGCACCCCAATCCTTACAGGACAAAGAATATGTTTTAGTATCAGTCTAAACTCCAGGACAGCCATCTTGTGTTGCTGTCTTTATTATCTGCAACACCTAAAACATTACTTGGTATGTAGTAGGTGCTCAATAAATGTTTTATGGGGGAAATGAATGTGGCAGAAATATTTAAGGACATGGGATACGTTGTAGCACTATACACACACGTATAATACATTTTGTATTAAGACATATTACCAAAGGAAATGTATGTCTAGCAAATGTTAATTTAAGTGCTAGAGAAAATAATCAAAAGAAAATGTAGCTTGTTGCAATATATTATTATTTTTTTTAAGGAGACAGGGTGTCACTCTTCTCTCCAGGCTAGAGTACAGTGGTGTGATGATGGCTCACTGTAGCCTCAATATCCTGGGCTCAAATGATCCTCCCGGCTCAGCCTCCTGAGCAGCTGGAACTACAGGCATGTGGCACTGCAGCCAGCTAATTAAACATTTTTTGTTGAGACAGAGTTTCACCAGGCTGGTCTCAAACTCCTGGCCTCAAGGAATCCTCCCACCTGGTTTCTCAAAGTGCTGCGATTACAGGTTTGAGCCACCATGCCCAGCCTATAATTTCTAATCTAACATTTTGTAAGAAGCATGGAAAACAAGAATAGGAATTTTTGCCTTGAAGCTTTGACATTGGACTATGGATCTGTGACTATAATATAATGTCTGTGGCAGGGGCAACTTCAAAACTTTTAACAAGTCATTTTAGAGTACTCCCTTCCCCCAGTATTTAATTTTCATAATACTTTTGATCTAGTTGACAATGTTGACTATTAAATCTTTTTTTTTTTATTTGTAATCTTTCCTTCCTAGTGATCTCGGAAGCTGAAAAGGCAAAACAGAAGATAGCTCCAGTTTTCTTCAGAGAAGAATATATGCTGAATAATGCTGTTGGTATGTGTATTCTGCTCAGAGCTTTGGAAATGGAATAAAGAAATGAGGTGGACAGTATGTACTTTGTTAAAAATGCAATCAATAGGCATCCTTACTTAAACTTTTAATACCATGTGCCAGGCATAAGTAAAGTTGATTAAACTATTTTAAGTGCTTATTTCAGAACAGTTACCCTTTAATATTAGTAGGCTATACTTAACTGCTATTTGTTATAAAATCAATATGAGGCCAGGCATGGTGGCTCACGCCTGTAATCCCAGCAATTTGGGAGGCTGAGGTGGGTGGATCACCTGAGTTCAGGAGTTTGAGACCAGCCTGGCCAACGTGCTGAAACCCCGTCTCTACTAAAAATACAAAAATCAGCTGGGTGCGGTGGCAAGTGCCTGTAATCCCAGCTACTCGGGAGGCTGAGGCAGGAGAATCAGCTTGAACCTGGGAGGTGGAGGTTGCAGTGATTCGAGATTGCACCACTGCACTCCAGCCTGGGCAACAAAGCGAGACTCCGTCTCAAAAATAAATCAATATGAAAATATGGATTTCTCATCATGTGGTAGCTTTCTTGGGGGAAAAAACTTGGGTTCCAGTTTTCTCTATGAAATGAAGTATAGTATCATTTCCTAATTCTTAGGAATAAAAATTTCTTTATATTCAAGGTTCTAGGTTTCATTGGAGGTGAAGCAGTACTTTTATCTAGCATGCGAAGTTAAGATACAGGAAATAACATAATAAGTACTTGTGTACCCTCCAGCCCAGAATTAACAGACGTCAATATTTTGTTTTTGCTTGATGATTTAAAATTTCTCCAAAAGAAATATAATACTGCAAGTTTGGAAGTTACATTTCAGCCCATTTTTTTGCTTTCCTCAGTGCCATTACTTTCCCCAGAAGCAACCATTTATCCCTCCTCAAAAACAACCATTGTCATTAATTTTTAGTGTATTCTCCTAGACCATATTTGACATTTTTACTAAATATTTATGAACTAAAAGATTTTAAGTTAGAATTTGATTGAATACATGATATTAACGTATTTTGACATATAGTTGGAAAAATAAATTCAGTTTTTGTCATGTGCCTTTTAGACAAATAAACATTTATATATTGGCATAAAAACATGAATTAATATCTAGTAGATTAAACACATGGGGATATATATGTTTTTCTAAAAATATGAATTGATGAAAATAATTACTAAGTGATGAAAAAAGCTGTATACTCATTTAACATTAAAGTATTTAAAATAGTAAAACATAAGTTTATTTTTATTTTATTATTTATTATTTATTTATCTTTTAAGAGAGAGTCTTGCCCTGTCACCCAGGCTGGAGTGCAGTGGTGCGATCTTGGCTCACTGCAGCCTCTGTCTCCCAGGTTCAAGTGATTCTCCTGCCTCAGCCACCTGAGTAGCTGGGATTACAGGCATGCACCACCACACCCTGCTAATTTTTGTATTTTAAGTAGAGACAGGTTTCACCCTGTTGGCCAGGCTGCTCTCGAACTCCTGACCCTAGGTGATCCATCTGCCCCGGCCTCCCAAAGTACTGGGATTACAGACATGAGCCACGCACCTGGTGTGGTGTAAGTTTAAAGACAAAATAGAAATGCAGAGCATTGTATCATATTTTATACAGCAAAGTAGACAAATAGAGGCCGCTGCTTTTTAAGCTTTCCAATTCCTTTTGTTTTTTAGCTTTTATTTTAAGTTTGAACTAAAAGATTTTTACTTTGTGTTTAGCAATTTACATAAATACTATCTTACTGTGTAACCATTCCATAAATTGTTTTTAACAACATGGAATGTAACTCTTCTGTGGTATCCAATATTATGATTATATCCCACATTAATTATCTGTTCTACATTAATGGATATTTTAGCTTCCAGTAGTTACTAACATAGATAGTTGTACTCTATCTAGTATGTGGTCCCTTATTTCCCATGTGCAAAAGTTTCTCCAGAAATAATATGTAGAATGGATAGATCATAGTGTTTATGCATCATTACTTTGTTTCCAAATTCTTTAAGATGCTTTTTCTACATGTCTTTTTTCTTGGCTGCTGTTGGACTTTGGATCTTCCATATGAATTTTAGAATTGTTTTATCTAGTTTCACAAAAGTTTCTACTGAGATTATGATTAGACTTAGAATGAATTATGGGTTAATTTGGAGGGAATTGACATCTTTGATATTGAATGTTCCCAACCATAATGTGACATAGCTCTTCCTTTTTTTAAAAAAAAAAAAAAAAAAGATAGGGTCTTGGTCTGTTGCCCAGGCTGGAGTGCAGTGGCATGATCACAGCTCACTGCAGCCTCAACCTCCTGTGCTTAAGTGATCAAGTGTTCCTCCCACCTCAGCTTTCTGAGCAGCTGGGAGCACAGGTGCCTGCCACCACACCTGGCTATACTTTTTTTAAGAGAGGGAGTTTTGCTGTATTGCTCAGGCTGGTCTCATACTGCTGACCTCAAGCAATCCTCCCACCTTGGCCTCCCAAAGAGGTTAGATTACAGGTGTCAGCCACCACACTGGGCCCTGGCTTTTGTTTAAAATCGAAGGTTAAGTTGTTAAATGATAATGAATAGATAGGATTGTGTTGGATTGACATTTAAAAATATGTATTTTATAAGCCATACATTTAGTCGTCTTTGGTGTTTCTTGCTAAAATTTCCTAGGGAAAATCTTGAGTATATATAATGTGGGTTTTTTTTTAAGAAAAAGGGAATGTATTTTAAACACTGTAACTAAAATTACAGCTCTGTTTCTTTCAGGTTCTTGCCAGAAACCTTATGTTGCACTTATTCATGGAATTACAATGGGTGGGGTAAGTAGACTTTTTACTCTGATCATTGTATGAGTGAGTTGTATTAAAAATAAGTTAATAATTATTAAACAGAAGTGAGCTGATGAATGTAATATAATAGAACTCATTGAAACATAATTGTGTGGATTTTGGATCCTGACAGATTTGAGATATAATATTTGCTTATAGCACTTTTAGACTATCCCAGCCCAAAAGAATATTTTATGTTCTTAGTTATGTTATATGGCCGGGCATGGTGCCTCACGTCTGTAATCCCAGCAGTTTGGGAGGCCAAGGTGGGCAGATCACTTGAGGTCAGGAGTTTGAGACCAGCCTGGCCTACATGGCGAAACCCTGCCTCTATTAAAAATACAAAAATTAGCTGAGCATGGTGGCACACACCTGTGATCTCAGCTACTCAGGAGGTTGAGGCATGATAATCGCTTGAACCCAGGAGGTGGAGCTTGTAGTGAGCTGAGATTGCACCACTGCACTCCAGCCTGGGTGACAAAGTGAGACTGTCTCAAAAACAAAAAAATATATGTATACACACACACACACACACACACACACACACACGTTATATGCTATTTTAACTTTTTGAATTAGCAAGTTTTTTTAAGCAATGGAAACTGATTGTGTTTTTATCTTTTAATATATAGAGCCTTTTTTCTACTTAAAAATAAACTGATTCTTTTCAGAAACTTCAGAAGAGAAACTAGAATGTTGAGTTTTTTTTTTTTTAAATTCAGTATTAGAGATTTGGTTGCCTAAATTGTACCTGTTACTCAAAATTTCACCTTAGTGGAAGTGTTTGGATTCTTTTTGAAGTTCTCTGTAACTGCATTTCTGTCAGTTGACAAATATTCTGCCTCTGTGCTATTACAGAGAAGTCTAAAATGTAACTGGCATTGATTAACTTGACCTGGAGTTAGAGAAAACATGAAATAATTACAAAACAATTGGTAAATTGTATGGTACTGACAAAGATTAGCCTTTGAAGAAGTGAGGGGTCAGAATTGGTCTTCATGGCAGGAAAGGGCTGCATGGAGAAGATGGTGAATTGAACTGAGCCTAGAAAGGTAGTGGAGGAGAGAAAAAGTAATGTCTTTTCCTCACCGATTGCAGGGGTCATGGCCAGTATCCATATAACAAAAGACAGATTGACAATAGAGAAGCATAACAAATTTGTTTAATCAAAGTTTTACATGACATGGGAGCCTTCAGAAAAGAAGACCCAAAGACCCACAGATCCAGGAAAAACTGTTTTTGTGTGTAAGTTCAGTGAACAATGGACAGTCATATAGAAGTATGATTGGACAAAAACGGTATTATTCAGTAGTAATAAATGGGGGAACTTAGGTAGGCTTGTTTGTTGAGATTCTTCTTGGCCTCTGTGTGTAACATTCCTTTCCTCCAGGTATAGGATGGGGCCCTTGTCACATGAGGGTTTAATGACTTTCAAGTCCGGGTGTCGTGGCTGATGCCTGTAATCCTAGCACTTTGGGAGGCTGAGGTGGGTAAATCGCTTGAGGCTAGGAGTTCGAGACCAGCTTGGGCAACATGGCGAAACCCCATCTCTACTAAAACTACAAAAATCAGTTGGGTGTGATGGTGTGCACCAGTAATCTCAGTGACTGGGGAGGCTGAGGCACGAGAATTGCTTGAACCCGGGAGGTTATAGTGAGCTGAGATCATGCCACTGCACTCCAGCCTGGGTGACAGAGTGAGACTCTGTCTCAAAAAACAAAACAAAACAAAAAGACATACTTTCAGAAGAGGTAGGTTAGAGAACTTCTTTACGGCCAGCTGTCCCACAGAAAGGCGGGGGGAGGTCACAGTGGCCTCCAAGTGGCCGTAGTTTGGGGTAGCATATCCTGAGCCGTGACAATAGGTAGGACATAGGTAGGTAGGGCCCAGGTAGGTAGAGCCTAGGTAGGTAGGTAGTATGAGGCCAAAAGGTGGAATTTTTGAAATTCCACCTGTTCAATGTTTTAAGGAACTTAACTATTTGGAATACAGGAAGTTCCCCCTTTGTTCTAGTAGAACCACCCTAAATAAGGACCGGGAATTGCTTAGATCTTGCACATCATTTTGGGAAGGGATTCTACTAGCAAGGGTGATCTGTACCTCTGCTTGGCAGAAACTGAGCGTGGGTTGGTTGTGCTTTAACCTGGGGAAAAGGAAAGCTCTCTGAAAAAAGTACTGCAGAGTAAGAGGAAGGGAAAGAATCTGAAGCATTGAAGGAAGAGCTGCCCTGTGAATGTGAAAGAAACCAGGAAAAAATGAAGACAAAAACAATGGGCATACCCAACAGCATGTAAAAATAAATGTGACCCCATTAAAACAGGAAAGAAATCCCATAAGGATAGAGCAAACTCAGATGAAAGGGCTACAAGTTGAAAAAGGGAAACAGGAAACAGGGAGGATGACTGGGAACTAATACACAGTAGCAAAGCTGACATTTTATTTTAATGGCAGTAGATTAGAAAGAGATGAATTTAATATTACAGATAGTGAAGTATCTGTGGAGAACAAACTTGAGAAACTCTCACAAAGCATTCAAAAAAATATATAAGTGATGAAAATGAATGTTTTGAGGTAATGACTATGAAAGAAAGTTACTGGGAACCCAACAAAGGAGTGATAAGTACTCCACTGAAAGTAAATCAGATACTTGGAACAGAAATGATGATCAGATATAATGAAATAAGACTTTAAGTAAAAACAAATACTCCCAAACTCAGATATGTATAATTAAAGGAAACACGAAATTTCAGATAAGTGAAAAGAGACCCATACCTAGATAAAAGCTCAGGTAAATTTTTTAAAATTATAAGCCTTAAGAAAAAAAAGCTAACTGTGAGTAGTCAGGCCAAGGAATCAAGGTAAATGGGGTGATTAGTGATATACGTTATATACAGATTTCTTCAGATTTCTCTGTTACACAATGTGACAGAAGTCAATGGGTTGAGAAGTTGTGAAGTAGTTAGGATCCAAGAGTTTTCTCCCCAACTAAGTCGTTATTTAGTATAAATATAAAATAAAAATATTATCAGAAATGGTAAATATATTGCTGACATATTACTGAGAATATTTCAGTAACTATTTGGTCTAGTTGACCAAGAGATCACTTAAAGTTATAACTCAAGACTCCTTCTGATATGAAAGGATTGGTAAGCTGCCCTTTGGTGCTATAAGTGGGCAGAACTTCCATTTTTTTTTTACAGAAGCCTGAGAATTATATTGCTCTAGCACATCATTTCTGAAGGCACTGGCCATGTTCTTCAGTTCTGGGGCTTGTATAGGTTGGTATAATGTTTGTATATATTCCTCATATGTAACAACCAAGAATATTTATTTCAAAAGAAAAGACTGCAGTGAAACAGATCAAGATAATGTTGTCTTGAATAAATGAAGTAAAGATGCTGCTGATTCTTCATACTGGTCTCTGTTTTCAGTATTTAAAGAACATAAATAACTTTCAAATAAAGATATACTTTATATCAGCCTTTCTTAACCAGAACTCCACCAGAGGATTAAGTCTTAGTGCCCTAAAATGTTCTTGGGTTTGCCTAGAGAATCAGTCTCGAGGCTGGGGCCTAGCAGTCTGTTTGAACAAGCCAAGCTCTCCAAGTAATTCTGAGTCATGTTAATTTGAGAACTAGGGCTCTAAGCCATCCCTTGAATGTAATAAATTAGCTCCTATTTCTGTCCTGTGCTTCTCGAATGGTACTAGTTATGTACCATCCTTGGGAGAATTGAGAATATAATCACATCATTTGCAGTGATCTGTGGTTCAGATGAGGAACCCCTGAGAAAGTTTGTTTTATACTATATTTTATCAGCTCCCTTAAAAATATTGTGTCTTTTCTTCCATCAGGTATGCCCAACCACATGCATCCTTAAAGACTGAAGTTCTTCCCTCTTTTTTAATAGCCATAAATATTATGGATTGAGCATCTCTTGTCTGAAATGCTTAGGACGAGGAGTGTTTTGGATTTTGGAATATTTACAATATGTTATAAATAAAGTTTCAGTGCCGCAAAAGAAATAGCACTCGAATGTAACATTTTGTTTTTAATTCTCAGCAAGGAAATGTACTACTATAGAAGGGTGTGCCCTTACAGATGGAGCAATGGTGAGCATACACCTGGACAAGGGAGGCAAAGGAGTTCTTATTCCTGATGCACATGGCCCGTGCTGCTGTGTCATTCCCCTATTGGCTAGGGTTAGACCGCACAGGCTAAACTAATTCTGATTGGCTACTTTAAAGAGAGTGATGGGGTGAGTGGTTTGGCAGAAAAAATGGTTATGGCAGAGCAGTAAATTGGAATGAGTCAGGGTGGAGCAGGTAATCGAAAAAGGTTGCTTTATGAGGAAGTTAAGTTTAAAAGTAGAAGGCAAAGAATTGAACATACTGACATTGACTCTTTGAAGAGAAATTTAGAACTCATATCTAACAAATCTTAAATCTAAAAATCTGAAATCGGAAATGTTCCAAAATCTGAAATATTTGGAGCACCAACATGATACTCAAAGGAAATGCTCATTGGAGCATTTCAGATTTCAGAGTTTTGGATTCAGGATGCTCAACTTACACTACAATTAGATGTGATTTCTTCTTTCATTGAGTCAGTGCTTTCAGTCTGTACTCTAAATTTGGTGTTTGTACTTTATTGTTACTTTATATCTCATCTTTCCAACTGTATTAGATGGTCTGGAAAGGGCAAGGATTATCCTACCTTTTTTTTTTTTTTTTTGGCCTTCTCGTAACAACTAGGAATATACAGTTATAGAGAAATTTTTAAACAATTATACCCTAAATAATAAACATCTTGTATAGCCGTTGAAAGAGTAAACAACAGGCTGGAAGTGAACAGTCTCTTTTTTTTTAGTAGTGGGGTTTTGTATTTATCTTGGTTTGGAAGGCCACACTTTTCATGTCTGATTTACAAACTTCTGTGATTTGAGTATGGGTTGTCCCCACCAAAACCCATGTTGAGGTTTGTTTCCCAGTGTGGTGGTGTTGGGAGGTGGTGCCTTTAAGAGGTGATTATGTTGTTAAGATGGATTAGTATCTTTCTTGCAAGACTGGGTTAGTTCTTATGGGAATGGTTAGTTTCTGCGAGAGCAGGTTGTTGTAAAGTGAGGTTGCTTCCTATGTTTTGGGCTTTTTACATGTGCCTGGTACCTCTTCTATTTCTCTGCCATGTTTTCATGTAACATAAGGCCCTCACTAGAAGCTGCCAGATGCAGCCTCTCAATCTTGAACTTTCTGGCTTGTAGAACCATCACCTAAATAAACCCATTTTTAAATTTTGTTTTATAAGTTACCTAGTCTGTGTATCCTGTTACAGTAGCACAAAATGGACTGAGACAGAAAATTGATACTGAGAAGTGTTGCTAATAACAAATACCTGAAATTGTGGAAGTGGCTTTGGAATTGGGTAATGGATAGACACTTGAAAGAATTTGGAGGAGCAGGATAGAAAAAAACCTGTATTGCTGTGAACGGAGCATTAAGGGTGATTCTGGTGAGGGCTCAGAAGAAGACAAGGCTGGGGAAAATGTGGAACTTCTTAGAGATTATTTAAGTGGTCATGGGCAGAATGCTAATAGAAATATGGACAGTAATGGCCATTTTGATGAGGACCCGGATGAAAATGAGGAACAAGATATTGGAGTAAAGAGCATCCTTGTAATAAAGTGACAAAGAACCTGGCTGGATGTGTCCATGTCTGAGGGCTTTATGGAATTCAGGAATTTAGAGCCATGAATTAGAATGCCTGGAAGAAGATCTATCTAATCCGCAAAGCATTCAGGCTGCTGCATGGCTACTTTTAATAGCTTACATAAAGCTGTGAGAGGGAAAAAAATGACTGAAGATGAAATTTATAATCAAAAGGGAAAGAAAGCAGAAAGATTTGGAAAACTCTCAGCCTGGCCATGTAAAGAGTGAAAAAACTTTTTGGGAGAGGAAACCAAGGTGTGGCGCAGCAATTTTTGCTAAAGAGAGTAATACTTAATGGAAGGGAATATCAAGACAATGGGAGAAAGACCCTCAAGGCATTTCCGAGACCTTTGAGCCTCCCTTTCTCATCACAGGCCCAGAGCTCTGGCACAAATGGTTTTGGGTGATGGACTTGGGCCTCCCCCTATAAGCTTACCGCCCGGGGCTGCTTGGGCCTCTGCTCCCAGAATTCCAGCACAGTGCTCCTCAGTTGTCCCCGCTATGGCTCAAGTGCCCCAGGTACAGCTTGACCTGCAGCTCCAGAAGATATAAGCCATAAGCCTTGGTGGCATCCATGTGGTGCTAATTCTGCAGGCTGTCAGAAAGCAGAGCTAGGAAGGCATGTGAGCCTCTCCCTAGATTTCAAAGGATATATTAGACAGTCTGGTGTCAGGCAGAGCTTTGTTGCAGGGGTGGAGCCACCACAGAGAGTCCATTCTGGAGAATGCCAAGTGGAATTGTGAGGTCAGAGCTAGAGCTGCCCTTGAGATTCTAGAACTGTTGACCCACTGGCAGCATGGCACCAGTTTGCAACTTCAACTGTAGAGAGCTGAAGTGTGGGCTTGTTAGTGGTGGATCCGTACAGGTCTGAAGCAACTTGATTCTTGCCTCCTTGAAGGAAAGAATTTGTCTAAGGGGCATAAGGCAGAGTGAGAGACCAAGGCAAGTTTTTGAGCAGGAGTGACAGTTTATTAAAAAGTTTTAGAACAGGAACAATAGGATGTAAAGTATTCTTGGAAGAGGGCCAAGCAAGCAACTTGAGAGATTCAAGTGTTCTGTTTGGCCCTTGACTTGGGGTTTTATACACTGGCGTGGTTCCGGGGTTTGAGTTTCTTCTCCCTTGATTTTTCCTTGGGGTGGGCTGTCCACATGTGCAGTGGCCTGCCAGCACTCGAGGGGCCATATGCTCAGTGTGTTTACTCAAGTTGTGCGCATGCTCATTTGAGGCATTTTCCCCCTTGCTAAGTTGAACATTTTTAGAGGAAGGTTATATACCAGTTAAACTCTGCAATTTTGCATCTAAATGCACATGCTTGGGCCCACTCGCCCAGCTCCTGAGATCTTAATGGGAAGCGGCTGATCACGAGCTTCAGGTGTTTTCTGTCTACTGGGAGACTGCCTTTCCCTGCTGCCAGCTGCGACCAGTTATTTTAGGGAGATAGTTTAACAACCACCTGACCATCACTTGATGGTCACCTGACATTCTGGGTGTGGGGGAGCTCTCTGCCCTGCTCATGTCTGCCTAGCTACCTACTCTTAACTGGTTGAGCCCAGAAAGCTCTAGGAGTAGGGTTGATACCTTGAGGGCCCACCTCTCCAACCCCATCCCAGTGTGCACAGGATTCAGACATGGAATGGAGATTACTCTCTAGCTTTAAGAGTTAATGTCTTCTTTCTCAGGGTTTTAAAGACTTAATTGAGGCCTGTTACTCCTTTCTTTTGGCCTATTTCTGCCTTTTAGAATGGGAATGTTAGAAATCCTTGTTCCCCGGTGCCGCAAAGAAATAGCACTTGAACATAAATTTAATTTTCTCAGCCAGGCCATTTTTACTTTCTGCAGAAAGAGTACACTTGCCGGCAGTTTTGCTACAAGAGTACAGCGAACAAAGGGGACAGGGTAATTTATAACCTGACGCGTTCACCCTACTGCTGTGTCCGGTTTCCATTGGCTGGAACGGGACCTCACATTCTGTATTTGTCCCAATTGGATAGCAACTTAGAACTTTCTAAAAGAGGCAAAGGCAGAGGAGAACAAAGGAAGGAGGAAGTAACTTGTGGAATGCTGAGAAAGGTAAAAACACCTCCAAATAAGGAAGAGGAACAGGCTATGACCTAATGCTTGCTTGGACCAGTATAAGCATGCCAGGGCAAATATTTAGGCTAAATGTGGGAGCTAAGAACACGAAGTACATTGATTTCTTTATTAAGGCTAGCAGATATCTAAGAATGTTAGCACAGGTCTTTGAATAAATTTTGCTTCTAAGAGAATTTACTATTTATTCCTAATTAGACAGGGAGGAAAGTCTCTTTGAAGAGGATCCTCTACTTTACTTTTTACAGGAATGTATACCCTATACCTGTCCTACCACTGTATCTTGGAAGTAGATAACTTGTTTTGATTACACAGGCTTCACAGATGGGACTCTGGACTTCGGAATTTTGAGTTGGTGCTGAAACAATACTTTGAGGATATGGAGCTGGAGTGAATGTATTTGTATGTGAGAAGGATATGAGTTTGGGAGGTCAGGGATGGAATGCTACGGTTTGAATATTTGTCCCCACCGAAACTCATGTTGAAACTTAATCCTGAATGTAACAGTATTAAGAAGTGAGGCCTTCAAGAGGTGATGGGGTCATGAGGGTAGAGTAGTTTGATCCATTCATGGATTAATAGGTTATCACAGGAAGAATGGTTTAATTACCATGGGAATGGGTCTGTTTTAAAAGCCAGTTTGGCATGCTCTTGCCCCTTCACCAGATCAGGGCTCTGCAGAGAGTCCCCACCAGCAAGAAGGCCCTCAACAGATATGGCCCTTCAACCTTGGCTTTCCCAATCTCCAGAAGAGCTGTAAGACATAGATTCCTTTTCTTTATAAATTGCCCAGTCTCAGATACTCAGTTACAGCAACAGAAAACTTAAGACACCAGCATTTCTTAATATAAGATGTTTTATGAACTCTAGCTTCTGAAAATGTAATCCTCTAGATCATTGGCGCTCAACCTTGTTGGCACTTTAGAATTATTTGGGAGTCTTTTTAAAATTCCAGTGCCTAGGCTTACCTTATCTCCCATAATCATTAAATTGGATAGTGGACAGTGGAGTGAGACCTAGGCTTTTTTTTTTTTTTTTTTTTGAGATGGAGTCTCACTCTTTTGCCCAGGCTGGAGTGCAGTGGTGCTATGAGACCTAGGCATTTTTAAAGCTCCCTGGTGTTACCAATGTGAAGGTAAAGTTAAAAACTGCTGCTCTACAGGTTCTTGTGTGTGGTTGTGTCTCCTGTGACTTTTTTCTAAATCTCCCAAAGACTGTTCTTCACATTTTAGTTTGTATCAGAGTAACCTGGAGGGCTTGTTAAAAAGCAGATTCTAGGCTGGGCACGGCGGCTCACGCCTGTAATCCTAGTACTTTGGGAGGCCTAGGCTGGCGGATCACTTAAGGCCAGGAGTTCAAGACCAGCCTGGCCAACGTGGCGAAATCCCCTCTCTACTAAAAATACAAAATTAGCTGGATGTGGTGGCGGGGGCCTGTAATCCCAGCTACTCCAGAGGCTGAGGCAGGAAAATTGCTTGAACCCGGGAGGTGGAGGTTGCAGTGAGCCAAGATTGTACCATTGCACTTCAGCCTGGGCGACAGAGCGAGACTCCATCTTAAAAAAAAAAAGCAGATTCTTTCCCTGCCCCATCTCTAGTTTAGTCTGGAATTTGGCCCAAGAATTTGCATTTCTAACAAGTTCTCAGGTAATGATGATTCTAGGGGGAGGGGAGTTCACTTTAGGAACAATTTTTGTAAGGTGTTCAGACTACAGTTTGTTATTCAGAAAGCCTTTATTTTCAGAATTTTTAGTAGAATTTTAGTATTACACATAATTGCTTAGTGTAGGCTTAGTATATATACATTTTTAATCTGTTAAAAGAAAATCTTCATACAAATTTAACACTTTATCTGAGCAAAGAACAATTCATGAATCTGGCAGCATGCAGAACCAGAAGAGGTTGAGAGAGCTCCACCTTGCAGCATGAGCAGTGAGCTTCCATAGGTTGAATGTGGAAGCAAATTAGAGAAATTACCTGATTGGCTACCGCAAGGCATTTGCCTTATTTGGGCATGGTGTGATGAGATATTTACTCTCTGTGGGTGTGGTCTGATCAGTTGGCTGCCTATGATTGGCTGAAACATGGCTGTTTGTTACAAAACTATACTCTTAAATTAGGTTTCAGTTTATTTTCTTACTAAGGTTGCAATTTATTATGAAGGAACTCAAAGTGCAGAGAGACAGTCTCAGTTCAATGGCTTCTGCTTATTTAACATACCCTAGTACAGAAGTGTGAGAATAACGTGGAGCTAACAGGGCTTAAAAGGCATAGGAATAGTACTTGCTTGATTCTGGTCAATAAATTTTTTCTTACAATAATGTAAAAGAATTTTGTTAAGAATTTGTACAGTCCAAAAGATGGCGCCACAGAGCTTGGTTCCCACGGCTTTCCTTTTGTTTTTGTTATAGAAGGTTTTATTTTTTCCAGTATAGAAAATGACAGTTTTATTTTCTCTTGTTACCCACCATGAAGAGTAGCACAGTATCTTTAATATTTTAGAAATTCAAACATTTACTCAGTATTTTGAAATACAGTAAAATAAAAATGAATGTTACTGAGTGGTTCTCCACATGGTAGATCAGAATTATGTAAAATTATTCCAGTGTTTCTGAAAGAGAAACAATTTTTTTATGAATAGATATTTAAATGACTAAATTTATTCTGTTTCTGGGGAAGACAAATTTTTTTATCTCTTTTGCCATTTATATAAAACATCTGGGGTTGCATTTTCTTAAGTTAATATGAGGGGACGTCAAAAAGTTTGTGGAAAAATGGAATTAATTAAGATAGAAATAAAAATAACTTTTTTTCTCAACATAAGCTCCGTCAAATTTAAGGTACTTCTTTTGTCAGCAGTGATACCAGTCATTTAGTCCATCCCTAAATAATTGAGGGTCCTGGGAATTTAACTATGCAAATGCAGTGTTTTTTATATTGGTAACTGAAGAAAAATGGGTGCCATCTACAGATTTTTAAAGACTGGTGTGTTAGTCTGTTTGGGTTCCTATAGAAGAATACCTGAGGCTGGGTATTTTATTTGGCTCACAGTTCTGCAGGGTGTGCAAGAACCATGGCACTAGCATCTGCTTCTGGTGAGGGCTTCAGGTAACTTCCAATTATAGCAGAAGGGGAAGGAGAGCTGGCATATCACATAGCGAGAGAGGGAGTGAGAAAGAGAGAAGGTGCTACATTCTTTTAAACAGCCAGCTTTTGTATGAACTGATAGAGCGAGAACTTATTCGTTACTGTGGGGATGTACCAAGCCATTCATGAGGGATCTGCCCCCATGACCACACCTTCCATTTGGCCCCAACTCTAATGTTGGAGAATAAATTTCAACATGAGATTTGGAGGGGACAGATATCCAATCTATATCAATTAGGAAACATAAAGGAGTAAGAAGGAGCCAAATCAGGTCTATAAGGTGGATGCCTAATAATTTCCCATTGAAACTCTCAAAATTGCCCTTGTTTGATGAGCGGAGTAAGTAGGGGCATTTACATAGTGTATGAGGAGTCTCTGATGAAACTTTGGGCCTTTTTCCGCTAAAGCTTTGGCTAACTTTTCATGATAGTTCTTTGGTGTTCCAGAAAGTCAACCAGCAACCTGCCTTGAGCGTCCCAAAGAATTGTTGCCAACCTTTGCTCTTGACCAGTCTGCTTGTGCTTTGACTGGACCACTTCTCTCTCTTGGTAGCCATTGTGGTTGTGCTTTATCTTCAGGATCATACTGGTAAAGCCATGTTTCATCTCCTGTTACAGTTCTTCAAAGAAATGCTTCAGGATCTTGATCTCACTTACTTAAAATTTCCATTGAAAGCTCTGTTCTTGTCTGCAGCAGATCTGGATGCAATGGTTTTGGCACTCATCGGATGGAAAGTTTGCTCAGCTTTAATTTTTCAGTCAGAATTGTGTAAACTGAACCAATTATAAAAGAATTGTGGCATTGGCTATTGTTCATGCCATTAACTCTCAATCATCTTCAATTAGGGCATGAACAAGATAAATTTTTTCCTCACAAATTGATGTGGATGGTCTGCCACTGTGGGCATCTTGAACATTGTCTCATGCCTTCTTTAAAAGAGTTATCTATTTGTAAACTGTTGATATCTTTGAGGCATTTTCCTCACAAACTTTTCACAACTCACCAGTGATTTTACTTTTCTTCTACACAAGCTTTACCATAAATTTGATATTTGTTCTTGCTTCAATTTTAGCGTAATTCATATTGCTCTGATAGGGGCCCTTTCAGACTGCTGTCCTATCCCTCTTAGGACCTCAAGCTAGATCCTGTTCTGGTATGTTATGACAAATTAGTAAGAGTTGATTTTCATACAAAAAAATTTGAAGTTCTTGCATAGTTTTTTCATAATAATGCATATTCCGTGAACTTTTTGAAGATTCCTTGAATATAACAATTACAGATTTGTTTAAATATAAAATTAAGTAGATATAGAACAGAGGACAATCCTTAAATTTTTGTTTCATACATGTAGTACCACTCCTGTTTCCCTCCCCAACTGAATTGGATTTAAAGAACATTTTAGGTTCTTCTCTCCTCCTCTCTCTCCCTCCTAGTCTTCCTTTTTTTCCACCACCTCTTGCATTTTCGAATAGAAATGAAGTTGGTTCCCCAACCTAACTCAAAATATGGCACAGTAAGGTATTGTTTTTGTGTTTCTCAAAATGCTCTTAAGATGCTACTAGTGAGAGGGTTTTTTGATTATAGGAGACCACAATATGCCACCCTAAATATGCCACTTTGGCATAATGATTATTTTGAGCAGATTATTTTGAGAACCAGCAGATACAGGATCATCTCTGAAAACAGCACAAGTTACCTTTTTGTAAGAGAAATGTGTACCTAGAAAGGAAATCTCTATTTGTAAGAGTGTCTCCCTTTCTGGGGAAGAGAAGGATGACCAAATTGCAAGAGACTCCTATCAACAGAGATAACAACATAAATCTGCAAAACAATCGTTTCTCTTATTTACCATGCTTTTTGTGGTAACCTTCCTTCACATCCTTTCGAGTTGAAGTTGCTATGTAAGCTGGAGTTTTAGGCTCCCTCTTGGAGAGTTTTTATTTCTCCCTGGATAATCTTCTGTGTATACATGAGGTATACATGTTAATAAACTGTTTTTCTCTTGTTGGTCTGTCTTGTTGGAGCAGTCCCAGCTAAGAACTCAGAAAGGTAAAGGGAAAATTCCCCCACCACACACAATGAATAATAGAAAATTAAGTTTTAAAGTGTATTTTAGAAAGAGCATGTTGTCATGACTAGAGAAGTGGGAATTGGAATGGAATAAAAATAATGAGCGTATACATTACCCAAATGACTTTATTGCAGTACAAACTACCCACATGAAAGTTGACTAGTGCTCTGTTAAATGGGAACTACTGAATCAGATTATGTTTATCCACTGATTAATGTCATTGAAGACATGTTCTTATTTTCATAAAAAGAATGAACAGTGCTCAAAGATTGAATTATGTTAGTATATTGCAAAGACTTGTTAGACATAATGGGTACCTTTTTTCAGTTTTAAAAGGTGTTCTGTTTCTTGCTATTAGTGACAGTTGAATAGAAGACATTTTAAGAAACCATTTTTTAATTAAATAATAAAGTGCCGGGTTTTTCATAACAACATTTATTTTACTTAGTATGGAACCTGAGAGGCCGGGCGCAGTGGCACATGCCTGTAATCCCAGCGCTTTGGGAGGCCAGCGTGGGAGAGTCACTTGAGACCAGAAGTTCAAGTCCAGCCTAGGCAATATAGCGAGACTCTGTGTCTCCAAAAAATTAACCAGGCATGGTGGTGCATGCCTGTAGTCCCAGCTACTTGGGAGGTTGAGGCGGGAGGATTGTTTGAGTCTAGGAATTCAAGGCTGCAGTGAGCCATGATTGTCTCACTGCATCTGAGACCCTGCCGCAGGAAAAAAAAGAGAACCTGAGAGTTTATGAAAGAAGAGATGAAATAATTTTATTAAGATTTTTGGAGAAACTTCTGAGTTCAGCTTCGTTTGGTATACTTCTTCCCACCCACCTATGTAATTTAAATCTCTTTTTTTTTTAAAAAAACTGGAAGATATGAAAGGAGCTTTCTTTAAGAATGAAATATCAGTAACACAGCAGGAGCTGAGAGAGGAAAAATAGAGGGAAATTTCCCTTGGATTTCTAAGTGTATAGGGTGTATGTTTATATACATTCGTTTTTATCTATATTGATTATTCAACTTTCTCCAAGTGTGGATGGATATCTTGTTTTGATAGAGAGCGGTAGATCTCCTCTCATCCCCAGATGAGATTCTTTTAGATTTCCTTCTGTCTTATTAGGGGAGAGTTAGGATTGCTTTTATTTATTTGTTTTTATTTTTATTTATTTTTGAGATGGAGTCTCGCTCTGTCACCCAGGCTGGAGTGCAGTGGTGTGATCTTGGCTCACTGCAACCTCCACCTCCTGGGTTCAAGCAGTTCTCCTGCCTCAGCCTCCCGAGTAGCTAGGATTACAGGCGCGTGCCACCACACCTGGCTAATTTTTGTATTTTTAATAGAGTTGAGGTTTCACCATGTTGGTCAGGCTGGTCTCGAACTCCTGACCTCAAGTGATCCACCTGCCTCAGCCTCCCAAAGTGCTGGGATTACTGGCATGAGCCACTGCGCCTGGCCGTAGGATTGCTTTGAGTTGCGTAGTTTCTTATAGTAAAATTTCAGGGTCATTTAGTTTCTTAATGAGCTTTTTTTTTCTTTTTAACAGGTAAGCATTGGGTTATATTGATTTTTCAAGATGTAATGGATTATCATCTAAGTGATGTTCCTTTGCTGCTTGGCAATATACCACAGATGGTCTGTTTAATTGTATTTTACTACTTGTCTGTCTTATTAGATAGAGCCCTTGTTTTTTTTAGCTTCCTATACCCCATTTCCATCTACCCTTTAGCCCAGGGATATCTAAGTTGGAGAGTACTTTCATTTTCTTACCAAGAACTTGACCTCACTACCTTCGGTCTCCCTGCCCCCCCATTAAGGTATTGCATTCTGGGAAATTTTTGACTTGCAGGAGTATAGATATTCTTGGCAACTTTGACAAACTTACAGATTCTGAGATCTACAGGGAGTTTTTTTTTTTCCCTTGGCCATTTCCTTTGGCCATATTGGTCAGGTTTTGGGTTCCTTTCATTTGTAATATGAAACCACCCTAGGTTCAAGGTCAAGTAGCAGGCACCTTTTGCCCTGTGCATTTCTCATCTGGCCTTCTGCCCTGACCATGTTGGTTTGGATGATTTTTGGTCTAGAGGTTTCTGTTTCTTATTGAGGCGTGAAAGTATTTCAGAGAAGAAAAGCGGAGGAGAGCTCTTTGCCCATAAAACGAGCTCATTCCCCTAAGGATATATGGATATGTGAGCTTCGAAACTAACTAGAGGCTCATTATGACTTTAGCCATCATTTGAGATTGTTCTCAACTATTTTACCCAAGCAGCAAAACTTATTGGATGTCTAGATGTGCCAGATACTGGTTGGGCTCTGGTGATAAAACAGTGAACAAAACAGACATGTTTTCCTTTCTCCTAGAGCTTACTGTCCAAACAGGCAAATATGGGGTAGTCTGGAAATACATTAAACAATACCAGCCTTAACTGTGTGTATGTGCGAATAGTGTAGTGATGGGGGTAGTGTAGGGAAAGCCTTTTGGAGGAAGTTATATTTAAGCTGAGGCTTAAGGAAGGAGGAATTAACCAGAGAAGAAAAGCTGAGAGTAGTAAAAGAATGCGATGTGGTTGGTGCAATTGTGTAAGGGTTCGATGCAGTGTTGAACGACAGTGTGTGGGTGAGAAGATAATAGCATATGTGAAAATGAGATAAGAGAGAATTCATATTTGAGCAAAGTTCAGTGTGCCTACATTTTATACTGTGAAGGAGATAGGGGTTAAATTCTGAGGCCATAGAGGTAAGCAAGAAGCCAGATCAGCTCTCTTATAGGACATGTTAAGTAGTTGATCTTCAGATCAATATGGAGAGCTAATTAAGTGCTTTTTAGCAGGGGCAATGACTAGAACAGATTTGCATTTTAGAAAGAACTCTGGTGGGAAGAATTGACTTTAGGAGGGTGGGATTGGAAGTATAGTGATTATTTAGGAAGCTATTGCAGGGAATCGGGTGAGAGATCATGGTGATTAAATATAAGGTAGAGGCCAGACACAGTGGCTCACACCTGTAATCCCAGCACTTTGGGAGGTGGAGGCAGTGGATCACCTCAGGTTGGGAGTCTCAGACCAGCCTGGCCAACATGGCGAAACCCCGTCTCTACTGAAAATAACAAAAATTAGCTGGGCCCAGTGGTGCGCACCTGTAATCCCAGCTACCTGGGAGGCTGATGCAGGAGAATCGCTTGAAACCCGGGAGGTAGAGGTTGCAGTGAGCTGAGATCACGCCACTGCACTGTAGCCTGGATGACAGAGCAAGACTCCCTCTCAAAAAAAAAAAAAAAAAAAAAAAAGTAGGGTAGAGATAATGGGTAGATAGATTTAAGAGGGAGATAGGGAGATTTTGGAGAAGACTTGATGGGTTTTGATGATGGATTGTATGTGATGGATAAAGTGGAGCAAGAATGACTTTCAGGTGTCTAGGCTGGGCCATGGAATAAATGGTGGCACTATTTACTAAGATTTGAGAAGAGTAGCTATGGGGTGGGCTGGGGAGAGTGAAGGGAGATGAATTTAATTTTGAGCTGGACCTCCTAGAATGGTAAATAATTAATAATAATATGTAAATAAGTTAAATATTTTCTCTCAATTATTTGTTGTTGAATATCATTTTTGTCTAAAAATAACATGAATTATACATACCCAATAGCAGGGTAAAAAAAATCTGTTTGGTGCTAATCTCTATGTGTTAGTCCATTAAAATACATTATTATATAATCAATATACATATTAAGATGCAATATGAGCCCGTTAATATGAGAAACATAGTAAAAATCTTTGTTTTTACTTTGCAGCCTGCTGTTCTGTTAATCTAATGTATGTGGTCCCAGAGATACATTAAGAAACTTATTTAATAGTCATAATAGTAACTTTTATGCCATAGTGAAAGCATGTGCGATGACAAATCTACTTGAATTTCTAACAAAAGAAATTGAAATGGTGCTATTTCAAAGCATCATTTATCCTGAGTGATAGCGATAGGCTATCACATACTCTCTAATACTGTGATGCAGTGTTTATTCTGGGCAGGAGCTTACTCATTCTCCCTGGTTAGATTTAAATCCATGACTTTTTCTGTAAACATCAGTCACATCACCCCATTGTGTATCTTTCTGAGTTTTTTGTCTTCTTTACTGTGGTTATCAACTGTTTACTTTGGAATATTTACTTTTTGAGCACCAAGTTGAATTGTTTACATGTGTCTGTGTTTATGCGTTGAGGGATTAATCTTGCCATTAGTATAAATCATGGGTGGTTAACTATGCCTTAAAATAACCTTAAATATCTTTTTTTTTAAAAAAAAAAAAGGTGTAATAACTAAATTTATTTTTACTAGTACATTTTTTTAAATTTTATTTTACTTTAAACTCTGGGATACATGTGCAGAACGTGCAGGTATACATGTGCCATGGTGATATGCTGCACCTGTCAACCCGTCATCTAGGTTTTAAGCCCTGCATGTATTAGGTATTTGTCCTAATGCTCTGCCTCCCCTTGCTCCTCACCTCCCGACAGGCCCCGGTGTGTGATGTTCCCCTCCCTGTGTCCATGTGTTCTCATTGTTCAGCTCCCACTTATGAGAACATACATTTGGTTTTCGGTACCTGTGTTAGTTTGCTGAGAATGATGGCTTCCAGCTTCATCCATGTCCCTGCAAAGGACATGAACTCATTGTTTTTTTTATGGCTGCATAGTATTCCATGGTGTGTATGTGCCACATTTTCTTTATTTAGTCTGTCATTGATGTGCATCTGGGTTGGTTCCAACTCTTTGCTATTGTGAACAGTGCTGCAGTAAACATATGTGTGCATGTGTCTTTATAGTAGAATGATTTATAATCCTTTGGGTATATACCCAGTAATGGGATTGCTGGGTCAAATGGGGTTTCTGGTTCTAGATCCTTGAGAAATCACCAAACTGTCTTCCACAATGGTTGAACTAATTTACACTCCCACCAGCAGTGTAAAGTGTTCCCATTTTTCCACTGCCTTGCCAGCAGCTGTTGTTTCCTGACTTCTTAATAATCACCATTCTAACTGGTGTGAGATGGTATCTCATTGTGGTTTTGATTTGTATTTCTCTAATGACCAGTTATGATGAGCTTTTTTCATATGTTTGTTGACTGCATAAATGTCTTCTTTTGAGAAGAGTCTGTTCATATCCTTCACCCACTTTTTGATTTTTTTTTCTTGTAAATTTGTTTCAGTTCCTTGTAGATTCTGGATATTAGACCTTTGTCAGATGGATAGCTTGCAAAAGTTTTCTCTCATTCCATAGGTTGCCTGTTCACGTTGATGACAGTTTCTTTTGCTGTGCAGAAGCTCTTTAGTTTGATTAGATCCCATTTGTCAATTTTGGCTTTTGTTGGCATTGCTTTTGCTGTTTTAGTCATGAAGTCTTTGCCAATGCCTATGTCCTGAATGGTATTGCCTAGATTTTCTTCTAGGGTTTTTATGGTTTTAGGTCTTACGTTTAAGTCTTTAATCCATCTTAAGTTAATTTTTGTATAAGGTGTAAGGAGAGCGGTCCAGTTTCTGTTTTCTGCACATGGCTAACCAGTTTTCCCAGCACCATTTATTAAATAGGGAATCCTTTCCCCATTGCTTGTTTTTGTCAGGTTTCTCAAAAATTAGATGGTTTTAGATATGTGGTGTTATTTCTGAGGGCTCTGTCCTGTTCCATTGGTCTATATACCTCTTTTGGTACCAGTACCATGCTGTTTTGGTTACTTTAAATATCTTTATAATTATCAGTCTTTGAAAATTAATATTGGGCTACTCTGGGCATGCTGCCTATGGGTTAGCCCTGCTCCACAAGGAGCAGTTAAAAAAAATTGCTTTTTGTCTAGAATAGTAATATCTGGAAATATGGGAGCAAGTGCTGATTCCTAGTTGCAGATTAACGTATTTATATGTTTGAATGGATTTAATTGTCCTTTTAAAGTAATTATAATGAGATGTTCTTTTAAAGCCAAAAACAGAGCTGTGTCAGCTTTCTTCTCCTATTGGAACAGTCTGAAAACTCATCTAGCTAGGTTTCTTAATTAAAAAGTAAAGTCTTAGGTTGCCTAAATTTTGCCTTTAGGGATGCCAAAAACTTAAATAGGAAGTCATTTTTACAGTGACAGAGTAGGAGTTTGACTACATTCACATGCTTTTTCCATTTTTGTTCAAATGTTATGCTTGTCCATATTAACATTGTTTATAGTAGATTGTATTACTATGTGAAGATGATTGTTTAATAATAACGCAGTTAAAAAACAGTGAATGTCAGAGTGCTCGGGACACCATAAATATAAGGCACAGAAGGGTTAAGATAGCATACCACACTAACTAAAGGAAAGTGGTATAACTTTTTAAATATCCAATGACGTACGTTTTATGGCAAAAACCTTTATTTGAGGTAGGACATACCATAATTGTAGAATGGTTAGATAGTACATTTAAATTTTAATGCCCTGTGAGTCTGTATCTATTGTGCCTTTAGTTGTGGTCTTTTCTCATATGTCTGATTATTTCTGAGTTATTTCTAATTGAGTATTTAAAATGCAGATATTTTTGAGTCCTAGGATGATGTTCTCTCTCCAAAGAAGATGGACCTTTGTTTCTGGTAGGTGTTCAGGCTAAGGGCACTAGCAGTCCCAGATCATCTCAGTCTAGTCAGGACTTCAGAGAATTTGAAGCTGGACTTAATTCGAGGTCATCCTAGAATGATGGCTTGAATCTAGGCTATCTAGTTCCTGAGGTCCCCTTAGGGGCCCAACTTGGCAAGCCCTAAATTTCCATTTTTGCTTCTTTAGAAGATATGGCTTAGCTCAATCTGTTTCAAACTTTATTCAGCTTTTTACCATTTTAATATCACTGATTATTGACTGTACTCAACTGCAGAAAGATACTTTATAAATACTTGTCTAAAAGCCTCGGTTTATAACTAAATATGAAGCTGAATTACTTAATGAGTTCCATAGTGAACAATATGGCACTAGCACTAAAATGGAGAAACCATAGGAACAAACCTTTGCCTATCTGAAATAACTCTACTGGTATGATATTTTCAAACATTTAAAAATGACTAATCTTGGCAGGGTGTGGTGACTCATGCCTGTAATCTCAGCACTTTGGGAGGCCGAGGTGGATGAATAACCTAAGGTCAGGCATTCAAGACAAGCCTGACCAACATGGTGAAACTCCGTCTCTACTAAAAATACAAAAATTAGCAGGGCATGCGCCTGTAATCCCAGCTACTCAGGAGGCTGAGGCAGGAGAATTGCTTGAACCCAGGACACAGAAGTTGCAATGAGCCAAGGTCACGCCACTGTGCTCCAGCCTAGGTGACAGAGATTCTGTCTCCAAAAAATGAAACAAAACAACAACAACAAAAAGTCATGAGATTTGTAGATGTTGTCTTCACCTCACTCTCCCCATCACCCCAGCTTCACCTAGAACATTCATACACTGTGGACAGAATTGGTCTTCTAAAATAAAAAATAAAAATAATAAAAATAAAAATGACTAATCTTGGCCAGGTACAGTGGCTCCTGCCTGTAATCCCAGCATTTTGGGAGGCCGAGGCATTTGGGTCACTTGAGGTCAGGAGTTTGAGACCAGCCTAGCCAACGTGGTGAAACCCCATCTCTACTAAAAAAACAAAAACTAGCCTGGTGTGGTGGTGGGCGCCTGAAGTCTCAGCTGCTCGGGAGGCTGAGGCAGGAAAATTGCTTGAACCCAGGAGGCAGAGGTTGCAGTGAGCTGATATTGTGCCACTGCACTGCAGCCTGGGCAACAAAGCAGGACTCTGTCTCAAAAATATAAATTAATTAAAAATAAAAACGGCTCATTTTGTGGCCAGGTGCGGTGGCTCATGGCTGTAATCCCAGCACTCTGGGAGGCCGAGGCGGGCGCGTCACCTGGAGCCTAGAGTTTGAGACCAGCCTGGCCAACATGGTGAAATCCCATCTCTACTAAAAATACCAAAATTAGCTGGGTGTGGCAGTGCACATCTGTAGTTCCAGCTACTCCGGAGGCCGAGGCAGGAGAATCACTTGAGCCCAGGAGACTGAGGTTGCAGTGAGTAAAGGTCACGCCACTGCACTTCAGCCTGGGTGACAGGGTGAGACTCTGGCTCAAAATAAATAAATAAGTAAAAATGACTAATCTTGTAAACAAGTGGAAAGCTCTAAAAGTGGAAATAGAACCACAATCATAAGAAATATTCGAACATATTTCTTTCAATAACAGATAAAACAGAGACATACTGAGTACGTATATTTTCATGCACATATTTTATATGCACACACATTATTTGAATGAAAATTGTTTAATAAGCTTGACCTAATGAACATGCACTCAGTAACTGCAGAATTCACGTTCATTTCATGTGTGTATGAAACACTTGCCAAAATAGGCCTTGGAATTCATCTTAATATATTTTAAAGGATTAATCTTACAGAATACATTATCTGTCCCCAGTGGAATTAAGGTTGCAATCTGTAATGGAAAGATAATAGGGAAATCCCAAATGTTTGGAACATAAGCAGTAACCTTATATGACATCACAATGAAATGATCAAAATACAAAAAAAAAAAGATTTAAAATCAGTAAACAGTAAATATCAAAGCTGAAAATTATTTTTATAGACTATTAAAACTGATAAATCCTTAGTGATAAGTTGGTAAAGACAAAGATAAAAGCAAAGTATGTTACAAATACGGAAATGAAAAATAGCACATCCCTATAAAACCCATAGCCATTAAAAAGATTACAAGAGGATGTTATGTACAACTTTATGGTCATATATTTCAAAATTTTGATGAAATGGACAAATTATAATCCATAACTGTTAATGAAAGTAAGTCTTTAAAAACCTTTTTATGAAGAAAATTTCAGTCCCAGGGGTTAGGGAGGGATTACTTAAATAATACACTAAATGTACCATAAGCAAAATGAATAAATTGTAATGTGTTAAGAATGAGAACTTCTGTTCATTCCAAGACATCCTTGAAACAGTGAAAAGGCAAGCCACAGACTGAAAACATATTTGGTATACAGCTGATAAGGGAATCCTGTCTAGGATATATAGAGAATTCTACCAATTCAAAAATCCAGTAAAAAAAAAAAAAAGAGCAAAAGATTGGAACAGACGTTTCACAGCAAAAGATTAGAACAGACATTTCACAAAGAGGATACCCAGATAGCTAATAAACCTGAAAAAGCTCTCAACTGTATTAATCATCAAGGATATGCAAATTAAAACTTCAGTGAAATACTAACATATAGTCATTAGAATGGCTAAAATGTGAAAGACCTCTTGAAGTGTTGGTGAGGATGTAGAAACAGCAAACTCATATACAGCTAGTGGAGCAGAAATTGGTACTACCACTTAGGAAAATTGTTTTGATATATTTTAAAGTTGAATGAGTCAATACTTTTTTTTTTTTTTTTTTTTTTTTTTTTGAGACGGAGTCTTGCTCTGTCCTCCAGGCTGGAGTGCAGTGGCACAATCTTGACTCACTGCAACCTCCACCTCCCAGGTTCAAGCAATTCTCCTGCCTCAGCCTCCCGAGTAGCTAGGATTACAGGCGCATGACACCATGCCTGGCTAATTTTTGTTGTTTTAGTAGAGACAGGGTTTCACCGTGTTGGCTAGGCTGATCTCGAACTCCTGATCTCAGGTGACCCGCCCACCTCGGCCTCCCAAAGTGCTGGGATTATAGGCATTACGTGAGCCACTGTACCTGGCTGATTAATACCCTTTGACCTGACACTTTTACTCCCTGGTATATATCTGACCAAAATGTGTGCACTTTTGCACCAAAACATATGCAGAAGAATGGCCACTGAATTGTTACTTGAAATAGCCAAAAACTGGAGACAATCCAAATAGCCATTTATATTAGAATGGATTAACAAATTGTTTATTCATACAGTGCTATACAATGAAAAAGAACAAATTACTGCTATATGCAAGAACATAAAATCTCACAAACATAATGTTGACTGAAAGAAGTAAGATAGTAATATATATTCTGTGATTCTATTTATATCTAGATAAACCAGAAAAAACTCTAATCCTTTGTTAGAGGTCAAGATAGTAGCTACTTGAGGGATGGAGGGTGTAGTGACTGACAGAGTGCATAGCACAATTTCTGATAGTTTTTATCTGGGTTTTGGTTACATGGGTGTGTTCATTTGAGGATAATTCATTGAAACTATATGCTTGCGAACGTACTATTTGTTACTGTTTGTGTACCTTTAAGTGGATATTATACATCAAGAGAGTTTAAAAAAAAAAAAAGAAAGAAAAAAGAAAGAAAGCCCGTGTGGCTTGCTGGAGGGGAAGTGAGAAAGTGGGGAATGGTAGACTATAAAATCAGGAAGGTAGAAGGGGACCAGATCATATGGGACCATATCAGCCATGATAATATTTTAGTGTGAAGGGAAGTCACTGGAGACTTCTGGGCGGGAGAATGACGTGATATGTTTTACATTTTAATAAGCGTGCTTTGACTGGTATAGAGATGATAGATTGTGGCAAGAATAGAAGCAAGATACACCAGCCTGGGCAAGAGAGGATAAAGGCTTCAAGTAGGGTCGTAATAGTGTAGATGGTGAAAAGTGGCCCAGTCCGGGATATATTTTTAAGTTAGAGCTCTCAGGATAGTTCATAGATTACATTGTGGGGTCGTAATAGTGTAGATGGTGAAAAGTGGCCCAGTCCAGGATATATTTTTAAGTTAGAGCTCTCAGGATAGTTCATAGATTACATTGTGGGGTAGAAAGGAAAGAAGGTAATGCTGAGATGTTTGGCCTGAGCAGCTGGGTGAATTGTGATGCTGTTTACTGAGATGAAGACAGAGAGAGGAGCACACTTAAGGAGAAATCAAGAGATTTACTTTTGATGTGTGAAGGTTGAGATACTTATTAGACATTCAAGACGAGACGTTAAATAGCTGAGTAGAGAAATCAGGGATGGGGAAATAATTTATTAGTGTTTTAGGTGGTGCTTAAAATCCTAGGGCTGGAAGAGATCTCCTAGGGAATGCATGTAGACAGGACAGAGTACAGTGGGGTAGAGTGAAGTGGAGTAGAAGGATGACATCTAATTATTGTGGCAGGTCAACACTTTGATATCAGGGAGAAATGAAAGAGTAACTAATGAGTTAGATTTTAAAGCAGGAATGTATGGTGCCTCAAAGCCCAGTAAAGCATTTCATAAAGTAGGAATGAGCAACTGTCAAATATTACTGAGCTATTTAGCTAGTGTTCAGCTTGGTGAAAAATGAGATTTGACTACTGGGTTTGGTAGGTTTGGGGGAGAGATTTGAGGAGAGTTGGAATTGGAATAAAGTATTATATTTGGAGAATGAATCTGTATAAAATTAGCTAATACAATAAAACTTGAAGACTTTGGAGCCTTTTTAGTCTAGCAAAGAAGTATCAGCTAAGATTAATGGTTAAATAAAATGTAAAATCAAATTTCAGAAGTTAAGAGGGCTGCTTACAAGTAACCTATAATAGATTCTTTGATGTAAGATAGAAAAATTAGTTACGAATCTGCCATTAGGGTTTTATACCCCATTCGAAATGGTTCAGCGTATTCCTAGTATCTTCAAGTGAAGTGGCTTGACTATTCTGAACCTTCATCTTTATTGAAAGGCTTTAAAATTGGCTCTTAATGATTCTTATGTCAGTGGTCTCTTATTCTGATAGTTTTTCATTAATAACTTTTTGCTCAAATCTTGATGTCTTTTCTTTAATTCACTATTATCAGCCAATGCTAAAATAAAACATACTCTATGTAATATAAGATAACAAATGGAATCAATGAATCAGTTACCCCGCATGGATCTGTAGCTTCTATGTGAAGTAATATGGGGTTTTTAAGTTTCTTTTTCCATAGAGTTCAGGAGGTGGAGAGGGCCCTCTGTAGAGAATTTGGTCTGTTAGGTTGTTCCTTTGTAAAGGAATGAAGATTCCAGAAGATGTGATGGGAATGACTAGTCAGGGACAGCAGTGTTAGGAGGTTGTGTTGGGAGGAAAAGCACAGAACAGTATTGCAGTGAATATATACTGGGGGCCCAAAGACTTACGTTGTGTGATGCTGATGGCAGGATCTAGGTCTAGTTCTAACTGAAAATGTGGTGAAGAGACATTTTAATTGGAAAGAACAGAGACTCACTCAAAAAGATCCACAAAAGAGAATGGGGCAGTTATTAGACAAGTTCAGGGACCTTAGGCATTGCTTATGTTCCTGAAAATTGGACTGCAGGTGTGGGCTTGAGGCAAATTTAAGTTGTGTGTTTATTTTTCTATCTCTGCTTCTTTTTATGTGTTTGTTTTGTTTTCTGTCTTGTACAGACTGCAGCATTCTCAGGGTTTTTTTCTTTTCTTTTCTTTTCTTTTTTTTTTTTTTGTCTCTACCGCATATAAAACCAGCTTTTACTTGGCTGTCATTGTCATCTTTAGCTCAAATGTCAGATGACCTTTAAGCTTCACTGCCTGTCATCGACTGACAACTGTGCACTGTGTTTTAGTTTTAAGTACCTAAGAGTAAGAAGAACCTTATCTAATTCACCCCTGCCTCTTTGCTCCCCAGGCCTCTGAATTCTGGTTAGTCTCCATTGGCTGCCCTTGGGTCCATTGCCAATCCCTAGTTCAGCCCCTCCTGGGGAAAGGAAAAGAGAGTCTCTGGGCAGAGCAGATTCCCTTAGAGAAAAAGCAGTGATTGAGCAGGCAGTGGCCTTATCTAGTAGTTTTTCTTCTTACCTTAGAAGTTTTATGATTAATTGAAATTGTAAAAGCTTAAAATTTTGGAGGAATGGCATGAAGCCCCCATGGCTAGTGGAACGAGTGCGGGAAGAGTGATGGGAGATAAAGTCAAAGAGGTCAGCTAGGCCAGGTGATATAGAGCCTTGCAGGCCATGGAATAGAGTGTGAATTTTATATATGTATAGTTGTATATATTCTTATATATAAAATATATATCAGATAAATAGACACATTTGTTCATATATAAGAAATACATAGGGAAAAAAATCGTAGGTTACTTACCAAATGGATAATAGCTATGTGTCTCTGTGGAGGAAGAGAATGACCAGACAAGAATGGGGGTGTGATCAGACTTTATGTGTAAATGTTTAATAAAGGGGAATATAGTCATGTGCTGTTTGTGGAATTCAAAGTTAATTGAAAGAGGTGGGGACAACCTATTCCCTGAAGCAAGTTCCTGTGGAGTATAAAGATAATTTACTTGCTTTGTAATTTTGTAAGTGTGTGAATTTGCTTGTTTTTTAACAATATGTTTAATTCCCCCCCGCCTCTTTTTTTGCCTTTTTTCTCTAGGGAGTTGGTCTCTCAGTCCATGGGCAATTTCGAGTGGCTACAGAAAAGTGTCTTTTTGCTATGCCAGAAACTGCAATAGGTAAACAACCAGAATTTTTTTTATAATTACTTTTAGCATCATCTTCTTTTGATATGTTTCAGAGTTTACTGTTGTTGAAGGAATTGATGGACTCTTGTGTGAGATGCAACAATGAAAGGATTTTAAAAAAGAAATTAAATAGGAAGATACTTTGAAGTCTATATTAGCTCAATGATTATATCTGAAAACACAAAACTGAGAACATTAAAGGAGACATTAACACACTATAAATAAAACATTAACACTATAGATAAAATATCATTAAGGGAATATATTTTTGCCTTTAGATCTGTGCAGTTTTGAGTTGTGATCAAAACTATCATATGACACTTCTGAGTTAATTTTTGTATATGGTGAGGGGTGTGGATCACCTATATAAGTCAAAGTTTATTTTGTATATGGAAATACAATCATTCCAGTACCAACTGTTGAAAGGGTATTGTTTTGCTACTGAATTGCCTGTGTAGCTTTGTTATAGTTGTCTATAGATGTCAATCATGGTGCCAACACCATGTTGTCTTGGTTAGTGTTGCTTTATAGTTAAGTCTTAAAATCAGGTAGTGACAATGTTCCACCTTTGTTCTTTGTATCTTACCAAGTTGCTTTGGCTATATAGGTTCTTTATCTTTCCATATGTATTTTAGAGTTACTTGTCGATTTCAACAAAAAAGCCTGCAGATGAATTTAGAGAGAATTGACATCTTAACACTATCGAGTCTTTTCAGACCTGTGGGCAAGATATAATTCTTCATTTATGTAAGTGGTCTTTAATTTCTCTCAGCATGGATTTTTAGTTTTCAGTTTATAGGTCTTATCTTTTGTCATATTTATCCATAAGTATTTCATATTAATGATATTTTTGAATTGTTAGTTACCAGTCTAAAGAAATACAGTTGATTTTTGTATTTACCTTTATCATGCAGACTTGCTAAACTCACTTATTAGTTTTAGTTGCTTTAGATTTGAATTCGATTCTACTTTACTGGAATTCCTAAAGAGACAATTATGTCATTCACAAGTAAGAGCAGTTTTACTTTTTCCTTTCCTTTTTCTAATCTGGATACCTTTTATTTCTTTCTCTTGCCCTATTGCGTAGAATAGAACTTCCAATACAATGTTGAATAGAAGTGGTGAGAGTGGACATTTTTTCCTTGTTCCTGATTTTAGGGGAAAGCATTTAGTCTTCTACCAATTAAGTTTGATGTTAAGGTATATATTTTTCATTTAAGATAAGGAACAAGACAATGATGCCTGCTCTCATCATTTCTGTTCAATGCTGTATTGAAAGTCCTTGCCAGAGCAATTAGGCAAGAGAAAGAAATAAAAGGCATCCAAACAGGAAAAGCAGAGGTGAAACTGTCACTGCTGATGACATGCTCTTATATATATATGGAAAACTCCAACAGCTCCAGTAAAAAACTGTTTGAACTAATAAATACAGTAAAGCTGTAGGATATAAAATCAACACATAAAAATCAGCATTTCTATACACTAACAACAAACTATTTGAAAAATAAGAAAACAATTTCATTTACAAAAGCATCAAAAAGAATAAAATACTTAGAAATAAATTTAACCAAGTAGGTAAAATCTGTATGGCGAAACGACATCCCTACAAAAATAACAAAAGATAGCTGGACATGGTGGCGTGTGCCTGTGGTTCCAGCTGCTCAGGAGGTGGAGATAAAAGGATGGCTTGAGCCCTGAAAGTAGAGGCTGCAGTGAGCTGAGATCATGCCACTGCACTGTAGCCTGGGCAATAGAGCCAGACCATGTCAGTCAGACAGACACACACACACACACACACACACACACACACACACACACACACACACATCTGTATACTGAAAACTACAAAACTTTGATGAAAAAAATTGAAGAAGACACAAATAAATAAAAAGATATTACATGTTCATGGATTGGAAGAATATTTTTAAAATGTTCTTACTACCCAAAGTGATCTACAGATTCAGTGTAATCCCTATCAAAATCCCAATGTCAGTTTTCAAAAAAATAGAAAAAACAATTCTAAAATTCATATGGAACCAAAGAAGACTGCAAATAGCCAAGATAATCTTAAGCAAAAAGAACAAAGCTAGAGGCTTTGTATTGACTTCAAACACTATTGCAAAGTTTTAGTAATCAAAACAGCATAGTACTGGAATAAAAATGAATACGTAGACCACTGGAAAAGAATAGCAAGCCCAGAGACAAATCCATATATTTGCAGTTAAGTGATTTTCAAGAAAGATGCCAAGAATACATAATGGTGAAAGGACAGTCTCTTCAATAAATGATGTCAGAAAAACTGGATATCCATATGCAGAAAAATGAAATTAGACCCATACCTCATATTATATTTTAGAAAAAAACCTCAAATGGATTAAAGATGTAGTCATACAACCTGAAACTGCAAAACCACTAGAAGAAAACATATGGGAAAATGACGTGACATTAATCTGGTCAATAATTTTTTGGCTTTGACGCCAAAAGCTCAGGCAACAAAAACAAAAATATACGATTGTTGTCGTATATACACATGTTGTTGAATCTATCCAACATCCAGGCTACACTGATGCAAGGGGTGGCTCCCAAGGTCTGTGCATAGACAAATAGAATTACATTATGTAAAACGCTTCTAGAATCACAGCAAAGAAAACAATTAGCAGAGTAAAGAGGCAACCTATTCCAATCTCTGCTCGTTGCCTAGTTCCCAAGTCACTTCTACATTTCCAGGTATCTTTATAGCAATGCCCTACTTCTCTGGTACCGGTTTGCTGTATTAGTCCATTCTCACATTGCTATAAAGAACTACCTGAGACTGGGTAATTTATGAAGAAAAGAGGTTTAATTGGCTCACAGTTCCACAGGCTGTACAGGAAGCATGATTGGGGAGGTCTCCAGAAATTTACAGTCGTGGCCAAAGATGAAGGGGAAGCAAGTGCATCTTCACGTGGCTGGCAGGAGAGTGAAGGGAGAAGTACTGCACACTTTAAAACAACCAGATATCATGAGAACTCACTCATTATTATGAGAACAGCAAGGGGGAAATCTGCCCCCATGACCCAATCACCTTCCACCAGGCCCCTCATTCGACACTGGGGATTACAATTCAACATGAGATTTGAATGGGGACACAGAGCCAAACCATATCAGGGCCTTTCAAGAAATTTGTCAATTTGTTAGCATAAAGTTGTTCATAATTGCTTTTTTGTATGTGTCGCCTGAAGTTCACGTGTTGGAAACTTAATTCCCAACTCAGCAGTGTTGAGAGTTGGTACCACTAAGAGGTGAGTGGTTCATGGGGGCTCTTCCAGTTTTTGCAGGTTAGTTCCCGATACAGGGATGACTTCAGCCCCCTTTCCTTCTGCTCTCTTGTCCTGTCTCACCCTTGCCTTTTGCCGTGGGATGATGCACCAAGAAGGCCCTCGTGTGATGTTGGCACCATGATATTGGGCTTCCCAGCCTCCAGAACTGTGAGAAATAATTTTTTTTCTAAATTACCCCGGTCTGTGGTATTCTGTCATAGCAACACAAAATGGACTAAGACAATAATATTCCCCTATTATCTTTTTAATATCTGTAGACTCCTTAGTGATTTCTGGCTCTCTTATTCTTGATATTGGTCATTGTGTCTTCTCTTTTTTTTTCCTGATCAATCTAGTTAGAGGTTTATTAATTTTATTGATCTTAAACAGATTTTTGTTTTCATTTATTTTTTATTTTGCTGATTTCTGCTCCAGTATTCATTCCTCCTTTCTTCTGCTTATTTTAGATTTTGTTTGCTCTTCTTTCATTTCCTCAGGTGAAACCTGAGTTCACTTGTATGAGATGTGGGTATGGAATTCGATTCTACTCTGGTTTTTAATTTCAGTAATTTAAAGATGTTACTACACTGTCATCTCATTTAATTTCCTACAGAAAGTCTTCTCTCTTCCTTATTTTTGTTCCTGTGTCTTTTTATTTTCTTTGGCTGCTCTTAAGATTTTCTCTTGATCACATGTTTCAAGCTATTTGATTATGATGTGCTTTGGTGCTCTTCATATTTCTAATGCTTGTGGTTATTGAGCTACTTAGGTTTATAACTTCTGTCAAATTTGGAAAATTTTCTGCCATTATTTCTACAAATACTTTTTTTCCACCCATTCCGTTTTCAGGAATTCTGGTCATACTTCTATAAGGCTCACTTATGCTTCATTCATTAAAAACATTTTTTTTCTCTCTTTCATTTTAGATAGTTTCTGTTCCTGTGTCCTTAAATTCATTAATCTTCTCTTCTACAAGATCTAATCTGCCCTTAATCTCATCCAGGTATTTTTCAGCTTATACATTCATTTCAGTTTTCATCTCTAGAAGTATGATTTGGTTCTTTTTCTGAAAAGAAAAATTTTCTGTGTCTCTAACTTCTTGAATATATAGGTTATGTTTGTGATAACTGTGTTAATGTTTTTGTCTGCTGGTTCTTACATTTATGTCGGTTCTTATTTTTTTAAATCCCCTTTTAATGGTTAGTATTTTCCTGCATCTTTAGATAGCTGGTAATTTTTTATTGAATTGTACATATTGTAAACTTTACTTTGTCGGGTGCTGGATATTTTTGTATTCTTTTAAGTATTTTTGAGATTTCTTCTGAGATGAATTTAAATTCCTGGGAAACATCTTAATATTTTCAAGTGTTGTAAGATTTATTATTATTATTTTTTTTTTTTTTTGCAGAATTGGAGCAGTGGTCCAACTAGGGCTAATTATTTCCCACTACTGGGGCAAGATCTTGCTTTGTGTTCTGCACAGTGCCCCATGACATCAATCATGAGTTTTTCTAGTCCAGATGGTGGGGAACATGCTGTTTTTAGTCCTGTGTGGGTTCCCAGTACTGTTCTCTATAATCATTTTCTGTGATTCTTTCCTTAGTCTCATGTAGTGATATGGTTAGGCGTTGTGTCCTCACCCAAATCTCATCTTGAATTGTAATCCCCGTAATCCCCATGTGTCCAGGGAGAGATCTGGTAGGAGCTGATTGGATCATGGACGCAGTGTCTCCCTTGCTGTTCTCATGATAGTGAGTTCTTACAAGAGCTGATGGTTTTATAAGGGGCTCTTCCCCCTTTGCTCCTCACTCTTTTTTCTCCTACTACCATGTGAGAAGGTCCAAGCTTGCTTTGCCTTCTGCCATGATCGTAAGTTTCCTGAGGCCTCCTTAGCCATTTGGAACTATGAGTCAATTAAACCTCTTTCCTTTATAAATTACTCAGTCTCGGGTAGTGTGAAAACTGACTAATCATGTAGTTTCTTGACACACACACACACTCTCTCTCTCTCTCTCTCTCCATTCCTAAGCTAAGTACTTAAAAGAGACACCCTGCAGATCTCCAGAGCTTTCTCTCTGCAGCTCTCTCCGCTCTGGTACTCTGTTGTGGGAATTCTAGCTGTCTTGGTTTCCCTAGACTCAGCTTCATCTTCTCAAATGAGGCACTGTGCTGGGCCTGGGAATTCACTCAAGGCATGAAGTTGGAGCTGTTGTAGAATTTACCTTGCTTGTTTTCTGATATTCAGAGACCACTTTTCTTTATTGCTTGATGTTCAGTGTGTTGAAAACACTATTGATCCATATATTGTGTCTGTTTTTATAGTTGTTTCAGGTAGGGGGATAAGTCTGGTTCCTGTTACTCTATCTTGTCCAAAGTATAAGTCTCCCAGATGGCTACTTTAAATTGGATGATTAAAGATGCTCTCAGAGGAGTTGTCCTTTAAGCTGAGATGTGAATAGCAAGAGTCAGCTACATGAAGAACTGAGAGCAGAATATTGTGGCATTAAGAAAAGTTAGCTCAAGACCCTTAGGTAAGAATGAACTTGGCCTGTTAAAGGAACCAAATGGAGGCAATCTGTGTCTGAATCGAGGGCAGGAGTGATGTAACATGCTCTCAAAAGGGTACATGGGGGCCTCTGGTGAAGAGTTAAGATTTAAACCTAAATATGGGAAGTTGTGGAAGAGTATAAAGCAGGCAATGACATAATCTAGTTTATATTTATATTGTAGTACCATGATTCTGGCTGCTTTGAGGATAATGGATTGTAGGGGTAGCAGAGTAGAAGCAGTGAGATTGGATAATAGGTTATTACATTAGTCTAGAGCTACACTGTCCAATACTGTATAGCCACTAGCCACAAGTGGCTTTTAAAATTTTAATATAAATTAATTAAATTTAAAGAAAACAAATTCAGTTCCTCAGTCACACCAGCTACATTTCAGGTGTTTAATAGCTACATATGGCTAGTGGCTGTCTTATTGGACAGCAGAAATTATAGATTTCATCATTGTAGAAAGTTCTGTTGGACAGCACAGTCTGGAGAGATTTTGGCTTTGGAGTAGTTTGGAGGTATAGAGTTGAAAAGAGTGAATAGATTTGAAACATGTTTTGGGCTTAACTGACTTGCTGGTATGATGAATCAGGAATAACTCCAAGGTATTTAACTTGTGCTACTTTGATGGATGAGGCTGATGAGGGAAGGAGCAGTGTAGTTGGAGGTTTGTGAATCAGTAGTTCTACTTTTGCCATGTTAAATGTGAGATACTTATTATCTATGTGGTTCTGTTTAGGTGGCAGATCTAAGAGTTCAGTGTTCACGGGAGAAGGCATGAGTGATTTCGCAGTGTATTAAACTTTTAGGGCTGCATAACAAAATACCACAAACTTGGTTGCTTAAACAGTAGAAATTTTTTTTCTCACAGTTCTGGAGATTGAAAGGCTGAGATCAAGGTGTCAGCAGATGGTTCTCTTGAGCCCTCTCTCTGTGGCTAATAGACTGCTGCCTTCTTGCTCTGTCCTCATGTGGCCTTTTCTCTGTTCACATGCATCCCTGTGTTTCTTCCTCCTCTTATAAGGACACCAGTCCTGTTGGATTAGGACCCCACCCTTATGACCTCACTTAAACTTAATTACCTCTTCAAAGGCCCTGCTTCCAAATGCAGTTACATCGAGGGTTAGGGCTTCAACATAGGACTTTTTGGAAGGACACAATGCAGTCCATAGCAGGGAGTAATCAGCATATAGATATTATTTAAAGTCATAGGAGTTAAGGAAAATGTATATATAGGAAAGAGGAGGTAGCCTAATATGGAGCTTAGGCACCTTGAGCAAGAGGTCAAGCAGAGGAGGTGGTGTCTGTGAGGGAGACTGGAAAGAAGCAGAATTGGGGGAAGGGGGAGAAAAGAGAGAATGTGGTACCCTGGAAGAGAAGAACGTGTTGTCAGGATGGAGGGTTTTTCCACTTGGGCAGCATGCTGCTGAGGCTCTGGGGCAGGAATGAGTGTAGAATGTTAGGGAACTGAAAGAAGACCAGAGTGGCTGGAGTATTGGGAGTGAGTAGTAAGGGATGTAGTGGAAAAAGTGGTAAGGGGCCTTGAAGACTTTGATAAAGGTGTTTGTTTTAATCCAGGAGAAATAGGCAGCCATGGGAGGGTTTTAAGCAGTGGATGCAAGACTCTGGTAAGGATTTGTGTTTTTAAAAGATCACTTTGGCTATTGTGTGGAGAACAGTTCAGAGGGAAAATCAATAAGATGTGGTCACTGATGGGGATTAAGGGGATGGTGCGAGAAGGTGTCAAGGCTGTATACGTGCACCCTTTATTGAGGTAGGTGATGCTGGAGGAAGATTGTGGGACTGGCGCGGGGAGGTTATGAGTTTAACTTGAGACCTAGCTAGTTTGAGATACTAAGAGATATTTCTGTTTACAGGAGCATGATGCTTTTTCTTTTAAGTCTAGAACTTTTTTGTAAAGTAGAACTGGAGAGAATTTTAGTGCTTGCATTTTTATCCCAACATAATTAAAGGAAACTTTAGAACAGATACATAAATTATAAAACTAGAGGGTCACAGTTGTTTAAGATCTTAAACACCCAAAGGAGTGTGCTGGTAATTACTTGTATGTATGCTATTTTCTTTATTTTATTATTATTATTATTTTTACTTGAGATGGAGTCTTGCTCTGTTGCCCAGGCTGCAGTGCAGTGGCATTAGCTCACTGCAACCTCTGCCTCTCGGGTTCAAGCGATTCTCCTGCCTCAGCCTCACCAGTAGCTGGGATTACAGGCATGCGCCACCATGCCCGGCTGATTTTTGGAATTTTAGTAGAGACGGGGTTTCACTGTGTTGGCCAGGCTGGTCTTGAACTCCTGACCTCAGGTGATCTGCCTGTCTTGGCCTCCCAAAGTGCTGAGATTACAGGTGTGAGCCACCGCGCCTAGCCTTATATGCTATTTTCAGTTGTTACCCGTAGATAATTTTTAAATACTGATGGTTAAGAAAAGGGTAAATGCAAATGATTTTATTAGGTATAAACCTGTTCATTTAGTAGGACTTGTGATTATTGCATCAATATTTAAACATCTTGAATATTAGATAATTGACTAAGGTTGGGACATGATTTAAATGGTAATAATTTTGCTATAATAGGCCATAGGTTATGTATTTTTTTTTCCTGTGCTGATTTGGAAATAAATTTTTTTGAAATTTTTACCTATTTTGGAGATTCTTCAAAAGTAGATCAGTGGTAAGAAAATTTAGGTAACATTGAGTACTTCTAATATACAAAACATTGTGTCATCAAATACTTTACTGACTTCTATAGAAATGAGACATGAAGGTTTTGAAAAATACCCAAGTTAGCACAGTTCATAGCAAGTCTTTTGTGATATTGATTGCAGTGTATAGTACTTAGTTTAATAATGTTTGTAATGTATATTCAAGCTCCAGAGAGAAATGGTTTGTGTGATCTACGGCAAAAAGGTTATATTTATCTTTTTCATTTGAATCACCATTATCTCTTTTTGTTACATTTAATTACAGGACTGTTCCCTGATGTGGGTGGAGGTTATTTCTTGCCACGACTCCAAGGAAAACTTGGTTACTTCCTTGCATTAACAGGATTCAGACTAAAAGGAAGAGATGTGTACAGAGCAGGAATTGCTACACACTTTGTAGATTCTGAAAAGGTACTTTTTCAGATGTTTGCATTTTGTATTGTTGGAATAACAACACAAAATAGTGCATGGGAAGGTACAATGGGTGGTTGAGAGCCACAGACTTCTGGTGAAATCGTGGTGTGAATCCTGGACCTATTAGTTTATAGCTGTGTTACCTTGGAGAAAGTGCATAAGCTCTCTAATTCTGTTTCCTCATATGCAAACTGGAGATAATGATACCTGGATTCAGGGTTGGCACCTTCAGTGAGTATTTTTAAGTGAACAATTAGAGTCTCTTAAAAAAAAAATCATGCCTACCTTAAGAAAGTCTAATATGTACAAATCTAAATTTATATATAAAAAGATAGCCTTTTATTTTATGAGGACATTTTGAAGGCTTCTTTTGGTTATGAGTTTCCCTAGCGCATTGAAAGTAATTGCATTTGACTTTTCTAAAACACATCTGTTACAAGGAACACGTTACTTATCTTTGCTTTTTTTTTTTTAAAAAAAAAACAATGTGGCCAATTTTCTCAGCACAGGATAACATAGTGGAAAAGAATATATAGATAGTTTGAGTTTAAGTCTTAATTGGAACTTAGCCTCTTTTGCCCCCCATTTTCCCGTCTGCAGAATGGAGATGACACTATTACATAGTAGTTGAAACTCCTTGTGTTACATGTGGCAGAAGACCCAATTCAAGGTAGTTTTGCCTCAGAATTCCCAGCAAGAGACTTAGGATGTATTTTGCTTCACCTGGTTTGGTTCACTCTGACTGGACTGGCTTATCTTATTCCTGAACCGTATGAGTAGGTAGAATATACCAACTGGCCTATCCTAGGTAATGCACACTCTGTCCTTCAATCTGTGGGGTAAAGTCAGCTTTCAAGGAAGCACATGGTCATCAGATGAATAGCTGATCAGATCTTAAGGGAAGGGTGTTTTAGGATACGGCAAGGAAAGCTATAAAAATTAAATTAGAAAATTTATGTTACATGCTTAGCCCAGTAACTGACAAATAGTAAACACTCAAAATTTAACTATTATTAATAATTTTAATGCAGTTTTATATTTTTAGAGGTTGCCGGATTTTTCATTGAGAGTCTCTTGTATGTTACAAAGGATGGCCCTTTTTATCCTCATATCTGTAACATTCTTCTGTTTTGGGTAAGGATGCCAGAGATTATACTGACAGTTAGACTATCATGTGAGTCCCCCAAGGACTTTTTACAAATGATGATGATTTATTCTCACACGTCCTCTTTGGCCATTGAAGTAAAACAGCTGGATAGCATAAAAATGTACTGTTTGGTCACTAATAGAATTCTCTTCATAAACTTTATAAATTGGCTGTGGAAATTTTTATGTTGATGAGCTTTGGTCTTGTTTCTCACACTGTTACAGATTCTGTAAAATGTATGAAGCATACAAAATTGAAGATTGTCTCTGTAAACTGTTATGAAGGCCTTTCTATCATGTTTGGCCAAAGATTCAGATCTTTCTCTGTGTTGTGGGCATCCTCAGTCACATTGAGTAGTCTCATGCTTCCCTTGAGCTATAACAGGAAGGAAACATGGGCATGTGATTATCCTGTCTGGAAGGGACACCCTTGATTACAGTGGAATTTAGGATACGAGAGAGCTGATGCATAACCCCTTTCTTTGTCAATGTGTTCAATGCTAGTATCTGCAATGAGTAGACAGACATTCTCAGGGCTGTAGAGGATATGAAAAAGAGGAATATACTTTGGGGATGCGATTAGAAGTGGGTACAAAAGATAAATAACCATCTCTCTCATCTGGCAGAGGTAAAGTATGGTAAGTGTAAAAACAATACAAAGAAAATACTCAAAGAATTGAAAGGAGGAAGAGCTTACCTGTAAGAAAGGACTAGAAGCTTTTTTATGAAGGTTGCAGTACAGCCGGCCTTAAGGTGAGTATTATCAGGAAAAGGTATTGTCAGGTAAAGGAAACATTTAATGAAATCACAGGGGCAAGAAAGCATTAGCTATGCTCTGGGAACAGTAAAAAGTCCTGTTTGGCTCAGTGTAGGGTAGATTAAGTGAGGGATTAGATGGATAAATAAGTGAAGCTATATTATAGTGTTGTGCATTGTCTGTGGTAGCCACTAATAATTTGTGGCAATTTTGGTTAAAATTAATTAAAAATAAAATAAAATTTATATGTAGGTCTTTGGTTCCAAGTACTCAATAGGCTGAGAAACAAAAGTCTCTATTTCTCCTTCTTAATTTCTTCCATCTTTATCCATTCCTTTGAAGGCTACATTTGCTGTGTGGGAATACCTGTTCATTCAACTTAAGTCAAAATTTCTTTCAGTGATTCACCTGAAGAGACAGCTTCATAATTTAAAGTCAAGAATTCTAAAAAAGAAGATGAGATTTTTATAAAGCTTTCTATGTTTCTATTGGATCTAAGATCTTTCCTTTTTTTCTGCCTCCCCTTTAGTTGGCCATGTTAGAGGAAGATTTGTTAGCCTTGAAATCTCCTTCAAAAGAAAATATTGCATCTGTCTTAGAAAATTACCATACAGAGGTAATCTTGTTAATATTCTAACCTCAGGTTTTAATTCATGGGGAGGGGAAGTGATTAAAAAACTGGCAGTTGGTGAATATTATAGTTTGTAAATATAAATAAATGTACTAAGGATTTATTTACTTTAAAGCGTGGCAGAAGAATCAGTGCTTCACAGTTGTTAGTATAGCCAGCTAATAAGATGACTTCTTTCCTGTGCAGCTGCATAGCTGTCTTCCCACTGCTGGTTAACTTCAGTGCATAGCCTTGTGATCATTCTTTGCAAGGGTTTTGGCATTTCTGTAAACGGTGTTCAATGTTAACACTATTTGTGGAGATGCAAACTCTTGACATTTATTTATATTTAATAAAGTTTATTGCAGCATGTATTTTTAATTCCTTACTTATGTTGTCTGACTTGAATTTTCTTATAAGAGCCAAGAATCTTTAAAAACACTCCATAACTTCTAGTTAAACATGATTGAATACATGCTGCCTCCTAAAACACCATTCAAAATTGTAATAAGTGAATAAGAAAAGGCATAAACCCACAAAGACAAGTAGAACGGAAGAGGAGACAGTGGCAGACATGAGATGTTAGTATTTTGGAAGCTTGAAATCAGCAGGATGAGTGCTGCTAACTTAAACCAAAGAACTCTGAAAGCCAATAAGAAGTCAGCTGATTGTTGCTGTAGACCCTTCTAAAGGGACTAGGTCCCTCTGAAGACTAGGGTGTAGAATGGGGCAGAAAAACAGGAGGATTTATTATAAGTTTTTTTTTTGTTTTTTTTTTTTGTTTTGAAGCAGAGTCTCGCTCTGTCACCTAGGCTGGAGGGCGGTGGCGCAATCTTGGCTCACGGCAACCTCTGCCTTCCAGGTTCAAGCGATTCTCGTGCCTCAGCCTCCCGAGTAGCTGGGATTACAGGCGTGTGCTACCATGCCCAGCTAATTTTTGTGTTTTAGTAGAGACAGGGTTTCACCATGTTGGCCAGGCTGGTTTTGAACTTGTGACCTCAAATGATCCACCCTCCTCAGCTTCCCAAAGTACTGAGATTATAGCCATGAGCACTGCACCTGGCCCTTCCACAAGTCTTCTTGTACAACTGAGAGTAGCTATCTTCCAGTAGCCTGGCAGAAGAGTAGATACTTACTCCTTAGAGAAACCAAATCAGGCAGGTCTAGCTGACAGTAGAGACTGATGAAGTACTGTACTGATGAGAGGTGAGATATACTAAGTTGGAAGACCTCTGTCCCTTTTCCCTAGTTGGCTTGCAGAACCGCTGCATCCCACCCCACTCCTAAGCAATACATTGGAAGAAAAAAAAACCCATAGACGTTGAAATTCATGGACCCCTTAATAACACATCTTGCCTGATCATCTTATAATGTAACACAATTGAGAATCCCATAACTTGCAACTGACATTAGACGCAAAGCTTCCTAATTTTAGTGCTTTGCATAGAAAAACAAATATTCCTAGGCCAAAACAAACAACAAAGGCACTGGAAGGAAACAGTTAATGCAAGAAGAAGGAAACTTAGACAAATACCAATCTATAACTGTTAACTTAAGAGGAAAATATTTTACCTCTTAAACAACAACAGATGTTATAAAGGTAATTCAAAGAATAATATAGGCATGCCTCAGAGAATCTGAATTTGGTTCCACACCATGGCAATAAAGCTAGTCACATGAATGTTTTGGTTTTCCAGTGCTCATAAAAACTTTTACACTATACTGTAGTCTATTAAGTGTGCAGGAGCATCATTTCTAAGCACAAGTACGTATCTTATTAATTTATAGTTATAAAATAATTTAGCTAAAAATACTAATGATCATCTGAGCTTTCGGTGAGTCATAATTGTTTTGCTGCTGGAGGGCCTTGCCTAGATGTTGATGGCTACTGGCTGACCTTGGTAGTGGTTATGCCTGTAAAATTTTAAAGATGATAACAAAAGTTGGGAATAAAAAACCCAGAACAGATTAAAATCTGTGGTTGAGGAAAACTCTAACAGAAAAGGATAATTAAATAGAAAAGGGAGAGAATGGAAAACTAGAGGTATTATTCCAAGAGGTCCAAAATCTAATCATTAGGAATTCATAGTAAAGAAGATAGAGGGAAGGAAATATTTGGAGAAATAGTACCAAATAAATTACCCAGAACTGAAGAACATGAGTACAGATTGGCAGGGCCACCAAGTACTTGGTGGAGAGAATATGAATACAGAGCACATGAGGATTTCACTTGTTTTTATCAGAGCATTTGATAGTCTCCTGTTGTCGAATTGAGTAAATATGTGATGAATTATGCTTTGCGGTGGTTGAAGGGGCTTATCAAAGAGTTCTACTAAATGTATAGGAGTTAGTTTGTAGGGAAGTCATCTTAGACTTATTCAGCATTTTTCTCAAGTGATTTGGTGACCACTGATAGCGTTTTGATCAAGTTGATTTAGAACTAAGAAAAACAAGTTAAATTAGGAAAAAGAATATGGATGAAAAAACAACCCTTAGAGTTTAGAGTGATCTGCTCAATAGTAATAATGTGAAATTTAATAAAGATAAGTGCGAATCTTGTGTTTTAACCCAAAGTGCTAAATTCATAAGTACAGAATAGGAGAAACACAGCCTACAATGGCACAGGTTTAAAAAAAAAAAAAAGTCTTATTTAATTGGAGCTTAGTGTGAATCAGCTGCAATCATAGGCCTGTCTCAACACTAACTCAGAGTTAGTCCAATTAAGAAAAGTATATCCAAAGCAATCAAGGGCCTGCAGAACCCTCTTATACTTTGCTACCATCCAGCCACACCTGCAGCTAAGATACGTGTCCCGTACTTGAAGAATGACCTTGATAAACTGGAACTTGTCCATGAGAAGGACCTGGATCATGAGGGGACACAAAACTGTGTCATGTGGGAAGTGGTTAAGGTGAAAGAGATTAACTAGAACTATAAACATGCTAGCATTGGTTTTTGTTCCAGAATTAAAACAACAACAGAAACCTAATTATTCAGTTGTTCTAGCATTTGTGAACTCCTCCTTGAGAGGTGCTTTCTCTCCCTGAAGGTCACAGCTGCAGGCATACCAGGTATATGGTGTGAATTTCTGGCTAGGATGGAAATTTGGGCAGGTTGACCTTTCAGGTCCCTTACATATTCACAGATATATTTTAATGATAATGTGTCAAATGTAATAGTGGTTACATATATTTATACATGTAAATAAAAATACTAGAACATTTTTGCCGTTGATACTTTTAAGAGCTAGTCTAGAGTTCTACATGCTGTCTGAATTTTGATCATACAGCGGTAGTTATTTATGAGACAGTTAGATGTAATTTGACTGAAAGTGACAAGTGACAATCTTTCACAAAGTGTATCATTAAATATGAATTTTTAAGGATTAAAAAATTGTGTTCAAATTTATTAAAAGATTTTTCTTTTCAAACAGTCTAAGATTGATCGAGACAAGTCTTTTATACTTGAGGAACACATGGACAAAATAAACAGGTACCTAAAAAGAGATCTCAGTTATATATTCCTTTAGAAAGACTATGTTAAAATGAATTTGCTAACATTATAATTACCATTTTAATTACATTGTGTTTGATAGTGCACTGAATTCTGAGATCAGAAAGTATAGAGCTTTCCTTCCTTTTTTTTTTTTTTTTTTTGAGACAGAGTCTCGCTCTATCCCCCAGGCTGGAGTGCAGTGGTGCAATCTCAGCTCACTGCAGCCTCCGCCTCCTGGGTTCAAGCAATTCTTATGCTTCAGCCTTCTGAGTAGCTGGGACTACAGGCACCTGCTACCATGCCTGTCGAACTTTTGTATTTTTAGTAGAGACAGGGTTTCGCCATGTTGGCCAGGCTGGTCTCCAACTCCTGACCTAAGGTGATTCACCCTCCTCGCCCTCACAAAGTGCTGGGATTACAGGCGTGATGCCTGGCCAGCATAGGGTTTTTTTTTCACTTACCTTTGAAAGTAGCTTCTTTCCCTCTCTTTCTGGGTGAAATAAATTCATTATATTTAAGTAATCTACCATGAGAATTCATCTTAGTACAAAATACCTTTTTTTTTAAAGTGGGGAAGAGCAGCTAGAAAATAATAATTAACTTTTATTTTTGTAAATTCATCTTTTCTGAAGATCTTACCAAGCTGAACAGCAAAAAGATTTTGTGCAGTGATTTGAATTTATATTAGTGCAAAATATCTTTTTTTTTTAAGTGGAGAAGAGAAGCTAGAAAATAATAATTGAATTAACTTTTACCTTTTTAAATTCATCTTCTCTGAAGGTCTTATCAAGCCGATCAGCAAAAAAGGTTTTGTGTGATGATTTGAGAGATTGACAAACTGGCTTTGGGAAACAAGAGGAGGAAAAGTATTAGAAAATAAGACAACCATCTCTACAATTTAGAAGCATCGATTTTTCATTGTTGAATTGTTTCTTTACATGGAAATATAACAGATGCAAAAGAAAAAATAAAATTTAGATTTTATTTTATGTTAGTGAAGGTAGACGGCAAATGCTTACCCAGGGAAGCAATGCTCTCTTTCTTTTCACGTCCTGTTAAAGAGGTTAGACAATTTTTCATTATTGAAACAGAGGTGGGGGAAAGCCTATGTTCAGATTCATCGTATGTTAGAAACAGGAAATCACTTACACATTGGTGAAATCACATTTCCTTTTTTTATAGTTGTTTTTCAGCCAATACTGTGGAAGAAATTATTGAAAACTTACAGCAAGATGGTTCATCTTTTGCCCTAGAGCAATTGAAGGTAATATTGGAATCCTTTCTGCCCTGAGTGAACATAGTGAAGTCCGGTGACAGGGAAGCCTCTCTAAGGGGGTATTAGTGCTCCATTGGTGGTGACATAGCCCATGCATTGTGTTTTCTTTTTTCCCAAATTTAGGTGAGCTTCAGAAATCAGTTCCACTAACCCTGACCTAAATCCAAGTGCCGTGTCTACCTGCTGGTCGTTGAGGGCAAAGCCAATCTAGTTTTATGTCCTTTGAATGTAACAGAGGACTTTAGTAAGCATGCTTCATTTCCAAATAGTCCTCCTTGTCCTATGGAGGAAGGTTTTAGGGACATTTTAATTAGAAGGGCTGGGTCACTGGAGATTAGTCACCTTATGATACATTGCAATTGGGACATTGATCTATAAATTCTACTTAATATGGTCTTTCTAAACAGGAGGTTTAATTAAAAAGTGATCTTTTTTAAACAAGCAAGAGACTCTATCTCTTGCCATAGCTGAGTCTTATGTAGTGTTTCTGTGTTAGGTACACTTTGATCTTTTTGACACATAACTGTTAACAGCAGAAGAGCCATTTTTGTATAAATGTGTACATACCAGGTATTGACATTCGTGGACCTCTAGTATGATTATGAGACTTGGAGTATTTCAGACTTCTAGACAAAGGAAAGAAAAGGTATGTTTCCTTATACTTAAAAGGTGTTTTAGCTTGTCTTCATCTGATAGCATTTTTCGTATATATATGTGTGTGTGTGTGTATATATATATATATATTAGGCTCCACATCATGATTCCATAATGTTTTCTATTTATAGATGTAATCATAGCATTTCAGTTGTCAGGAAACATATTGAGAAAAAATTTTGATAGTCTTACCTGTAAAGGTGAAAACATTTCCTCCATTGTCACTGTATTTTTTTTGTTTTCGTTTTTTTGAGACAGAATCTTGCCCTGTTCCCCAGGCTGGAGGACAGTGGTGCAATCACAACTCACTGCAGCCTCAGCCTCCCAGGCTCAAGCAATCCTCACACCTCAGCCTCCTGAGTAGCTGGGACTACGGGCGTGTGCCACCACGGGTGGCTAATTTTTTGTATTTTTTTGTAGAGACAAGGTTTCACCATGTTGGCCAGACTGGTCTCGACCTCCTAGGCTCAAGTGATTCACCCACCTCAGCTTCCCAAAGTGCTGGGATTACAGGTGTGAGCCACCACACCCGGCCTTTTACTGTATTCTTAAGGGGGAAATCCAAAGTTAATTTCTCCCATGGGATCTTATACAGTATTAAAATTTTGTTAACTTTCAAGGATGGGCATAAATTAGAGCAGGTAGACCAGCCATTTATTTGCCTAACTCACAAAAGTAGATTGTTAATATTAACAACTTCCAGGAATGTTTACATCAATAGTCATTTTATAATTCAAGGAATCCGACTTTAAGTTGGTGTATCAGGGTTCTCTAGAGGGAAAGAACTAATAGGAGATATGTATATAAAGGGGAGTTTATTAAGTATTAACCTGCACAATCACAAGGTCCCACAGTAGGCTGTCTACAAGCTTGAGGAGCAATGAGGACCAGTCTGAGTATCAAAACTGAAGAACTTGGGGTCTGATGTTCAAGGGCAGGAAGCATCCAGCATGGGAGAAAGATACAGGCTGGGAGGCTAGGCCAGTCTCTCCTTTACACGGTTTTCTGCCTGCTTTATATTCTCTGGCAGCTGATTAGTTTGTGCCCACCAGATTAAGGGTGGATCTGCCTTGCCCAGCCCACTGACTCAAATGTTAATCTCTTTTGGCAACACCCTCACAGACACATCCAGGATCAATACTTTGTATCCTTCAGTCCAGTCAAGTTGACACTCAGTATTCACCATCACAAGTCCACCCCTTGTCAACTTGAACCCATACACATCTCCTGAGTCTTCAAATAAAGACAATAATAAGGTCATAATTATGCCTAACATAATGCAACTACCCTTTGTACGACCAGAAATGCACCAGTTCCCAACCCAAATACCATTACATAAAGTTAGCAGTACTTAAATGCCAATATGAAGTCAGTAAATCTTATGTCACATGATAAAGGAAAAGGAAATAAAGATATTTTCTTAGTACAAGTATATGCATGCACAAACATGTTTTTAGCAAAAGATGGAGGAAATATTTATGACAATCACAGTCTCCATTTCTGCAGCTGATCACATGGTTGTAGCTAGTATTGATGACTACCTCCTCCTACTACCCATTCTGTATTCCCTTTGTCTTCAGCAAGCACCTCATGTCAACAAAAAGGACACCCACACAAAAACCCCATTCAGAGGCCATCAGCATCAAAGCTCAAAGGTAGATAAACACACGAAGATGAGGAAAAGCCAGTGCAACAATGCTGAAAATTCCAAAAACCATAATGCCTCTTCTCCTCCAAATGATTACAACTCCTCTCCAGCAAGGGCACAAAACTGGACGGAAATGAGTTTGACGAATTGACAGAAGTAGGCTTCATAAGGTGGGTAATAACAAACTCCTTTGAGCTGAAGGAGCATGGTCTAACCCAATGCAAGGAAGCTAAGAACATTGATAAAAGGTTACAGGAACTGCTAACTAGAATAACCAGTTTAGAGAAGAACATAAATCTTCTTGAAGAACGAGTATCAATAACTGAATCAATCAAGCAGAAGAAAGGATATCAGAGATTGAAGATCAACTTAAATAAAATGTGAAGACAAGATTAGAGAAATGAGAATGAAAAAGAATGAACAAAGCCTCCAAGAAATGTAGGACTATGTGAAAAGACCAAACCTAGGATTGATTGGTGTATCTGAAAGTGACGGGAGAATGGAGTCAAGTTAAAACACACTTCAGGATATTGTGCAGGAGAACTTCCCCAACCTAGCAAGACTGGCCAACATTCAAATTCAGGAAATACAGAGAACGCCGCGAAGATGCTCCTTGAGAAGAGCAACCCCAAGACACATAATCTTCAGATTCTCCAAAGTTGAAATGAAGGAAAAAATGTTAAGGGCAGCCAGAGAGAAAGGTCGGGTTACCCACAAAGGGAAGCCCATCAGACTAACAGCAGATCCCTGTGTAGAAACCATACAATCCAGAAGAGAGTGGGGGCCAATATTCAACATTCTTGAAGAAAAGAATTTTCAACCCAGAATTTCATATCCAGCCAAACTAAGCTTCATAAGTGAAGGAGAAAGGAAATCCTTTCCAGATGAGCAAATGCTGAGGGATTTTGTCACTACCAGGCCTGTATTACAATAGCTCCTGAAGGAAGCACTAAATATGGAAAGGAAAGACTGGTACCAGCCACTGCAAAAACATACCAAAATACAAAGACCAACAACACTATGAAGAAACTGCATCTAATGGGCAAAATAACCAGCTAGCATCATGATGACATGATCAAATTCACATGTAACCATATTAACCTTAAATGTAAATGGGCTAAATGCACCAATTAAAAGACACAGACTAGCAAATTGGATAAAGAGTCAAGACCCATTGGTGTGCTGGATTCAGGAGACCCATCTCACATGCAAAGACACATATAGGTTCAAAATAAAGGGATGGAGGAATATTTACCAAGCAAATGGAAAGCAAAAAAGCAGGGGTTGCAATCCTAGTTTCTGATAAAACAGACTTTAAACCAAAAGCAATCAAAAAAGACAAAGGCATTACATAATGGTAAAGGGATCAATGCAGCAAGAAAAGCTAACTATCCTAAATATATATTCACCAATACAGGAGCACCCAGATTCATAAAGCAAGTTTTTAGAGACCTTCAAAGAGGCTTAGACTCCCACACAATAATAGTGAGAGACTTTGAACACCCTACTTTCAATGTTAGATTAATGAGACAGAAAATTAACAAGGATATTCAGGACTTGAACTCAGCTCTGGACCAAGTGGACCTAATAGACATCTGTAGAACTCTCTACCCCAAATCAACATAATATACGTTATTTTCAGTACCACATAGCACTTATTCTAAAATAAACCACATAATTGGAAGTAAAACACTCCTCAGCAAATGTAAAAGAACGGAAATCATAACAGTCTCTCAGACCGCAGTGCAATCAAATTAGAACTCAGGATTAAGAAACTCACTCAAAACCGCACAATACATGGAAAGTGAACAACTTGCTCCTGAATGACTACTGGGTAAATAATGAAATTAAGGCAGAAATAAGTTATTTGAAACCAATGAGAACAAAGACACAACGTACCAGAATCACAACACAGCTAAAGCAGTGTTTAGAGGGAAATTTATAGCACTAAATGCCCACATCAGAAAGTGGAAAAGATCTAAAATTGACACCCTTACATCACAGTTAAAAGAACTAGAGAAGCAAGAGCAAACAGATTCAAAAACTAGTAGAAGACAGGAAATAACAAAGCAGAACTGAAGGAGATAAAGACAGAAAAAAAACACTTCAAAAAAATCAGTGAATCCAGGAGCTGGTTTTTGAAAAGGTTAACAAAATAGACCACTAGCCAGACTAATAAGAAAAGAGAGAAGACTCAAATAGACACAATAAAAAATGATAAAGGGGATATCACCACCGATCCCACAGAAATGCAAACTACCATCAGAGAATGCTGTAAACACCTCTCCACAAATAAACTAGAAACTCTAGAAGAAATGGATAAATTCCTGGACACATACACCTTCCCAGGACTAAACCAGGAAGAAGTCAAATCCCTAAATAGACCAATAACAATTTCTGAAATTGAGGCAATAATTAATGGCCTACCAACCAAAAAAAGCCCAGGACTAGATGGATTCACAGCCGAATTCTGCCAGAGGTATGAAGAGGAGCTAGTGCCATTCCTTCTGAAAATATTCCAAAGAATACAAAAAGAGGGACTCCTCCCTAACTCATTTTATGAGGCCAGCCTCATCCTGATACCAAAACCTGGCAGAGACACAACAATAAAAAAATATTTCAAGGCCAGGTGCGGTGGCTCATGCCTGTAATCCCAGCACTTTGGGAGGCCGAAGCGGGCAGATCACTCAAGTTCAGGAGTTCGAGACCCGCCTGGCTAGCATGGTGAAACCCTGTCTCTATTAAAAATACAAAAATTAGCTGGGCGTGGTGGCACATGGCTATAATCCCAGCTACTCAGGAGGCTGAGGCAGGAGAATCAGTTGAGCCCAGGAGGCGGAGGTTGCAGTGACCTGAGACCATACCATTGCACTCCAGCTTGGGCAACAGGAGGGAAACTCTGTCTCAAAAAAAAAAAAAAAAAAACTACAAACCACTGCTCAAGGAAGTAAGAGAGGACACAAATGGATAAACATTCTATGCTTATGGATAGGAAGAATCAATATCATGAAAATGGCCATACTGCCCAAAGTAATTTTTAGATTCAGTGCTATTCCTATCAAGCTACCATTGACTTTTTTCACAGATCTAGAAAAAACAATTTCATATGGAACCAAAATAGAGCCCGTGTACTCTAGAGAATCCTAAGCAAAAAGAACAAAGTTGGAGGCATCATGCTACCTGACTTCAAATTATACTACAAGGCTAGAGTAACCAAAACAGCATGGTATAGTGGTACCAAAACAGATATATAGACCAATGGAACAGAACAGAGGCCTCAGAAATAACACCACACACCTACAACCATCTGATCTTTGACAAACCTGACAAAAACAATCAATGGGGAAAGGATTCCGTATTTAATAAATGTTGTTGGGAAACTTGGCTAGCCATATGCAGAAAACTGAAACTGGACCCCTTCCTTACACTTTAGGTGAAAATTAATTCAAGATGGATTAGACTTAAACATAAGACCTAAAACCATAAAAACCCTAGAAGAGAACCTAGGCAATACCACTCAGGACATAGTCATGGGCAAAGACTTCATGACTAAACCACCAAAAGCAATTGCAACAAAAGCCAGAATTGAGAAATAGGATCTAATTAAACTAAAGAGCTTCTGTACAGCAGAAGAAATTCTCATCAGAGTGAACAGGCAACTCACGGAATGGGAGAAAAATTTTGCAACCTATCCATCTAAAGGTCTAATATCCAGAGTCTACAAGGTACTTAAATTTACGAGAAAAAAACAACCCCATCAAAAAGTGGGTGAAGGATGTGAACAGACACTTCTCAAAAGAAGACGTTTGTGGCCGGGCGTGGTGGCTCACGCCTGTAATCCCAGCACTTTGGGGGGCCACAGAGGGCGGATCACGAGGTCAGGAGTTCAGGACCAGCCTGACTAATATGGTGAAACCATGTCTCTACTAAAAGTACAAGAATTAGCCAGGTGTGGTAGAGTGCATATATAATCCCAGCTACTGTGGAGGCTGAGGCAGGAAAATCGCTTGAACCTGGGAGGCAGAGGTTGTAGTGAGCCAAGATCACCCTACTGCCCTCCAGCCTGGGTGACAAGAGCAAGACTCCATCTCAAAACAAACAAAAGACATTTACACGGCCAACAAACATATGAAAAAAAGTTTATTGTCATTGATCATTAGAGAAATGCAAATCAAAACCACAATGAGGTAACTATCTCACACCAGTTAGAATGGAGATCATTAAAAAGTCTGGAAACAACAGATACTGGCAAGGATGCAGAGAAATAGGTACACTTTTACACTGTTGGTGGGAGTGTAAATTAGTTCAACCATTGTGGAAGACAATGTGCCGATTCCTCAAGGATCTAGAACCAGAAATACCATATGACCCAGCAATCCCTTTACTGGGTATATACCCATAGGATTATAAATCATTCTACTGTAAAGACACACGCACATGTATGTTTATTGCAGCACTATTTACAATAGCAAAGACTTGGAATCAACCCAAATGCCTGACAATGAGAGACTGGATAAAGAAAATGTGGCATATATACGCCATGGAATACCATGCAGCTGTAAAAAAAGAATGAGTTCATGTCCTTTGCAGGGACATGGATGAAGCTGGAAACCATCATTCTCGGCAAACTAATACAAGAACAGAAAACCAAACACTGCATGTTCTCACTCATAAGTGGGAGTTGAACAGTGAGAACATATTGACACAGGGAGGGGAACATCACACACTGGGGCCCATCAGGGTAGGGGGCAAAGGGAGGGGGAGAGCATTAGGAGAAATACCTAATACATGAGGGGCTTAAAACCTAGATGACGGGTTAATGGGTGCAGCAAACCACCATGGCACGTGTATACCTATGTAACAAACCTGCACGTTCTGCACACGTATATATAAATATATATATAAATGTGGGGCACCTAGAACTTACACATTGCAGCAAGAATGCAGTTTGGCAGTTTCTTACAAAGTTAAACATAAACTCACCAAGACCCAACAGCCCCACTCTGCGAGATTTATCCAAAAAAGTGTAAACACGAGTCCACACAAATGCTTATATTTACATGTTCATTGGAACTTTGTTCATAATAGCCAAAATCTAGAAACAGCTGAATGCATATTAATTACTGAATAAACTTATTGTGATATATTTATACAATGGAATACTACTTCTCTAAGAAGGAATGAGCTGCTGCTACACACAGCATGATAAATCTTGGAAGCAGTATGTCAACAAAAGATGGTGGATGCAAAGGACCACTCATTGTATGGCTTTATTTTTATGAAATTCTAGAAAAGATAAAAGTATTTGAATAGAAAACAGATCAGTTGCCAGAGGGTAAGGAGAACTCTTTGGAGTGTTAGAAATGTTCTATATCTTGATTGTGGGGCTAATTATACAACTGTATACACTTATCAAAACTCATAGAACTATGCACTTAAGTGAATTTTATTATATATAATTTAACATCAGTAGAACTATTTAAAAAATAAAATGACATACTGACAGTTGGCCTATAGATGTATGCATTGTATTTGCTGAATGTACCCATTATAGTATACCATTTATTGCTATTAATAAGAGCAATTTAATGCCAGTGTTGATGGATACATTGTGCTTTGGGGAAAGAGTATGATAAAGGGGAAAATGCATCAGTTTATGTAGACAGAAGAGAAAACAGTTTTCTAGTTCACTGATGGGCCTTAGCGACCCTTAAATGCTACCATTGGCATTTAGGAAACATAAAATAGTAGTACTTGTATCTTTAGATAGTATCTTTTCATTTTATATAAATTGTTAATGCCTTTAAGAAATTACCAGAAAAGTCTTAAGATCAGGTTGCAAAAGGCAGCCTTCTTGCACTGGCTCTAAGCCTTTTATTGTAGATACAAAAAAGAATATTAGTGCCATGTTTTGAAGGTCTGTTTTGGTCTTTATATAGTAATATGACATTTCAGATTGGTGAAAATATACTAAAAAATAGAAATATTTCTGTGAAACTGCACTAGTCAATGAAATAGACATTGACTTGTTCTTGTTTTAAATATTTTGTATTTGTATTGGTTTATTGTCAGTCGGAACACTTCTGGAAATGATTTATAGATATATGTTTGTAAGGTTTAAGATGATTACTTAGAAAAATATTTACAGTTCAAAGCAGAACATAACTCTTAAATATGTTTGATTTAAACTAGCTTAAAAAATTAAAAACTAACAGAGTATAATAGAGCTTTTGTCACTTGGTTTCAATATAACAGATGATGTGACTTATTATTAAAATACTTGTGAATTAAATTTTACCTTCAGCTTAGTTTCATTTAACCCTGAGGACAAATGCCAAGAGATATTTCCCATTTAAGCCTTACAACAACACAACACAGCTCCAGATCTTCAGTGGCAATATTGTAAAATACCTTAAAATGGCAGTTACTCCATGAAGGTGTGTGCACCTCTGTCTGCTTGTCTCCATTCTGTTACGTCTTTTTCTCTCAACCTCTTACCTTTTGCTTTATTGAGTGATATCTAGCACACACCATTAACTCCTGGAAGCTTGCTTAACCCTTATCTCCTGGCACCTATGACAAAGTATTTCATATGATAGGTATGATGAATGAATGAATGGTGCCACAGCAGCCACTGAAGTATGAAAATGACAATCCAGTATCTGTTCTCAGGGAGTTTGCAATCTAGTGGAACACACACATAAACAATTACAATGCAGTGTGGCAAGTGTGTCTAAAGTAGAGGCACAAATTATTATGGATGTCCATAAAACGATGGAGGGATTCTGAGAGGCCTCATGAGGAAGTGTAATCTGAGCAAAGTCTATGTGAGTTGCCAGGTGCCAAAGGGTATTCCAGAGAGAATACCACATACTTAGACAAATGTTTGGAAAGTGCAGAGCAAGGAACAAGGAGTAACATACCAGGAAATACGGCCAAAAAGATGACTGGGGGCAGATTGTAATGGTCCTTATGTTATACTTAACTGCTTGAATTCTGTGAGTTTTTTCTGAGTATGCATATTTTAAGAACTCATGTTTTTAAATTGTAACATACAGAAAAATACAGAAATCATATATTTATACCTCAATATTTTTTCACACATGAACTAAAGAAATGTTGGAGGCTGAAAGATTGAGGGTCGTGATTAACTCAGTATCCTACCACTGGAGGCTATATGAGTAAACAACAAACTGTTCTCATAAATGCAGAATGTTGGCAAACTGACAAACTGCGTATGCCACCCATAAGGAATGCTGAGGGCAGTCATGTCCCAAGTGCAATGTTTCTTGAGATTCGGTACATCTGAAGCCTGTTAGTAATAATATGAACCTGTGATTAATTAAGCAGCTGACCAATCATTACCTCTTCCTCCTTGCTCTTGTTACCCAATAAATACGAAGGGCTGTAGAAGCTCAGGCACTGCCTTTGCTCACTAGAAGCAGGGAGCCCTCTTCTTCTTCCCCTGGCCCCTTCCTTTAAAACAGTTACTTTTGTCTTAAGTTTTCATTTCTAGTTCATCCCCCTTCACTCAGTCTCGTAATGACAGTCTCAAGTAGTAACAGTTGTAGTGAAGGTCTCAAGTAGTAATTGTGGCAGTCTGCCACAAAGAAACATTTACAGAGTGCCCCAGATGTCTTACTTGTGTGCCCTCCTACTCACTACCTCTTCTCCAGAATACATAACCATTATACTGGCTTCTCACACCATACGTTTTGTTTGAGGTTTTTTTTTTTTTAGAGTCTTGCTCTGTCACCCAGGCTGGAGTGATCTTGGCTCACTGCAGCCTCCACCTCCCAAGTTGAAGCAATTCTCCTGCCTCAGCCTCCCGAGTAACTGGGATTACAGGTGCCCGCCACCATACCTGCTAATTTTTATATTTTTTAGTAGAGATGGGGTTTCACCATATTAGTCAGGCTGGTCTTGAACTCCTGACCTCAGTTGATCCACCCGCCTTGGCCTCCCAAAGTGCTGGGATTACAGGTGTGATTGTTTGAATTTTATATAAATGAAATTGTATCATTTTGTGTCTAGTTTCTTTTGCTCAGCACTATATTTGTGAGATTCATCCAGATTGTACTTACATGACAGTAGTTTGTTCATTCTAAGATGCTCCATTGTTTGATGTATTGCAGTTCACTTATTCATTTCTACTGTTGGACATTTGAAGTTATTTGCAGGATTTTACTGTTAGAAATAATTCTGCTGTAAACAGTTTTGGCCTTGTGATAACATAGACACACATTTCTATGGGTTATATACCCAGAAGTAGTGCTATAAAATCATCAGGTAGGTGTATATTCATCTTCAGTAGTTACTGTTAAATAATTTTCTAATATAGTTGTATCAGTTTACATTCAAGTACTAGTTGCTCCGCATTCTCACCCGCATTTTGGTGGTGGTGGTGGTGTTTTTGAGATGGAGTTTCACTCTTGTTGCCCAGGCTAGAGTGCAGTGGCACAATCTCAGCTCACTCCAAGCTCCACCTCCCAGGTTTAAGCTATTCTCCTGTCTCAGCCTCCCAAGTATCTGGGATTACAGGCATGTGCCACCACTCCTGGCTAATTTTGCATTTTTAGTAGAGATGGGGTTTCACCATCTTGGCCAGGCTGGTCTCTAATTCCTGACCTCATGTGATCCACCTGCCTTGGCCTCCCAAAGTGCTGGGATTACAGGCGTGACCCACCATACCCAGCCCAACATTTGATATTGTCTTTTTCATTTTAATCTTTCTGGGATATATAAAATAGCATGACATTACGGTTTTAATTTGCATTTCCATGTTGATTAATGAAGTTGAGCACCATTTCATATATTTATCGTCCATGTGGGTAGTCTTTCTTATGAAGTTCCTGTTAAATCTTTATGATTAATTTGTAGGAATCCTCCTGGATGTAAATCCTTTGTCTGATAATACATATTGCATATATTATCCTCTGTATTCATCTCTTTTCACACTGCTGATAAAGATGTACCCCAGACCAGGCAATTTACAAAAGAAAGAGATTTAATGGACTTATATTTCATTGAGGCTGGGGAGGCCTCAAAATTATGGCAGAAGGCAAGGAGGAGCAAGTCATGTGGAAGAGGGAGCTTGTGCAGGGAAACTCCTTTTTATAAAACCATCAGATCTTGTGAGACTTATTCACTATCATGAGAACGGCATGGGAAAGATCTGCCCATGTGATTCAATTACCTTTCACTGGGTCTGTCTCACAACACGTGGGAATTTAAGATGTGATTTGGGTGGGGACCACAGCCAAACCATATCATCTTCTTTTCTGTGACTTGCCTTTTCTCTCTCAGTGGTGTCATATGATGAGCAGAAAATGTTAATTTTAATGTAATCCAGCTTATCCTTTTTTCCTTTATAGTTCTTTTATATCCTGTTTAAGAAATCACTGTTCCTCCAAGTTTTTAAGGAATAAAACATGTTACATATGAAGGCTTCAGGTTTCTCAACAATATTGGAAGCTAAAAGGCAATGGTTCATTGCCCTCTGTGTCAAGGGTCCCCAAGATCACTCCTGAGTTTGGCAACCCACTAGAAGGACTCACAGGACTCAGCATATATATATTATTACATTTTGTTTTTTGTTATTTATTTATTTTTTTTGAGATAGAGTCTTGCTCTGTCACCCAGGCTGGAGTGCAGTGGCATGATCTCGGCTCACTGCAAGCTCCGCCTCCCGGGTTCACGCCATTCTCCTGCCTCAGCCTCCCGAGTAGCTGGGACTACAGGTGCCCGCCACCACACCTGGCTAATTTTTTGTACTTTTAGTAGAGATGGGTTTTCACCATGTTAGCCAGGGTGGTCTCGATCTCCTGACCTCGGGATCCACCTGCCTCGGCCTCCCAAAGTGCTGGGATTACAGGCGTGAGCCACCATGCCCGGCCTCTATTATTATGTTTTTTGTCATAAAAGTAATGGCAAAAACTACAATTGCTTCTGCACCAACGTATAGTTGTACTCTTGTAGCAAAAGAATACAAACCAGAATCAGCAAAGGGAAAAGCACAGATGGTGGAATCTGGAGGAAACCAGGTGTAAGCGCCTAAGAGTCCTCTTCCAGTGGGTACTTGCACCTCCAGCAACTAGTTGAGATCTTGTGAAGTGCATTAGAGACTTGGCACACAGGACTTTTATTGGGGACTGGTAGTGTAGGCACTCTGCTTAGCACATACCTCAATTCCAGACTGCCAAAAGGGAAGTAGGTGTTGAATCTTCTTTGTGGAAGACTTATGCTTGCATATATTTCATTGGATTTATCCCTAGATATTTGGTGTTTTTTGATGTATGTTTAAATGGTGTCATTTTAAAATTTAATTTTCTATTTTTTGATATATAGAAATAAAATTGAAATTAAAAAAAATTTTTTTGAGATGGAGTCTTGCTCTGTTGCCCGGGCTGGAGTGCAGTGGCACAGTCTCAGTTCACTGCAAACTCCACCTCCTGGGTTTAAAGGATTCTCCTGCCTCAGCCTCCCAAGTAGCTGGGATTACAGGCACCCGCCACCATGCCCAGCTAATTTTTGTAGTTTTTAGTAGACTGGGTTTCACCATGTTGGTCAGGCTGGTCTTGAACTCTTGACCTCAGGTGATCCACACACCTTGGCCTCCCAAAGTGTTAGGATTACATGTGTAAGCCACCATGCTGCCCTGAAATTAAGTTTTATGTTTTGACCTTATACCTAATGATTTTGCTAAACTCACTTTTTTTTTAAGTGAGTTATTTATGGTTTGCAGATTAGGTTGAATTTTCATCATTTGTATACATAATGTCATATTTCCTTCTTCCTTTATTCCTTCTTCTCCTTTTCTTCTCCTCTCCCTCTCTCCCTTCCTTCCTCCGTCTCATACCCCCTTTATTTCTCCCTTCTCACCAGCTTCCTATACTGGCTAGCACTGCCAGCAAAATGTTCAGTAGAGGTGATGATAGCTATCTTTGTCTTATTCCCAGTCTTAAGGGGAAAGCTTTTAAGAACATTAAAAATGTTGAGTTTTGTAGGTTTTCTGTGGATATTCTTTGTCAGTGTGAAGAAGTTCATTCTGTGCCTAGTTGGTAAAGAGCTTTTTCGGTAATTACTGTTTTGAATGAGAGTTGGATTTTATCATGCTTATTTTGCTGCGTCTATTGAGATGATCATATGATTTTTGCCCTTTATTAATGTAAATTACAGTAATTTTTGATGATCAAATGTTTTTAATTTTGAGGAAGTCTGATTTATCTTTTTCTCTTTTATCAGTATTGATTTCTGTGTCCTAAGAAAACTTCAGCTACTTGCAGAATATCTTCCTGTGCTTTCTTCTGGAAGATTTCTAGTTACTGCTTTTTTGTTTAGGTCTAGATCTATCTCACATTAATTTTTTGTGCGTAGTGTAAAATATAGAAGTCCAGGTTAATTTTTTCCCACATTATTATATAATTGTTCCAGCACAGTTTGTTGAAAAGACTTCTTTCTTCCCCATTGGATTGCATTGGTGTCTTTTGTCAAAAATCAAATGACATTGTAGATAGATGGGAGTCTGTTTCTGGGACAATGGCTTTTGAAAGAACTAATTATGTATTTCTGGAAGAAGCCTTATTTTTTCGTGATACGTGTTTTACATATTGTTGGATTTGATTTGCTAGTATGTTTAGGATTTTTGCATTATGTTTATGAGAGATTGGTCTATAATTTTTCTTGTAATTGTCATGTCAAGTTTTAGTAATAAGGTTATGCTAGACTCATACAACAAAGTAGGAAAGGTTTCCTGTTTTCCCTGTTCTCTGGAAAAGTTTATATAAATTTAAGATACAAATTTTATTAGTAAAGCCATCTGGGACTGAAGTTTCCTTTGTGAGAAGGTTTGTAATTTATAGATTATATTTCTTTTTTTGAGACTGAGTCTTGCTCTCTCGCCCAGGCTGGAGTGCAGCGGCACGATCTTGGCTCACTGCAGCCTCCACCTCCTGGGTTCAAGCGATTCTTCTGCCTCAGCCTCCCTAGTATCTGGGAATATAGGCACGCGCCACCACACCCAGCTAATTTTTGTATTTTTAGTAGAGACGGGGTTTCACCTTATTGGCCAGGCTGGTTTCGAACTCCTGATCTTGTGATCTGCCCGCCTTGGCCTCCCAAAGTGCTGGGATTACAGGCGTGAGCCAAGATTATATTTCTTTAATAAAGAATACGTGACTTTTATTTAAGTTGTCAGATTTATTGGAAATGTTGTTCGTAATATCTTTTGATGTCTGTGGTACCTGTAATGATTCCTTTTTTACTACTACTGTTTTTTTTCTCTCTCTCTTCCACCCACCATCCCCATTTACTTTATTTTTCCATCTTTATATTTTCAGGCTCTTTATTGGTCAGAATTCTTAGTTGTAGAAAAGAGAGTTCACACCAGGTACTCTTAAGCAGAAAATGTTTTATTAAGGGGCACAGACAGCACAGACAGCTTACAAAAGTGTAGGGGACCCAAACAGAAACCCTTTAATTTTACTGATTAGAATGGGGAGCTTACAACAGAGGCAACTATTAAAATGTGCAGAAGGTATTCAGAAGATTGTGAGCAGGCATATATGAGAGATTTCATTACAAGCTCTCTACAGTAACCAACCATAATGCAGAATAGAAATTCATTATTTTGGACTTTTGCTACCTGTCAATTTAACTGTTACGTTTTTACGGACTTGTTAAAAAAGTGATTAGATAGACTGTTTTAGATTTTCCTTAAAAAAAAAAAATCCAGCCATATAAGATGCTTCTAATAGTAGTGTCTCTTAGTTTAGTTTTATTTTCTGTGCACTATTTGCCCTTGTAGAAAACATTGTTTCTGCTGAAAATGCTTTCAGGTAGTGTATGTTTTGACCTGTTTTGCACTGATTTATTTCTCTTGTGCCTTGCAAGTGTTTAAAAAAATTTGCAATTCATATTATTTCTGTACTATAATATGAACAAATGCTTTATCCTCCCCTCTGACCTCTGTAATGTGGAAAGAACATTGAATATTACTTCATTGGTTGCCATCTGTGGCTTGCTTACACTTTTTTCTTGATGGTATTTTTAGCAGTTCAAAGAAAGTTTTTAGAAATAGTGAATTTGGTTTCTGAATTGAAGGATTAGAAAGTTTATCTCACAGCATGTTAGCAGATTGGAAATATGCTACAGCCTTTATTCAGAGGAGAGCAAAATTACACCCATGTATATTCTTCCTACACCTTTAAGCATTCCTTTGAGTTGGATAGGAGATAAGCCAATTTGTTTTCTTTAATTAGGCTCTTAATCCCTCATTTGCTGTTCATTGTCTCTACTCTGTACTTAATGGAAGTCAATATCAGTTCTGTTTTTAATGCATTTTTTAAAAGTAAAGTGATCTAAATATACATGAATTCCAAACAGTTAGAGTTCTGTATTAGGGTTCTCCAGAGAAATAGAACCAATAGGAGATACATAGGAAATCTCAGGATATAGCCTCTACCTTTGCATACCCCATACAGTAGGCATGTCACACTGTATATTATTGGGTGTTCTGGGAGACTTTTGAAGGGAGTGGCAAAGGCAATATCCTGAGTTTTCCTTTTGTTAGAAATTTCCCATGTCTAGATAAAACTTGTCAAAAGAAGGGTTCTTTGGGGTGTTACCCAAAGGGCAGTGATTATAATTCTGATAATGCTCTTTAAGTGCAAGAATCACGTCCTCTTTGTTATTGTCTCCCCTGTAGTGCATTGTAGGTGCTCAGCAATATTTTTGAATTGAAATGAGAATATGAATTGTTTGATAAAGGAGAAAAGAAGTTGTCTCTTTGACAATAGGAGACAACTGATTTTCCTTCCCCCTAATCTTTAAACAAATCTTTAAAGGGTCAGATAAATGGGTTGAGCCACTTACCAGTGTTCCATAAGAAGTAGAAATGTGTTCACTAGGTTGTATGGGTACAAAATTATATCAATACACATTTCTTGCATAGCTAAAGATCCAAGTCCCAATAATTTATCAAATTTTCTAGAACAGTCTGTGTTCTCTCTCTCTCTTTTTTTTTAATTATACTTTAAGTTCTAGGGTACATGTGCACAACCTGTAGCTTTGTTACTTTTGTATATGTGCCATGTTGCTGTGCTGCACCCATTAACTCATCATTTACATTAGGTATATCTCCTAATGCTATCCCTCCCCCCTCCCCCCACCCCACAACAGTCCCTGGTGTGTGGTGTTCCCCGCTCTGTGTCCAAATGTTCTCATTGTTCAATTCCCACCTATGAGTGAGAACATGTGGTATTTGGTTTTCTGTCCTTGCGATAATTTGCTGAGAATGATGATTTCCAGCTTCATCCATGTCCCTACAAAGGACATGAACTCATCCTTTTTTATGGCTGCATAGTATTCCATGGTATATATGTGCCACATTTTCTTAATCCAGTCTATCATTGTTGGACATTTGGGTTGGTTCCAAGTCTTTGCTATTGTGAATAGTGCCACAATAAACATATGTGTGCATGTGTCTTTATGGCAGCATGATTTATACTCCTTTGGGTACATACTCGGTAATGGGATGGCTGGGTCAAATGGTATTTCTAGTTCTAGATCCTTGAGGAATTGCCACACTGTCTTCCACAATGGTTGAACTAGTTTACAGTCCCACAAACAATGTAAAAGTGTTCCTGTTTCTCTTCCTCTTCAGCACCTGTCGTTTCCTGACTTTTTAATGATCGTCGTTCTAACTGGTATGAGTTGGTATCTCATTGTGGTTTTGATTTACATTTCTCTGATGGCCAATGATGAGCATTTTTTCATGTGTCTGTTGGCTGCATAAATGTCTTCTTTTGAGAAGTGGCTGTTCATATCCTTTGCCCACTTTTTGATGGGGTTGTTTGATTTTTTTTCTTGTAAATTTGTTTAGGTTCTTTGTAGATTCTGGATATTAGCCCTTTGTCAGATGGGTAGATTGTAAAAATTCTCTCCCATTCTGTAGGTTGCCTGTTCACTCCGATGGTAGTTTCTTTTGCTGTTTAATTAGATCCCATTTGTCAATTTTGGCTTTTGTTGCCATTGTTTTTGGTGATTTAGTCATGAAGTCCTTGCCCATGCCTATGGCCTGAATGGTATTGCCTAGGTTTTCTTCTAGGGTTTTTATGGTTTTAGGTCTAACATTTAAGTCTTTAATCCATCTTGAATTAATTTTTGTATAAGGTGTAAGGAAGGGATCCAGTTTCAGCTTTCTACATATGGCTAGCCAGTTTTCCCAGCACCATTTATTAAATAGGGAATCATTTCCCCATTTCTTCTTTTTGTCACGTTTGTCAAGGTTGTAGATGTGTGGTATTATTTCTGAGGGCTCTGTTCTGTTCCATTGGTCTATATCTCTGTTTTGGTACCAGTACCATGCTGTTTGGGTTACTGTAGCCTTGTAGTATAGTTTGAAGTCAGGTAGTGTGATGCCTCCAGCTTTGTTCTTTTGGCTTAGGATTGACTTGGCAATGTGGGCTCTTTTTTGGTTCCATATGAACTTTAAAGTAGTTTTTTCCAATTCTGTGAAGAAAGTCATTGGTAGCTTGATGGGGATGGCATTGAATCTATAAATTACCTTGGGCAGTATGGCCATTTTCATGATATTGATTCTTCCCATCCATGAGCATGGAATGTTCTTCCATTTGTTTGTATCCTCTTTTATTTCGTTGAGCAGTGGTTTGTAGTTCTCCTTGAAGAGGTCCTTCACATCCCTTGTAAGTTGGATTTTAGGTATTTTATTCTCTTTGAAGCTATTGTGAATGGGAGTTCACTCATGATTTGGCCCTCTGTTTGTCTGTTAATGGTGTATAGGAATGCGTGTGATATTTGCACATTGATTTTTGTATCCGGAGACTTTGCTGAAGTTGCTTATCAGCTTAAGGAGATTTGGGGCTGAGATGATGGGGTTTTCTAAATATACAATCATGTCATCTGCAAACAGGGACAATTTGACTTCCTCTTTTTTTTTTTTTTTTTTTTTTTTTTTTGAGACGGAGTTTCACTCTTGTTGCCCAGGCTGGAGTGCGGTGGCACAATCTCGGCTCACTGCAACCTCCACCTCCCAGGTTCAAGCGATTCTCCTGCCTCAGCCTCCCTAGTAGCTGGGATTATAGGCATGTGCCACCATGCCCGGCTAATTTTGTATTTTTAGTAGAGATGGTGTTTCTCCATGTTGGTCAGGCTGGTCTCGAACTCCTGACCTCAGGTGATCTGCCCGCCTCGACCTCCCAAAGTGCTGGGATTACAGGCGTGAGCCACCGCACCTGGCCTGACTTCCTCTTTTTCTAATTGAATACCTTTATTTCTTTCTCCTGCCTGATTGCTCTGGCCAGAACTTCCAACACTATGTTGAATAGGAGTGGTGAGAGAGGGCATCCCTGTCTTGTGCCAGTTTACATAAGGGAATGCTTCCAGTTTTTGCCCATTCAGTATGATAATGGCTGTGGGTTTGTCATAAATAGCTCTGATTATTTTGAGATACGTCGCATCAATACCTAGTTTATCGAGAGTTTTTAGCATGGAGGGCTATTGAATTTTGTTGAAGCCCTTTTCTGCATCTATTTAGATAATCATGTGGTTTTTGTCCTTGGGTCTGTTACGTTTATTGATTTGTGTATGTTGAACCAGCCTTGCATCCCAGGGATGAAGCCAACTTGATCATGGTGGATAAGCTTTTTGATGTGCTGCTGGATTCAGTTTGCCAGTATTTTATTGAGGATTTTTGCATCAATGTTCATCAGGGATATTGGTCTAAAATTCCCTTTTTTTGTGGTGTCTCTACCAGGCTTTGGTATCAGGATGATGCTGGCCTCATAAAATGAGTTAGGGAGGATTCCCTCTTTTTCTGTTGATTGGAATCGTTTCAGAAGGAATGGTACCAGCTCCTCTTTGTACCTCTGGTAGAATTCGGCTATGAATCCGTCTGGTCCTGGAGTTTTTTCGGTTGGTGGGCTATTAATTATTGCCTCAATTTCAGAGCCTGTTATTGGTCTATTCAAGGACTTAACTTCTTCCTGGTTTAGTCTTGGGAGGGTATATGTGTCCAGGAATTTATCCATTTCTTCTAGATTTTCTAGATTATTTGTGTAGAGGTGTTTATAGTATTCTCTGATGGTAGTTTGTATTTCTGTGGGATCGGTGGTGATATCCCCTTTATCATTTTTTATTGCGTCTATTTGATTCTTTAATCTTTTCTTCTTTATTAGTCTTGCTAGCTGTCTATCAATTTTGTTGATCTTTTCAAAAAACCAGGTCCTGGATTCATTGATATTTTGAAGGGTTTTTTGTGTCTCTATTTCCTTCAGTTCTGCTCTGATCTTAGTTATTTCTTGCCTTCTGGTAGCTTTTGAATGTGTTTGTTCTTGCTTCTCTAGTTCTTTTAATTGTGATGTTAGGGTGTCAATTTTAGATCTTTCCTTCTTTCTCTTGTGGGCATTTAGTTCTATAAATTTCCCTCTACACACTGCTTTAAGTGTGTCCCAGAGATTCTGGTATGTTGTGTCTTTGTTCTCACTGGTTTCAAAGAACATCTTATTTCTGCCTTCATTTCGTTATGTACCTAGTAGTCATTCAGGAGCAAGTTGTTCTGTTTCCAAGTAGTTGAGCGATTTTGAGTGAGTTTCTTAATCCTGAGTTCTAGTTTGATTGCACTGTGGTCTGAGAGACTGTTACAATTTCTGTTCTTTTACATTTGCTGAGGAGTGCAACTTTGTGGTCACTTTTGGAATAACTGATGTGGTGCTGAGAAGAATGTATATTCTGTTGATTTGGGGTGGAGAGTTCTGTAGATGTCTGTTAGGTCCACTTGGTGCAGAGCTGAGTTCAAGTCCTTGATATCCTTGTTATCTTTCTGTCTCGTTGATCTGCCTAATGTTGACAGTGTGGTGTTGAAGTCTCCCATTATTATTGTGTGGGAGTCTGAGTCTCTTTGCAGGTCTGTAAGGACTTGCTTTATTAATCTGGGTGCTCCTGTATTGGGTGCATATATATTTAGGATAGTTAGCTCTTCTTGTTGAATTGATCCCTTTACCATTATGTAATGGCCTTCTTTGTCTCTTTTGATCTTTGTTGGTTTAAAGTCTGTTTTATCAGAGACTAGGATTGCAACCCCTGCTTTTTTTTGTTTTCCATTTGCTTGGTAGATCTTCCTCCATCCCTTTATTTTAAGCCTGTGTGTGTCTCTGCACATGAGATGGGTCTCCTGAATACAGCACACTGATGAGTCTTGACTCTTTATCCAATTTGCTAAGCCCTGACCCCAGAGGTGGAGTCTACAGAGGCAGGCAGGCGTCCTTGATCTGCGGTGGGCTCCACCCAGTTCAAGCTTCCCTGCTGCTTTGTTTACGTACTCAAGCATCAGCAATGGCCGACGCCCCTTCCCCAGCCTCGCTGCCTCCTTGTAGTTCGATCTCAGACTGCTGTGCTAGCAGTGAGTGAGGCTCCGTGGGCATGGGACCCTCTGAGCCAGGTGCAGGATATAATCTCCTGGTGTGCCGTTTGCTAAGACCGTTGGAAAAGTGCAGTGTTAGGGTGGGAGTGTCCTGATTTTCCAGGTACCGTCTGTCACGGTTTCCCTTGGCCAGGAAAGGGAATTCCCCGACCCCTTTTGCTTCTCAGGTGAGGCGATCCCCCGCCCTGCTTTGGCTCATATTCTGTGGACTGCACCCACTGTCTGACAAGCCCCAGTGAGATGAACGTGGTACCTCAGTTGGAAATACAGAAATCACCCATCTTCCACATTGCTCACTCTGGGAGCTGTAGACTGGAGCTGTTCCTATTCGGCCATCTTCTGTGTTCTCTTTTTAACAATTGAAGGTATATTACATGAGCTCCTTTAGCTTTCTTTATCTTCCCTTCTTTGATTTTCTCTAACATGTTCCTCACTTCCTTGCCAAGGGCAATAGCCCTTTCCATGCTCTCATTCTATCCTTTCCTGCCTCCTCTAAGAACTAATTATATTAATTTTCTCCCTCTTTGAGTTTCTTCAATTTTGCCTTCTTGGGTTATTGGCACATTTTCTTCTACCATTATTTTCAGAAAGCTTTTGTAAACAAATCACAAAGCCTTTCCTTGACTCTGTTTTTCTTCACGCCTACCATCCTGACTCAGTAATATTTGAGTGACTACCACTTATCAGGCATTGTTCTTGGAGCTAAGGAAATAGTGGTGAAAAAAAGGAGTTACTTAATAGGGCATGGTGGCATGCATGTAGTACCATATACTCAGGAGGCTGAGGTGGGAGGATCCCTTGAGCCCTGGAGTTTGAGGCCAGCCTGGGCAACATAGCAAGACCCTGTCTCTTATTTATTTTTTTATTATACTTTAAGTTCTGGGTTACATGTGCGGAACGTGCAGTTTTATTACATAGGTATACATGTGCCCTGGTGGTTTGCTGCACCCATCAACCTGTCACGTACATTAGGTATTTCTCCTAATGTTATCCCTCCCCTAACCCCCAACTCCCAACAGGTCTCAGTGTGTGATGTTCCCCTCCCTGTGTCCATGTGTTCTTATTGTTCAACTCCCACTTATGAGTGAGAACATGTGGTGTTTGGTTTTCTGATCTTGTGATAGTTTGCTGAGAATGATGGTTTCCAGCTTCATCCATGTCCTTGCAAAAGACATGAACTTATCCTTTTTTATGGCTGCATAGTATTCCATGGTGTATATGTGCCACATTTTCTTAATCCAGTCTGTCATTGATGGACATTTGGATTGGTTCCAAGTCTTTGCTATTTTGCATAGTGCTGCAATAAACATACGTGTGCATGTGTCTTTCTCGTAGAATGATTTATAATCCTTTGGGTATATACCCAGTAATGGGATTGCTGGGTCAAATGGTATTTCTAGTTCTAGATCCTTGAAGAATCACCACACTGTCTTCCACAATGGTTGAACTAGTTTACAGTCCCACCAACAGTGTAAAAGCGTTCCTATTTTTCCACAGCCTCTCCAGGATCTGTTTTTTCCTGACTTTTTAATGATCGCCATTCTGACTGGCGTGAAATGGTATCTCATTATGGTTTTGATTTGTATTTCTCTAATGACCAGTGATGATGAGCATTTTTTCATATGCTTGTTGGCTGCATAAATGTCTTTTTTGAGATATTCACTTCTAATTATTACTTGATGCAATGTTCTCTTCTTGGGTTTTTTTTTTTTCCTCCTTTTTGACTTCTTCAGCCTTTGACATTCTTGAACCTTAGACAAATTCATATGGAAGCAGGAAATTTTCCCTGACACCTTCATGGGCAGTAACTGTAGTGCACAGGTGCTAGGACTAGCCGGCCGTTTCTGTGCCAGCAGGGACAGACTCCATTTGCTTGGTCCTGCTACTTTCCACCCCTCACAGGAGGTGGGGAACACAAGTGAGTGAGTGCAGAAGCTGGGTTGAGGGCTTTTGGGCACTGACGGGAGCAAAACTCTGTGCAGCCCAGCAGCAGCGTCTAGGGGGTGCCTATGACCCCTGAAGCCCAGAAAGAGTGTTACAGTCAGTGCTTTTTTAGCTTTGCCATCTGCTGATGGCTTACGTGTTAGCAGCTCAGTGGAGGGTCAGTGTGCCAGACTTTTGCACCTTCACCTGAGTGAGTTCTTGTCCGACATCCAGGGGGAATGAGGTCTCATGAACATATTGGAGATGTTAAATGCAGGAGATTTTATTGTTGATGAAAGTGGCTCTCAAGGAAGGGGAGCTGTAAAGGGAATGGAGTGGGAAGACAATCTTCCCCTGGAGTCTGGCCATCCCTGGCCAGATTCCTCTCCAAAGCATTGCTGTCAAGCCATCCCTCTGAAGTCAAGCTGCCTCTCTCCAATGTCCAACCGTAGTCTCCGTCGTCTTGCTACTTCTCCTCCTCTCTCTGCTGGGTGAGGTTTTTATGGGCACTGGATGGGGGGTGGGGCAGGCCAAGGGTGATTCTGGAAAAGGCAACATTCGAGCAGGAAAACAGGAATGTGTGTTCTCACTTTGGACCGTGGTTTCACGCTTGAGGGTGGGGCCCTTACTGGGGGACCCACCCTCTTCCCGGAATTTCTGTGCCTCCTGTCCCTATCAGTATCAGAGCCAGGTTTCCTCATCTGTAAAATTTGTATGCTGCCATGCCCTTTCCCAGATTGTGATTAAACATGTTAAAGTATCCTCATGAAAGCTAAGGGAAATGTGTTTAATAAATATTTCTTCTTGTACCTGTTTTGCCTGGTTTCAGTGCACCATCATGCACTGCCATATCATTTTTACGAGGTTGGCAGTATTATTATGCCTGTTTTACAAATGAGGATACTATGGTCAGTCATCTAGAAGGTGGTGAAGCCTAGGATTCTAACCCAGCACTCTCTGACGGTAGAGTCCAAACCCGAAGACTCTGTGCTAGATTGCCAGCATACTAAGAGTTGTTAGAAACTGCAAGGATTCTTAATTAGAATTTTATGAAATCTCTGAACCAACAGAACTTTTTAAATAAAGTTTTCTTCCTATTTGTGTGTGTTTGTGTGTGTATGAAACAAGCACAGATAAACGGGTCCTGTGCGGCCTTTCTTATAAAATTAATTGATAACCAACTGAGGAAATATAGCAAAAGGTAGATTTCTGTGTTTTGAGAAATCCAGGTTACATAGAAAGTGCCAAACCAAGAAATGGAAACCATAAGCAGTAAACCATAATGGTAGTGCTGAGGAACAATTGTGTGCTTGCACCTGGCAGCACTGTTAGGGAATTGGAGCTTCATTGACCTTGCATATGAAGCCAGAAAGTGGTCATGTCACTCCCTTATACACACCTTTTAGCATTGTCAATGAAGTTCTTCCAGGTTTTCACCTAAGGTAATAGATGGTACTGTTCCCTGCTAAAGAAAACTAGTGATTTTGTCAGCAAAATGGACTCAGTGTCTTCTGCTTGCCTACGGAAAGGGTGGGGCCTGTTAGCACAGTATGCAGACTGCCTTGGATGCCCTGTAACCAGAAAGGCCAGTGGAGTACCCTGTAATCGGGGGCATTAAATGGGAGAATGTTCATAAAGCACCTAGGGCAAAGAATGAGTTCCCATGAAGAACCAGTTTTATCAGTGCCCTTAATCATTTTTCTTTCCTTCTCATCTTTTCTCTTCAGCAGCACCGTGACTGTAGGTAGGATACTGATTTTCCTTGAACTTTTCCTGTACCGAAGTCATCTGTTCAAAGCTCTGGCAACTGCTGTGTAAGATACTGTTCTATCCATTTACTCTGTTCCTTGAATCTGGTTGCCAGAATTAAGGATGCTACAGAGAACACAGAATCTTGAAGTAGGGAATTCTTGAACTCAGGTAAAGTCTAAACCTTTGAAATAGTTATTCAACAATAAACTTGAAAAGTATCTGTTGTGATTATAAAGGAAAGCACAGGCATCAGATGTACACAGCATGTAATGACCTCTTGCAGCAGCTGTTGAAGTCACGATCATAGATACATCTTGGAACTAGTGATAGCACCTTTAATTTCAAAAGGAGTGGCATAGCATTATAGCCAACAAGTCAGATCTGTAATTCTTATTTTATTAAATACTTAAATGCTGTAAACAAGTGCTGTACGTAATCTTGAATTGTCTTCTCTCTTTCCAAGGTGAGTAGATTTATTTTTAGGTGAAGACTATAGTTAAGACACTTCTCTGGAGTCACAGAGTAGGAAAGAGCTACTGTATTTCTACTCCTTCATCTTCTTTACATTGTAAAATAAAATGTCCTCTGTCCATCCAAACCCACAGAATGGACTCAGACCTGGACAATAGCGAAAGCGAGACTTTTAATGACAGTCTTGCAAGATTGAGTGTCTGGCATGCAGGCACACCCAGCATGGTTTTAACAAGCAATTTATCCCTTAGTGTGCAGGACCCTCCCCCGGTTCCTTATAGGCTGAGTATTGTAGGTCCCATCACCTATTGATTGTTAGGCAGGGCTTTAGGTGTGTTTTTAGGGTTGTCTTGCTGCATTTTGTTGCAGCCCACAATGCACTGCAATCCTAGTTAGCTCAGGGGCTCTTCAAGTATTTGACTTATGACCTAAGTTGCTGGGCAGGCCGATAAGAACAAACAAAGTGAGCTATTTTGCAGACTAATAAACTTTTATTTTAGACTCAAATTCTTTGGTTCGGGTGAGAGAAACTAAGTGGTGGAGAAAGTGGAGGCCAACAAGCGGCATCAGCTATCCAAACAGGGGCCTAGTATATCCTGTTTTTTCTGTGGTTTGCTGACCTAAGCCGATTCAGGGCACTTTGTTTTGGAAATGAACCATGGTATACGTTATTTCCTTCAATTCTCTCCTTTTTTTCTTTCTACTACTATTTGTTCCATTTCTGCATTTATTTTTGTGTCCTTTAGTTCTTAAATTTATTAGGTCCTCCTTTAGGGACTTCTATTGAGTTAATATAAGTGTTAGAATTAAAAGAATTTGTTAGATTTCTCCAACTTCAGGGCCATGTGGATTCTTGGAGATCTTCTGGAATGCCAAGGTGAATGGAATGGCCAAGTGAACTAAGGCACAAGTCCCAGTCCAGTTGGACGGTAACAGGTTACGGAGGTTCCCTTTCCCATAATACCACCAGACATTAGCCTGGGGTATATGAAGAGCTGAGTAGTTGCCTTTGTTTGACTTACCAGTAACGTTTAGGATGTGGGTACAAGTTGAGAGTTTTCCCACGGGCTTACTGAACTCTGTCCCCTGTCTAGAGAGGCAAGAGGAGTGGTTTATATTCCCTATGGAGAAAGAAGGGATCGCTCTAGGATTTGACCTTTGCAAGGTGGGAAAGAGCAATAATAAACTTTTGCAAGTCTCATTTCCCCATGCATCCCTGTCCTGGTATAGAGCCAACATGCAATGCATTCCTCTGGGATTGGTATCCCATTTTAGGGGAAACGCAGCTACCAGTGCTTGAGGCCGCCCAGCAGAGCATGCGTAACTGTTGCTTCTATTAAGAGCTAGTACTGAAAATTTGACCCATTCAACCCAGGCAGTTACATCCCCATATTTTTAATTTTTAGTTTGCCTTAAAGTTAGTGTCTTAAGGGTCATTGTCTGGTGGGTTAAAGGAAGTAGTAAGACCAGGAGTTCTAGTAATTCTGGGTGGGCTTGGGGGTGGAATTGGTGATTTGCCTAAGAGCTAACTGTCCCATGGAATCCCTTCCTGAGATAATTATTCCTAATGTATACCTCCAGGGTTCCTGGTCTAGAGTAGCTGGGTTGTTTATGGTAATTAATATAGGATTGCATTTTAAATTTTTACAGTTAGGTAGCATGGGGCCCTTATATTTTATTTTTTAACGGTTGGTTTTCAGAAGAATGACTCAGCTGGCCTTGATATGGTGTGGTCCACCAGACCTGATTCCAGCTAGCACAGAGATTTTTTTGAGAGGGCCCAATAACGGTCTGTTTTAGGACATAGATATTTGTCTGCTTGTGACAACTGCCTTTGGTTCCGTAAATTCCCACAAGGTAAGACTTGGCAGGCATTAAATTTTATAGTTTGGGGGGTGGGGGTGGAGGTTTTAGTTATGTTGACTATTAGTTTGATTAGATATTTCCTACTTTCCACCCCTAGTACTGGGCCCTATCCAATAGGGTTTCCTTTTACCCCTTGTGTTAGGATTAATCCTAACCGTATCCACCCCCAATGACGGAGCCTGCTCATAGCTTCCTTTAGGTTTTCCTTAGAGTTAGCTTTAAGGGTTTCTTAGGTGATTTATACATTCCCTATTCACTCTTTTCCCTTTCTTTCAGGGGTTCTTTTACCAGTCTCTTGACCCGAGTGTAATGTGCTCACCCCGGTTCAGCTGTTTATGTGGCTGTTTTAGTGATTAGGAGCACTTGTTACGGACTTTCCCAGCTTGGGTGGAGCATGTCTTCTTTCCAGGTTTTAATTAGCACCGAGTTGCCAGCCTGGAAGTGGTGAACTGTGAACTCAAGAGGCAGGGTTCGAGTTAGAAGTTTTTTTAACCTAAGGGATGACAGGGTAGAGGATATGCCCAGTGTATAATTTTTAAAAAATTGGTCTTTGATTTTCATAGTAGAAAGGTTAGTAGTCCTGCTTAAATATGGCCTTAACCCAGGAGGTCTTTTTCCAGTAGTCTGTTTTTTTGTTTTAAGACAGAATCTCGTTCTGTCGCCCAGGCTGGAGTGCAGTGTGTGATCTCAACTCACTGCAACCTCCATCTCCTGGGTTCAAGCTATTCTCCTGCCTCAGCCTCCCAAGTAGCTGGGATTACAGGCATGTGTCACCACACCCAGCTGATTTTTGTAGTTTTAGTGGAGACAGGGTTTCACCATGTTGGCCAGGCTGGTCTTGAACTCTTGACCTCAGGTGATCCACCTGCCTCAGTCTCAGAAAGTGTTGGGATTACAGGCTGGAGTTAGGTGAGGCACTTCCCCAGGGTCCACTGACCCCTGGAGGAACTTGGGGAGGCAAGGGACTGACCAGCTGGCTTCCCAGGGTGCCTTTGGTCGGGCCCTGCTGGGTCTGGCACTGGGCCAAGAGCTGCTGGTTTGAAGAGCTAACAGCCTGTGGCACCTTTCCTGAGGGGCACTTTCATTAGCAAAAGCATCCCTGGCTCCACCCTCACTTCCTCATTGTTTGCTTTGAAGACACCATTCCTCTCCCTGGCAGGCGGAGAGCTGTACTGTTTGTATTCCACACCACCCCTGCTGGTGACCCAGCAACTGCAAAGGGTCTCTGGTT